>NC_000005.10:149453659-149753976 GCF_000001405.40 Homo sapiens
ATCCACTTTGCACCCTCAGCAGCTGGCACAGGGCACAAGGCCTGACACTTAGCAGGACAAACTAAGTGCCCCGCACTGTTGTAAGTGTTCACATTTATCCCTCCCAGTGACCCCATGAGGAGCCATTACTACCCCCATTTTACAGCTGAGGAAACTGAGGCACAGAGAGCTCATATAACTTATCCAAGGTCACACCACTGCTAGGATTCATATCCGGGTGGCCTGGCTCCCAAGCCCAGGCTTTTATCTATTCACTGTCAATATTTATTGAAGTAATGAAAAGGCAAACCAGACTGCAGCTGTGAGAAATGTACGTGTTTTCTTAAGGTCAAAGTCCTACCCCCAAGACTAAGACCTGTTCCTAGACCTGGCACCTGAAGACAGGTGTCACAGGGAAGATGCCATGCTCTACCACAGTGGCTGGTCCCTGGCCCTCCGTGGCCCAGGAAATGCCCCCAGCATGAGTTCTAACTGAAGTCAGCTGTCACAGGAGGGAGCCCACTCCATGATCTCACAGGGAGCCAGGGCGGACTTGCCGTCCCCACTTGGAAGCTGAGGCCCAGTAGGTCTAGAGAGCAGGCCCCAGCCCTCGGCACAGGAAAAATCTCTTTGGCCAGAAATAGATTCAAGTGGCCAGGTGCTGTGACTCAAACCTGTATTCCTAGCTATTTGGGAGGCTGAGTCAGGAGGATCCCTTGAGCCCAGGAGTTTGAGACCAGCCTAGGCAAAAGAGCAAAACCCCTGTCTCTACAATAAGTAAATTTAGCTGGGTGTGGTGGCACAAGACCATAGTCCTAGCTACTTGGGAGGCTGAGGCAGGAGGATCACTTAAGCCCAGGAGTTCAAGGGCTGTAATCAGCTGCGATTTCACCACCGTACTCCAGCCTGGGCGACATAGTGAGAACTTGTCTTTAAAAAAGTAAATAAGGCTGGGTGCAGTGGCTCACGCCTATAATCTCAGCTCTTTGGGAGGCTGAGGCAGGCAGATCATGAGGTCCAAAGATCGAGAACATCCTGGCGAACATGGTGAAACCCTGTCTCTACTAAAAATACAAAAAATTAGCCAGGCGTGGTGGCACGAGCCTGTAGTCCCAGCTACTCGGGAGGCTGAGGCAAGGCAGGAGAATCGCTTAAACCTGGGAGGCAGAGGTTGCAGTGAGCCGAGATCGTGCCACTGCACTCCAGCCTGGGTGACAGAGCAAGACTCCGTCTCAAAAAATAAATAAATAAATAAATAAATAAATAAATAAATAAATAAATAGGCCTGGGGGCAGTGGTTCATGCCTGTTATCCCAGCACTTTGGGAGGCCAAGGCAGGTGGATCACTTGAGGCCAGGAGCTCAAGACCAGCCTGGCCAACATGGTGAGAGGCCATCTCTACTAAAAATACAAAAATTAGCCAGGCATGGTGGTGGGCGCCTGTAATCCCAGCTACTTGGGAGGCTAAGGCAAGAGAATTGCTTGAACCCGGGAGGTGGAGATTGCAGTGAGCCGAGATCTTGCCATTGCACTCCAGCCTGGATGACAGAGTGAGACTCTGTCTCAAAAAATATAATAATAAAAACTAAAAAGTAAATAAATAAATAAGGATTTTTTTTACAAAAAGAAACAGATTCAATGGGTAATGGGGAAACAATTATTGGTAAACTAGCCTATATTTCTTGCCTCCCACACCCTCACGCAAGGTGACTCCAGGGAGCTGGTCATGTCAGCTTCAGGAACTGGGGTGGGAGCCTCATCACTCTAGGGTGTATCATTACCCGCACTCAGCCTCTCTCCTCACTCTCTCCATTTTCATCTTACAGCTTCAGTTCTTGCTGCCAACTGTTCCACTCTTTGCCTTGAATTCACATTCCCGAAAAGAGGATCTACTTGTCCAGTTAATTTCCCACCAGGCTGCCTCAAAGCCTGGTGAATCAGCCTATAGATGGGGTTCCCACCCACGTCCAATCAGCTGTAGCTGGAGGTCGGGGGGCGGGGTGGGCTCTGTGGCACCAGCCTGGCAGCCTCTGAGAATGGGGCTATGGGACTGGTAGGCACACTGAGGCTGGCTTGGCCTGTGTGTAGCCTGAGGGTCATGCCTTCAACTGTCTCCTTCATGCTTCAGCTCCCTTTACAAAAACTGTAGAGCCCAGTTTTCTCTCATGAGCTCCCCTCAACCCCATGAAGGGCCTCTGACCCACAGGCTAGATCCAGGATGTCAATTCAAGACACAGGCCCCCACTGCTTGCTTCCCAGCCCACAGCCAGCATCACCAGTCGACAGTAGTACTCCCTCCCCTTCACTGAGCACAGATGCAGAATCGCTCTCAACAGCGCACTCCAGAAGCCGCTGCCAAGCTACTCCAGCTGACATGAAAGACCTAGGCCGAGGGAATGATCTCTAGGTTGTTTTGGCCACTGGCGTGGCCTGGGTGTGAGTCAGCGTTCCCCACCTGAGCAGAACACGCAGCCGGGGAGGATCTGTAACCAGTGGTCAGTGTCCTCAGGGACAGGTTCTAATTACGTATAACCCTCAGGATATGGTGAGGGGACGCCTGAGCCAAGGGCAAGGCTTGGGGTTGAACACTGACTCACTGGCTTAGAGTTTGAAGTTGGTCACTTGATCTCCTTTCATCTCTGTCTCTTCTGTGAGTCGAACAGGCAGCTTCTCCCACATCACAGAGGGACTCCTCACCACCTAACTGAGACCTGATCAGTGCTCTGAGAAGGTACCAAAGCATCAGCCCTGGGGAGGCACCCACTGTATCGAATGGGGACAACTATGCTTTAAGAAACAGCAGGGAACTGGGCATGGTGGCATGTGCCAGTAGTCCCAGCTATTCAGGAGAAGGAGGCAAGAGGCCAACTCAGGAGGATCACCCAGGAGGAGTTCAAGACTCCAGTAAGTTGTGATCACACCACTGTACTCCAGCCTGGGTGACAGAATAAGACCCCATTTAAGAAAGAAAGAGAGAGTTGGGGGGTGAGAGGTAAAATGAAGGAAGGAGAAAGAAAGAGAGAGAGAGAAAGAACAAAAGAAGAAAGAAAGAGAGAGGGAAAGAAAAGAAGGAGAAAGAAGGAAAGAAAGAAACGAAGGAAGGAAGGAAGGAGGCAGGAAGGAAGGGAGGAAAAAAGGAAGGAAAGAAGGAAGGAAGGAAGGGACTTCTCAGAGCCACGATGTGTTCAAGTGGTCAATCAACAAGAGCAGGACATAGTGAGCAGAGCTTCCCTTGAATTATTTGACTGATTTTGACATACAGACTACATAGGAGTAAAAAAAATCACCCACCTCTGGAAGCGGGCAGATAACAGAAATGAGAACAGAGATGAGGCAAGGGGACTGCAGATAAGAGGCGCTCTGAGAAGGAGCACAGGGCTAAGTCAGGCCAAGGGCCTGCAGTTCCCACTGAATTTTTCCATGAGCAAACACAGGCCTGGTACTGCCAGATTTTTCCATTTTTCTTTTTCTTCTTCTTTTTTTTTTTTTTCCTCGAGACAGAGTCTTGCTCTGTCACCCTGTCACCCAGGCTGGAGTGCAGTGGTGTGATCACAGCTGACTGCACCCTCGACCTCCCAGGGCTCAGGTGATCCTCCCACCTCAGCCTCCTGGGTAGCTGTGACCACAGGCACATGCCATCATGTCTGGCTAATTTTTGTGTATTTTTAGTAGAGATGGGCTTTTGCTATGCTGTCCAGGCTGGTCTTGGACTCCTGGGCTTAAGCAGTCAACCCACCTCAACCTCCCAAAGTGCTGGGATTACAGGCGTGAGCCACCACACCCAGCCTAGCATTTTCAATAAATCAGAATGTAAGCCAAGCAGCCACCAGAGGCTGACAAGCATATCTGTGGACTGGGAAACCTGCCTTAGAGACTGACCAGTGCAGGGCTTGGCGAGCCAGGGTCCCGGCACCAGACACACATCCCCCAGGCTGGGCAGGCCTTCAGTAAAGCCCACACCTGAGTGTATCAGAGGGTCTCAGGAGGGCCTGGTGGCAGGTGGAAGACACTGGCCAGGTAAGCACACGGCATCAGGCAGCGGAGTGGAGGAGGTGTCAACTGCCAGGGACCCATGACCTGGGGGGCCTCACAGGGCTGGGGCAATGCATTCTTTTTTTTTTTCTCTAAGACAGAGTCTCACTCTGTCGCCCAGGCTGGAGTGCAGTGGCGTGATCTCAGCTCCCTGCAACCTCCACCTCCCAGGTTCAAGCAATTCTCCTGCCTCAGCCTCCTAAGCAGCTAGGATTACAGGCATGCGCCACCACGCCCGGCTAATTTTTGTATTTTTAGTAGAGACGGGGTTTCACCATGTTGACCAGGCTGGTCTCGAACTCCTGACCTTGTGATCCACCCGCCTCGGCCTCCCAAAGGGCTGGGATTACAAATGCGAGCCACTGCACCTGGCTAATGCATTCTTAAAACTACAAAAGCATAAATTCCATCTTTGTCACTTGCCAATAGTAGCTACCTCTTAGAGGTGTAAGGACTAAATTGATAAAAGTGTATAGTGGTTGTTTGGTGTGGTGGCAGGTGCCTGTAGTCCCAGCTATTCAGGAGGCTGAGGCAAAAGGATCACTTGAGCCTGGGAGTTCAAATCCAGCCTGGGCAACATAGCCAGGCCCTCATCTCAGAAAACAAACAAAGTGTATGGAGGCTTCCCCCCACCATACCCAGAAATCACTCAATAAATACCTCTTGTAATTTGAGGTGGGAAAGAGAGTTCAGAATTTTACCACTGGACAGAAATAATATCTTAGTTTATACATGGGGGGACTGAAGCCTAGAGAGGCAAAGGGTCCCGTTCAAGTCCTGGATGAGCGAGGAGCAGGGCCCAGGTCTTCTGTCGAGTCCAGCCTCTCCTACCACACCCCATCTAAGGAATAAGCCAAAACACAGGAACAATGAGTCCTGGAAACCCCCATCTTTCTGGCACCCAGAAGGGCTTTGCTCCACATCAAGTGGGCAGATAAGTAGCTATTCAGAGCCCTGGGCATCCTCATAGCCCTGGCACTGGGTTACACCTTTGAGAAGAGACAGAGGCCCTGCCCTCCCACACATGAGGTATCACCTCCCAAGGTGGTCACTGGGGGCAGGGACAGAGCTGAGAGGAGGGCAGGGCTCCCAGGCTGCCTCTGCTCTCTGGGTGCTGCCTCTGTTTCCCAGGAGCCTGCTTGGCCTCATCAGCATCTACCCACAGCCTCCTCGCACCTCTTCTGATTTACAGAGCAGTTTCATTCACATCTATGATCTCTCCGCTCCATGTGGCTGTTTCTCAGAGCTACAAATTGAGGCGGGGACTTAGAAAGCTGCTGGTCAGCAGATTCCAGACACAAGCCCAAAGCCACCAGGCCAGAGGAAGACACTCTGCCTATTAGAAACGTGACTGTTGGCCGGGCGTGGTGGGATGCCTAAAATCCCAGCCCTTTGGGAGGCCGAGGCAGGTGGATCACCTGAGGTCAGGAGTTCAAGACCAGCCTGGCCAACATGGCAAAACCCCATCTCTACTAAAAATACAAAAATTAGCTAGGCGTGGTGGTGCATGCCTGTAATCCCAGCTACTCGGGAGGCTGAGGCAGGAGAATTGCTTGAACCCAGGAGGCAGAGGTTGCAGTAAACTGAGATTGCACCACTACACTCCAGCCTGGGCAACAGAGTCAGACTCTGTCTCAGAAAAAAAAAAAAGAAAAAAGAAAGAAAGAAAGAAAAAGAAAAAGAAACATGAGTGTTTAGGAGCTGGTGCTATGGCAACTCATTTGCTACCTGAGGGCTGAACCTAATCCACACAAAGGCAAACTCCAGAGAGGTTAAAGATCTGAGTAGGAGGCCGGGCACGGTGGCTCATGCCTGTAATCCCAGCACTTTGGGAGGCTGAGGTGGGTGGGTCACCTGAGGTCAGGAGTTTGAGACCACCCTGGCCAACATGGTGAAACCCCTTCTCTACTAAAAATACAAAGATTAGCCCAGCGTGGTGGCGTGTGCCTGTATTCCCAGCTACTCAGGAGGCTGAGGCAGGAGAATCACTTAAACCCAAGAGGTGGAAGTTGCAGTGACCCAAGATAGCACCATTGCACTCCAGCCTGGCGACAGAGCGAGACTCCATCTCAAAAAAAAAAAAAAAAAATCTGAGTGGGAGGGCAAAGTTGCGAAGTTAGAAGAGTAAAATGGAGATTATCTTTGTGATTCTGGGGCAGAAAATAACTCCTTAAACAACTCAAGATAGACTATCAACTGGACCACCCTTTTCCGGCTGCCTTCTGAGAGTTGATGGGTGGTAGCTGCCTTACTGCTCTCTGAAGTTGCTTCCAGCAAGGTGTCCAGGGCAGGGAGGAATCACAGGAATAAAGGAAAAGTAAAACCCTCTGAAGGGCCACTTTCTCTTGGTATTCTGCAATTCCTATGAGATTGCGAGAGGAAAAAAAAAAAAAAAAGCACAACCTTGCCACAGAGATGAGGCAAGCCTGATGGCGCTGGCTTCCAGTGGGCCTCAGAACAGAAGCCACTGCCCAAGAGTCCTCTCATATGAAGTGTTCTGCTGCTGCTAACATGAAAAGGAAAAGAAAAGAAAAGACCAAATGAAGAAAGACAGCCGCTGGGCTGGGCACGGTGGCTCACGCCTATAATCCCAGCACTTTGAGAGGCCAAGGAGGGAGGATCACCTGAGGTCAGGAGTTCGAGACCAGCCTGGCCAACATGATGAAACCCCATCTCTACTAAAAATACAAAAATTAGCCAGGCATTGTGGTGCACGCTTGTAGTCCCAGCTACTCGGGAGGCTGAGGCAGGAGAATTGCTTGAACCCGGGAGGCGGAGGTTGCAGTGAGTCAAGATTGCACCACTGCACTCCAGCCTGGGTGACAGAGTGAGACTCCGTCTGAAAAAAAAATTTTTTTTGCCTATAATTATACATATATTTTTTTTTTGAGACGGAGTTTCGCTCTTGTTGCCCAGGCTGGAGTGTAGTGACACAATCTTGGCTCACTGCAACCTCTGCCTCCCAGGTTCAAGCGATTCTCCTGCCTCAGCCTCCCAAGTAGCTGGCATTACACGTGCCTGTCACTACACCCGTCTCGTCTAATTTTTTGTATTTTTAGTAGAGACGGGTTTCACCATGTTGGCCAGGCTGGTCTCAAACTCCTGACCTCAGGTGATCTGCCCACCTCGGCCTCCCAAAGTGTTGGGATTGCAGGCGTGAGCCACTGCACCTGGCCAAATTCTTTTTAATTATAGTGGCTCTACTGTGCTGTGGAACACTAGAGCTTACTCCTTCTATCTAATTGTATTTTTGTACCCATTAACTAACCTCTATTTATCTCCCTCTTCCTCCAACTCTTCCTTCCCAGTGGAGCTAGGGTCTTCAGCCTGAGAGATCTAGCATAATCCTTGATTTGGGGAATTCCCAGTGAAGATCAGGTCAGTTCTTGGAGTCTGTTGTGGTCGTCTATTCTTGTGTACATTACTCCTGCACCAAGAAGATCCAAACTTATGAAGCATTGTATCAGTCAAGATAAACTAAGCAGTGCTGCAGTAACAAACTATCCCCAGATCTCAGCAGCCTAAAGCAACATAGGCTTAATTCTCTTGTGCTATCTGTTCATGATGTGTCCATACCTGGGAGCTAGACTCACTCTGGGACCTAGACAGAGCACTATCCATCATTAATACTGAGCAGTTGGTCATGCCTTTAATCCCAGTGCTTTGGGAGGCTGTCTCTGGTAATCACCATTCCACTCTCTACCTTCATGAGATCAATTTTTTTAGCTCCCACATATGGGTAAGAACATGCAATGTTTGTCTTTCTGTGCCTGGCATTATGTTCCCTTAACATAATGTTCTCCAGTTCCATCCATGTTGCTGCAAATGACAGGCTTTTCTTAATTTTTATGGCTGAATAATATTCCATCATATGTATATACCATATTTCATTTATCTGTTTATCCATTGATTGGCACTAAAGTTGATTCCATATTTTGGCTATTGTGAATAGTACTGCAATAAATGCCAGAGTGCAGGTATCTCTTCAATATACTGATTTCTTTTATTTTGGTTGTATACCCAGTAGTGGAACTGCTGGATCACATGGTAGTTCTATTTTTAGTTTTTTGAGGACTGTCCATACTGTTTTCCACAGTGTCTGTATTAATTTACATTCCTGGCCAGGCGTGGTGGCTCACGCCTGCAATCCCAGCACTTTGGGAGGTCGAGGTGGGCAGATCACCTGAGGTCAGGAGTTTGAGACCAGCCTGGCCAATATGGTGAAACCCGCTCTACTAAAAATACAAAAATTAGCCAGGTGTTGTGGCACATGCCTGTAATCCCAGCTAGTTGGGAGGCTGAGGCAGGAGAATCTCTGGAACTCAGGAGGCGGAGGTTGCAGTGAGCCGAGATCACACCACTGTACTCCAGCCTGGGTGACAGAGCGAGACTCTGTTTCAAAATAATAATAATTTACATTCCCACCAACAGTGTAAAAGCACTTCCCCTTTCTCCACATCCTCGCTAGCTTCTGTTATTTTCTTTCTTTCTTTCTTTTTTTTTTTTTTAAGACAGAGTCTCGCTCTGTCACCCAGGCTAGAGTGCAGTGGCACAATCTCTGCTCACTGCAACATCCAACTCCCAGGTTCAAGCGATTCTTGTGCCTCAGCCTCCTGAGTCACTGGGATTACAGGCACCCACCACCACACCCGGCTAATTTTTGTATTTTAGTAGAGATGGGGTTTCACCATGTTGGCCAGGCTGGTCTCAAACTCTTGAGCCCAAGTGATCTACCCACCTTGGCCTCCCAAAATGCTGGGATTACAGGCGTGAGCCGCGACACCTGGCCTGTTATTTTCTTTCTTTCTTTTCTTCTTCTTTTTTTTTTTTTTTGGAGACAGAGTTTCACTCTTGTTCCCCAGGCTAGAGTGCAATGGCGCGATCTTGGCTCACCGCAACCTCTGCCTCCCGGGTTCAAGCGATTCTCCTGCTTCAGCCTCCCAAGTAGCTGGGATTACAAGTATGCGCTAATTTTTTGTATTTTTGATAGAGATGAGGTTTCACCACGTTGCCCAGGCTGGTCTCAAACTTCTGAGCTCAAGTGAACCACCCGCCTCAGCCTCCCAAAGTGCTAGGATTACAGGTGTGAGCCTCTGCTACCAGCCTGCTATTTTCTTTTTAATAAAGGCCATTTTACCATTTTAACTGGGGTGAGATAATATTTCATTGTGGTTTTGATTTGCATTTCCCTAGTGTTATTGAGCATTTTCTCATATACCTGTTTGTCATTTGTATGTCTTCTTTTGAGAAATGTCTATTCAGATGTTTTGCCCATTTTTTCATCAGATTCTATGTTTTCGTGCTATTAAGTTGTTTGAGCTCCTTGTATATTCTGCTTATCAATCCCTTGTTGGATGCACAGTTTGCAGATATTTTCTCCTGTTCCGTAGGTGTCACTTCCCTTTGTTGATTGTTTCCTTTGCTGTGAGAAAATGTTTAGCTTGATATAACCCCATTTGTCTATTTTTACTTTTGTTGCCCATGCATTTGAGGTCTTACTCAAAAAATCTTTGCTCAGACCAATCTCCTGAAGCATTTCCCCAATGCTTTCTTCTAGTAGTTTCATAGTTTCAGATCTTACATTTAAGTCTTTAAACCGTTTTGATTTGATTTTTTGTGTATGGTGAGTGAGAGGGGCCTAGTTTCAGTCTTCTGCATGTGGATATCTAGTTTTCCCGGCATCATTTATTGAATGGGCTGACCCTTCCCCAGTGTTTGTTCTTGGCACCTTTGTGGAAAATGAGTTGGCTGTAAATGTATGTAAATAGATTCTATTCCACTGGTCTATGTGTCTGGTTTTTTGTTGTTGTTGTTTTGGGGTTTTTTCTTTCCCTTTTTTTTTTTTGAGACGGAGTGTCGCTCTGTCGCCCAGGCTGGAGTGCAGTGGCACGATCTCGGCTCACTGCAAGCTCCACCTCCTGGGTCCACGCCATTCTCCTGCCTCAGCTTCCTGAGTAGCTGGGACTACAGGCGCCTGCCACCATGCCCAGCTAATTTTTTCTATTTTTAGTAGAGACAGGATTTCACTGTGTTAGCCAGGATGGTCTCAATCTCCTGATCTCGTGATCCGCCCGCCTCGGCCTCCCAAAGTGCTGGGATTACAGGCGTGAGCCACCGCGCCTGGCTTTCTTTCCCTTTTTGAAACAGGGCCTCACTCTGTCATCCAGCCTGGAGCACAGTGGTATGATCTCTGCTCACTGCAACCTTTACCTCCTGGGCTCAAGCAATCCTCCCTCCTCAGCCTCTCGAGTAGCTGGGACCACAGGCATGTACCCCCACACCTGGCTAATTTTTTGTATTTTCAGTAGTGACAGGGTTTTGCCATGTTGCCCAGCCTGGTCTCGAACCCCTGGGCTCAAGTGATCCATCCATCTCGACCTCCTATAGTGCTGGGATTACAGGAGTGAGCCACTGTGTCCCGCCTTACATGTCTGTCTTTTTTGAGAGGGGGTCTCAACTCCTGTCACCCAGGCTGAAATGCAGTGGTGTGATCTCAGCTCACTGCAACCTCCACCTCCTGGGGTCAAGTGATCCTCCCACGTCAGCCTCCCAAGTAGCTGGGGTCACAGGCGCAGGCCACCACACCAGGCTAATTTTTTATTTTTTATTTTTTGTATTTTTGGTAGAGACAAGGTTTCACCATGTCGCCTAGCCTGGTCTTGAACTCCTGAGCTCAAGTGATCCACCCTCCTCAGCCTCCCAAGTAGCTGGGACCATTGGTATACACCAGCATACCTGGCTAATTATTTTTTGTACAGACAAGTTCTCACTATGTTGCCTAGGCTGGTCTCAAACTTCTGGGCTCAAGAGATCCTCCCACCTCAGCCTCCCAAAGTGCTGGAATTACAGGAGTGAGCCATGGTGCCAGGCCGCATGTCTGTTTTTATGTCAGTACCACACATTTTACATATGGGGAGACTGAGGCCAAGGGAGGGCAAACCAAATTCAGCAAGCTGGTGAGTAAAGAAAACAGGGTTTGAACCCAGGTACACCCAAGTCCAGAGCCCTTGCTCTCTGTCCACCCGTCTTCACGCCCTCCACCAATGGCTATGCTTTCCTGCCCTGGCTGTGCCCATGCTGTTCTTCTCTGTGCCCCTAGCAGGGTCCCCAACTCCATCCAAGGCCCATTCAGGACTTTGAGGTTGAGAGAGCCCAAGAGGGAAGGAAGCCACCACTTGCAGGCCCTTCCAGCACAGGCCAATCTGGTGCTGCCACCATCTTCCAGCCAGACCCTCACCCCTGGGAATCAGCCCCCGCCCTTCATCCCAGCAGCCTGCTCGGCAGCCTTTGCCCTGTGTCTGTTTATGGCTCCTTTCCCCAACTACTGACTCAGCCCTTCCTTTTTTGGGCCTTCAAGGACTGGAGGGGGGCAGGGAGAAGCCACCAGGCTGAGCTTCAGACTGCAAAACTCCCTATTGCTGCAGTGGGAGTAAAAGCCCACAGCCAGGCCAAACCAGGAGGATCACTCGAGCCAAAGGGTTTAGGACCAGCCTGGGCAACATGGCGAGACCCTGTCTGTATAAAAAGAAAAAAAAAATGACCACAACCAAGCGGGAGCTGGTGGAACAAACAGCCCCTCCTGAACTTCCTGTCCACTTCAGGGCTTCCATCATCGGACTCTCTCTACAGCCAGGACAGAGTCAAGCTTCAGCTTCCTTGCCTGTAAACTGTGGGTAATAATAACACCCGCCTGTAGTAGTTCGCTAGGGCTATCATACATAGCAAAGTAACACAAACTGGGTGGCTTTAACTACAGAAATATATTGCCTCTCATTTCTGGAGGCTGGCAGGCCCAGATCAAGGTATTAGTAGGGCTGAGTCTTTCTAAGGCTGTGAGGAAGTCTCTGTTCGAGACCTCTCCTAGCTTCTGCTGCTTTTCTCGCAGTCTTTGATGTTCCTTGACTTATGCACGTATTAACCAGACCTCTGCTTTCACACTCACATGGTTCTTGCCTGTGTGTGCCTCTGTGTCCAAATTTCTCTTTTTATAAGGACAACAGTCATGCTGGATCAGGGCCCTAATGACCTCAACTTAACTTGATCATCTGCAAAGACCCTATTTCCAAAATAAGGTTACATTCACAAGTACTGGGGTTAGGACTTCTGCATCTTTTTTTTTTTTTTTTTTTTTTTTGAGACGGAGTCTTGCTCTGTTGCCCAGCCTGGAGTGCAGTGGCACGATCTTGGCTCACTGCAATCTCCGCCTCCCAGGTTCAAGCAATTCTCTGCCTCAGCCTCCTGAGTAGCTGGGATTACAGGTGCCTGCCACCACGCCTGGCTAATTTTTTGTATTTTTAGTACAGACAGGGTTTCACCATCTTGGCCAGGCTGGTCTTGAACTCCTGACCTTGTGATCCACTCGCCTCGACCTCCAAAAGTGCTGGGGTTACAGACATGAGCCATCACACCCGGCCAACTCCTGCATCTTTTAGGGCAGGGAGATGTTCAAGCCATAACACCGCCTCACAGGATTGTCAAATGGATGAAATGAGCTAACGCATGCTGTGCCAGGCACAAAGTCATCACTCAGTGAATGTTCTTTATTATCATATTGTTATTATTTCTCTGCACAGTGGCTGCCAGTGTGCTGCACTGGGTCCTATGGGGTGGCCATCCCAGGGTAGTGCAAGTGCCCCACAAATCCCTGAAATGTGACCAGCAGTGGCTCCAGAATTTCACAGTAAGGAGGAACTTGGGGGCGTGGGAGGGAGATCAGGTTGGAAGGGGCTCAGCACGCTCACTGATGGATCTAAGCTCTCATATCACACGACGAAGACAGCAGTGCTTCCTGAAGATGCTCTGAGTCCCACTGGGTGCGTGACTGAGAAACCGCGCAGCTGTCCACCTGTGTCAGATCCTATCGCTGCTGTTGTAAATCCTTAGCGAAGCTTGTAGGGGAAGTGACAGTCATTGCTGGTGGTGAGTCGGGTGACTGATGTGCTCCCAAGGCTCTCCTTGATACAGGCACTTCATGCACCACGTCATCATGCTAGGCTAGTAGTCCCAGGAGGCTGAGTCATGGGGTGATGTCGGGATGCTCCCCTCGGTGGGGCTGTGTCTTGTGAGTGGTCGCGTTGGTGGGGATGGCGGCTCTCTTGCTGGGAGGCAACAGACCTCTGTGCGTGGGCGGGAGGTGGCACAGGCTTCTCATCTGGGAGACCAGATTGAATCTCAAATTGCTGCCTGCCTTCCGCACTTAAAACTGCTTCCTCACTCAGCACTTTGTGAGTGAGGCTCAAGTTCAAAGTCCTGAATGAAAGCCTTGATAATGAATCTGACCCGACGATGATACAAAGCTTCAATTATGGAGCTTGTAAAATGATACTGATATATGTGTGCTTCCTTGCATTTCTTCTGGGTTTCGGTTGTTCCCCTGTGCCCTTTTATAAAAGTGTTTTGAGGCCGGACGCGGTGGCTTACACCTGTAATCTCAGCACTTTAGGAGGCCGAGGTGGGCGGATCACCTGAGGTCGGGGGTTCAAGACCAGCCTGACCTACATGGAGAAACCCTGTGTCTACTAAAAATACAAAATTAGCTGGGCATGGTGGTGCATGCCTGCAATCCCAGCTACTCGGGGGGCTGAGGCAGGAGAATTGCTTGAATCCAGGAGCTGGAGGTTGTGGTGAGCAGAGATCGCACCATTGCACTCCAGCCTGGGCAACAAGAGTGAAACTCCATCTCCAAAAAATAAATAAATAAAAATAAAAAATAAAAGAGTTCTGAAAGTTGCAAAAACGGAGGCTTGAGCAGGGAGCCTGGTAGATGCATGGGGAGAGGTGGCCAAGAAATAGCTGTGGATCAGCCTGTTGGGCAAAGATCCTGGAACTCCAGTTTTGGAGGAGTGTCTGGTGGTCTAAGCCATAATAATAATTAGCTTTTCGAAGCATCGTCTATGCCTGAGTACCAGACTTATGGCTCTCTTTTTTTTTTTTTTTTTAAGACAGGGTCTTGCTCTGTCACCCAGGCTGGAAGGCAGTGGTGCAATCATAGCTCACTGCAGTCTCAAATTATTCCTGGGCTCAAGCTATCCCCACTTCAGCCTCCTGAGTAGCTGGAACTACAGGTGTGCACCACCCAGTCTTGCTAATTTTTGTATTTTTAGACACAGCCAGGCTGGACATGGCTCATTGTATTAAACCTTTGCAGCAATGCCATGTGGTCAGTAGTATAATTACATCTGCATTTTATAGATGAAGAAAAGAAATGAAGGCTTAGTGACTTGCTGAAGATCACCAAGCCAAGAAGTGGCAGACGAGCAATGTGAACACAGACCTGATTCTAGGGCCAAAGCACTTGTCCATGATGCCGGTCTGCTGTGGGCTACTATGAGGTCCCCAAGGCTGAAGCACAGCAACCAAGTGTCTCTCTAGCTTGTGTGTCCATGTAAATAAAGCAAGAGACCTAAGAGCAAGTAGAAGGGCAGGGTTCACTGTGTCCTCTATTAGGCCAGATGAAAGAACTGGTCCAGATCATACAACTGTACACTCAAGATGTGAAGAGGAGGCTGAGGCAGGTGGGTCACTTGAGCTCAGGAGTTCGAGACCAGCCTAGCCTACATGGTGAAACCCCATCTCTTCCAAAAATACAAAAAATTAGCTAGGTGTGGTGGTGCACGCCTGTAATCCCAGCTACTCGGGAGACTGAGGTGGGAGAATCACTTGAACCTGGGAAGCAGAGGTTGCAGTGAGCCGAGATCGCGCCACTGCACTCCAGCCTGGGGGACAGAATGAGATTCTGTCTCGAAAAAAAAAAAAAAAAAGTGAAGAGGACTACTATACAGGAATAAAAAAGAACAAACTACTGTGATACACAACAATGTGGGTAAACCTCACAGACACAATGTTAGGCAGAACAAAGCCAGACCCTATGCTGCGAGGTTTACATGCCTGTAATCCCAGCACTTTGGGATGCTTAGGCAGGAGAATTGCTTGAGCTGAGGAGTTTGAGACCAGACTGCGAAAGATGGTAAAACCCTGTCTCTGCAAAAAGTATAAAAAATTAGCCAGGTGTGGGCTGGGCATGTGGCATGGACGGGTGCGGTGGCTCATGCCAGTAACCCCAGCACTTTCGGAGGCTGAGGGGGGCAAATCACCTGAGGTCAGGAGCTCGAGACCAGCCTGGCCAACATGGCAAAACCCTAAACTAAACCCTCTACTAAACCCTCTACTAAAAATACAAAAAATAGCCAAACGTGGTAGCGGGCGCCTGTAATCCCAGCTACTAGGGAGGCTGAGGCAGAAGAATTGCTTGAACCTGGGAGGCGAGTTGCAGTGAGCCGAGATCGCGTCATTGCACTCCAGCCTAGGCAACAGAGTGAGACTCCATCTCAAAAAATCATTAGCCAGGTGTAGTGGTGTGTGCCTGTAGTCCCAACTACTTGTGGGGGCTGAGGCAGTAGAATTGCTTGAGGCCAGGAGGTTAAGGCTACAGTGAGCCACGTTTGTGCCACTGTACTCCACGCTGGATGACAAAGTGGAACCCCGCCTCAAAAAAAAAAAAAAAAAAAAAAGCCCAGATACAGAAGAGCACACGCTGTTTGGGTCTATTTAGGTGAAGTTCTAAAACAGGCAAAGCCAATCCTACGATGATAAAGTCAAGATGACAGTTGCCTTTTGGGGAGCCTCCCTGGGTGATAGAAATGGCTCACATCTTGAACTGGGTGGTGGGTAGCCAAGTGGACAGATATGTAAGAATTCATCAAGGTGTTTACTTCAGATGTGTGCCCTTTATCATATCTAACTTATAACTCAATTACATTAAAAAGGTGTAAAGAGGGGGCCAGGCGCGGCAGCTCACACCTGTAATCCCAGCACTTTGGGAGGCTAAGGCGGGTGGATCACTTGAGGTCAGGAGTTTGAGACCAGCCTGGCCAATATGGTGAAACCCCATCTCTACTGAAAATACAAAAAAATGGCCTGGCACACCTATAATCCCAGCACTTTGGGAGGCCGAGGCGGATGGATCACCTAAGGTCAGGAGTTCGAGACCAGCCTAACCAACATGGTGAAACCCCGTCTCTACTAAAAATACAGAAATTAGCCAGGTGTGGTGGTGCACGCCTGTAATGCCAGCTACTCAGGAGGCTGAGGCAGGAGAATCGCTTGCACCCGGGAAGCGGAGTTTGCAGTGAGCCAAGATCCTGCCACTGCACTCCAGCCTGGGCAACAGAGCAAGACTATGTCTCGAAAACAAAACAAAACAAAACAAAACAAAACAAAAAGAAAGAAAGAATTAGACTGAGGTCTGTTTAAAAAATAAAAATATAGCTGGGTGTGGTGGCACATAGTCCTAGCTACTTGAGAGGCTGGGGTGGGAGGATCAAGTGAGCCCAAGAGGTTGAGGCTTCAGTGAGCCATAATGGCACCATTGCACTCTAGCCTGGGTGACAGGGTGAGAACCTGCCTCAAAATGATAATAATAAAGCCAGGCGCAGTGGCTCATGCCTGTAATCCCAGCACTTTGGGAGGCCAAGGCAGGTGGATCACCTGAGGTCAGGAGTTCGAGACCACCCTGGTCAACATGGCAAAACCCCGTCACTACTAAAAATACAAAAATTAGCCGGGCATGGTGGCAGGCGCCTGTAATCCCAGCTACTCGGGAGGCTGAGACAGGAGAATCGCCTGAACCCGGGAGGTGGAGGTTGCAGTGAACCGAGATCGCACCATTGTACTCCAGCCTGGGAGACAAGAGCAAGACTTTGTCTCAAAAAATAATAACAATAAAATAAATATTAAAAATTAAAGTATGCTTGGGGTAAGGAGTGGAGGTGGTGCTCATCCCTGGTAGTTTTTTTGTTTTATTTTTTGTTTTTTTTTTTGATACAGAGTCTTGCTCTGTCACCCAGGCTGGAGTGCAGTGGCATGATCTCAGCTCATTGCAACTTCTGCCTCTTGGGTTCAAGCGATTCTCCTGCCTCAGCCTTCCGAGTACCTGGGATTACATGCATGTACAACCATGCCCAGCTAATTTTGTGTTTTTAGTAGAGACAGGGTTTCACCATGTTGGTCAGGCTGGTCTCGAACTCCTGGCTTCAAACAATCCGCTTGCCTTGGCCTCCCAAAGTGCTGGGATTACAGGCGTGAGCCACCATGCCCGGCTATCCCTGGTAGTTTTAACATCCAAGATCCTGACCCATGGTTTGGTCCATTCTCTCCTGCAAGAGTCCATCTGTTGCACTTTTCAGGATGTCCGCAGCTGGGAGGGAACTTCCCTTGCTCAGGAGGGCAAAATAGCTTTCATCACTCTCTTATTTATGCATTCACTCATCTATTCTTTCAATATTCAAAGATGTTTGTAGAGAGCCTGCTGTGTGCCAGGCATTGTGCTGAGCAAACAGACCAACAAAACATCTGTTCTTGTGTTGCTGTCATCCTAGTGGGGGCTGAGATTATTGCTACTCTAAAATAAGAAGTGAAGTATACAGTATGTGAGTTGGAGAAAAATAAAACACGGAAAGGAGTGAGGCGTGAAGCATAGGTTGCATCTTCACATTTGAGGTGGCCTAGAAAGGGCTCACGGAGAAGGTGGCATTTCAGAAAAGCTGGGAAGGAAAGTCTAGGCTGACTGCAAGTACAAATGCTCTGGGGCCAGCCTCAGTCTCCGTGAGGGAGGCAGGCAGTTCAGGGTGGCTCGAGAGGGTGGTGGAGGGAGAGCCGCAGAAATGGGGTATGGGGAGTGACGGAGCGCTAGAGGGTATAGGGCCTTGTTCCAATCGGGGCCTTACTCGACTGAGATGGGGTTTTCACAGTCAGGCTACCAAGAGCTGGGAAATATTGCAAACGATCACCCGCCACTGCTGCGCGCTAGGCAGAGACCACGAGAGGGCTATGATGGAAGGGAGAGGAGAGTTTCCAGGCTTGCTGGCTCCACTGTGCCTGGCTCTCCACCTTTGCTTTTCCCATCCAGTGAGTAGCATGGACCTCGACCCTCCAGGGCACTAGAGAGAAGAGGAGGGAGGGCCTATGTCCTCCACTGTGGAAGCACCAGGAGAGGCTGGAAGCAGATGAATAGCAGCCCAAGCCTCTCTGGACACAGAGTAAGAAATCTTTGCTGAGTGCAGCATGTGGAAAGGACCCTGTGTCCCTGTATTTCTTCTGGAGGTTTTCCAAGGAAGCAAAAGTTGCCAAGGAAGCAAAGTTCACAAGAAGCTTCCGACTGTAGGCAAAGTGGGAAAGATGAGGTGGAGACAGTGAAGTCATCTCAGGCAGGGCGGCACCCTCCTCTCCTGGCTGCTGGAACTGCTGACCTCACCTCCTTCCCGCACCCAGGAACCCAAGAGGGAGCCGATCACTGTGGGGGAAGGACTACTGGGACTGCGACAAGTTCCAGGAACCACGCTCTGGCAGGACAAAGCAGTCTTTACCTGCAGCATAGCACCTTCTCGGGGGTGCCGGCCCGGGTGATGTCCATTCACAGGGGGAAGGCTGGAGGGGAGGGAGTCCCTGTATTTGTGGCCTGGCTCTCAGCACCTGCTGTGTGGCTCCTGCACATCAAATTCCCACTCAGGGCTGTTCTCCCTCCTGGAAAGCAGGGAGCTGAGCTAGAGGCTTCTTTTTTATTTATTTATTTATTTTTGAGACAGAGTCTCACTCACTTTGTCACCCAGGCTGGAGTGTGCATTGACGCAATCTTGGCTCACTGCAACCTCTGCTTCCCAGGTTCAAGCAATTCTCCTGCCTCAGCCTCCCGAGTAGCTGGGGTTAGAGGTGTGCCCCACCACGCCGCCTGGCTAATTTTTTGTATATTTAGTAGAGATGGGTTTTCGCCATGTTGGTCAGGCTGGTCTCAAATTCCTGACCTCAAGTGATCCACCCACCTCGGCCTCCCAAAGTGCTGAATTACAGACAGGCATGAGCCACTGCGCCAGGCCCTTGCCTTTTCTTTCATTCTGCAGCTGCATCCAGACAGCCCACTGCGTGCCTGGTCTCCACACTGGGGCCCTTGGCCTCAAGGAGCTCAGTCCAGGGGGCTCCTAGGGCCAAGCCTATGAATCCCCTACCGGCTTCTTATCTCTGCAAGGCGTGAAGTGCAAGGCTGTTACCTGCTTATGGGTGCATCCCAAGTGAGCTGATGTTTCCTCCCTTGTCCTCATTGTCGATGTCACCTCCCCAAGGAAACATGCTAGGCCTTACATTTGAAAATACAGTCAAGCTGGGCACGGTGGCTCACACCTGTAATCCCAACACTTTGGGAGGCTGAGGCGTGTGGATTGCCTGAGGTCAGGAGTTTGAGACCAGCTTGCCTAACATAGTGAAATCCGGTCTCTACTAAAAATACAAAAAATTAGCTGGGCGTGGTGGCAGACACCTGTAATCCTAGCTACTTAGGGAGGCTGAGGCAGGAGAATCGCTTGAACCCAGGAGGCGGAGATTGCAGTGAGCTGAGATCACGCCATTGCACTCCAGCCTGGGCAACAAGAGTGAAATTCCGTCTCAAAAAAAAAAAAAAAGAAAAAGAAAACAAAAAGAAAATACAGTCTATAGGCCGGTTGCTGTGGCTCATGCCTGTAATCCCAGAACTTTGGGAGGCAGAGGCGGGTGGATCACGAGGTCAGGAGTTCAAGACCAGCCTGGCCAACATGGTGAAACCCTGTCTCTACTAAACAAAAATTAGCCGGGCATGGTGGCGCATGCCTGTAGTCCCAGCTACTCGGGAGGCTGAGGCAGGAGAATCACTTGAACCCAGGAGGCAGAGCTTGTAGTGAGCCGAGATCATGCCACTGCCCTCCAGCCTTCGCGACAGAGCAAGACTCTCTCAAAAAAAAAAAAGAAAAGAAAAGAAAATACATTCTACGGCCATACCACCCTGAACACACCCGATCTTGTCTGAAAATACAGAGCCCTGAAGTCATCTCCTACCCGCTCACGGGCACATTCACAGGCTCCCAGTGGCCTACAGAATCGAAGCCTGTCTCTGTGCCTGGCATTCACGATGTCCACAGTCTAGGGATTCTACTTCCCTTCTGCTCTTTTTTCACACCCCACACTCCAGCCCTTTGGACTCTGTAACCTCCTCAGTCCTCATAAGGACATCACTTCTCAGCCTCAGGCCTTTGACATGCGAAGCCCTCTTCCTACAACTCCACCAGCTAGATGTTTACATAGTCCTTTATATTTACCTGTATTTTATGAAACATTGCTGAATTCTCATAAAAACCTTGTGGGGGCCAGGCGCGGTGGCTCACGCCTGTAATCCCAGCACTTTGGGAGGCCGAGGCAGGCAGATCACGAGGTCAGGAGATCGAGACCATCCTGGCTAACATGGTGAAACACCATCTCTACTAAAAATACAAAAAATTAGCCGGGCTTGGTGGCGGGCGCCTGTAGTCCCAGCTACTCAGGAGGCTGAGTCAGGAGAATGGCGTGAACCCGGGAGGCGGAGCTTGCAGTTAGTGGAGATCGCACCACTGCACTCCAGCCTGGGTGCAGAGCGAGACTCCGTCTCAAAAAAAAAAAAAAAACAACAAAAACAAAACACAGCTGGTAAACAGAGGGGCTGGAAGAAGGCTTAGGCTTCAGTGTTGAGCTCTCCACCCCTCACAGTGCCTCTCCCAGCTCCTGAGTAGATGTGGGGCCTCTTCTCTGGATGGACCACAGTTGTCTGAGGGCAGGAGCTGAGCCTCCCCGGCCTCCTCAGTGTGAGCCATCGATGTCCAGCACATGCTGTTTCTCCTGCTCCCCTGGACTTTGGCCATCATCCCACTCAGGCTTGGGGAGAACAGGCTCTTCTGGCAGCCACCCTGGGACAAGCCTGGCTCTCCCAGGTGGCTCCAGCATTCCCTCCACTAGGCAGGTAGAGCCAGCTGCTGTGGAGACTTGCAGCTACCATGACTCATTCACAGCCTGGGCATGGCCCGCCTGTGCCCTGAGCAGAGCTGTGGAAACCAGCTGGGTGGGTCCAAACTGACAAAGCAGCCCATCCACCCATTTCTTCTAGGAGCCCAGGCCCCAGCAATGTGGCCCTTGCTTTTTCCACTTGGACAATGGACTTAAGGAGATAATGCTTTAGCCCTCTAGATCTGCGCACCAGTCAGAGCTGTGTCTTCCTGTATCAAAACCCACCTAATACAACCATGTTCCCTGAGATCATGAGAAAGAGTTCTTTGTGAACTCGGCCTCAAATTCTGGGAATAACTTCCACTTGGATGTGAATAATGGCTCTTCACATTCATCAACAGCTATGTGCTTGGCACTATTCTTTTTTTTTTTTTTTTTTTTGAAACAGAGTCTCAGTCTGTCACCTGGGCTGGAGTGCAGTGGTGTGATCTCTGCTCACTGCAACCTCCGCCTCCCAAGTTCAAAAGATTCTCCTGTCTCAGCCTCTCAAGTAGCTGGGATTACAGGAGCGTGCCAGCACACTCAGCTAATTTTTTGTGTGTTTTTAGTAGAGACAGGGTTTCACCATGTTGGCCAGGCTGGTCTTGTACTCCTGGCCTCAAGTGATCCGCCTGCCTCGGTGTCCCAAAGTGCTAGGATTACAGGTGAGAGCCACTGTACCTGGCCGTGCTTGGCACTATTCTAAACTCAACAGGCCAGGCGCGGCAGCTCACACCTGTAATCCCAACACTTTGGGAGGCCAAGGCAGATAGATCACCTTAGGTCAGGAGTTCGAGACCAGCCTGGGCAACATGGTGAAACCCCATCTCTACTAAAAAGGCAAACATTAGCTGGGTGTGGTGGTGGACGCCTGTAATCCCAGCTACTAAGGAGGCTGAGGTGGGAGAATCACTTGAACCCGGGAGTTAGAGATTGCAGTGAGCTGAGATCAGGCCACTGAACTCCAGCCTGGGAAACAGAGCGAGACTCTGTCTCAAAAAAGTGTTACACTCAACAAAGCTTTGGCCTTGATACCTGATGGTGGGAGGATAAGACAGGAGGAAAATTTTTATCCAATTGTCTAGACCAAGGACTGAAAATCAGCGTAGAGAAGAAAGTTAACCTGGGTCATTGTCAGTGTCAGAGTGAAATCTAGTAACTTGGTCTTCTATCTCCCCCAGCTTCAGTGTTATTTCCAAGGCATCAAGCTGCCTTCCAGGAGCAAGGAGGATGCTGCTTCTGTTTTAGAGCAAGAGTTAATGCAAAAGAAAGTTAGCAATGTGTGCAGCTTTCATGTTGTGACTTCACCTTCATTAGAAATGGGAACAAGCCAAGGAAAAGGTCCCAGTGAAATCTGAGATAATTAATGTGGTCAGAAAGAGGCAAGAATCCATTAGATCCAGATACAAAAGCAAAGTTAATGGCCTGAACTAAAATGCTAACAGAGGCGAGTTAGGGACCAGCACCCCCACACAATTTTCCAGAGTGCTTTAGCGAATTGAGTAGAGGCTGCTAGTTCTCTGTATTGTGTAAGGGCTGACTGTAAATGGCTCAAACAGCTGACACTGAAAGCTTTCAGCAAACTTGTCTTTTTGAAGCTGGAGGTAAATATGGTAGGCCAGCTTTCCCAGGCTACCTCTGTTGATTACGTTGTTTTTTGTTTGTTTGTTTGTTTCTTTATTACATTGTTTTTTAAAGCAGCATTTTAGATTATGGGTTGATTTACTAATTATACAGGGTAAATCTTTGTTTGAAAGAGATAGTCACCCCACGGGGAGGAATTATTACAGTGGGAGCTAACTTTCAGCTCAAAGGAGTTTCAGGAATCAGATCTGGAGATTCAAACCTGGAGAGGAAAAGGAATAAGGTGAGAGCTGGAAGAAAACTATTGAGACCCCTTGCTTAGGGTCCTGGGCCTGTGGGCAGCCAGGCTCAAGAAGCTCCTACTCTTGGGCCGGACGCAGTGGCTCATACTTGTAACCCCAAAACTTTGGGAGGCCAAGACGGGTGGATCACTTGAGCCCAGGAGCTTCAGACCAGCCTGGGCAATATGGCAAAACCTCATCTCTACAAAAAATACAAAAATTCTTAGGGCGTGGTGGCATGCACCTATAGTTCCAGCTTCTCCAGAGGCTGAGGTGGCAGCATCACTTGAGCCTGGGAGGTCAAGGCTGCAGTGAGCTGTGATTGTGCCATTGCACTCCAGCCTGGGTGACAAAGTGAGACCTTGTCTCAAAAAAAAAAAAAAAAAAAGAAGCTCCTGCTCTCATGGTCCCCCAACCAGTGGGCATATTGTAAAACTGATCTACCTTATTCTAGAAGCTTGTCTTGGCTAGGCACAGTGGCTCATGCCTATAACCCCAGCACTTTGAGAGGCTAAGGTGAGAGGATTGCTTGAGTGCAGGAATTCTAAACCAGCCTGCACAACGTAGTGAGGACCCCACCTCTACAACATTTGAAAATAAAAAATTGGCCTGGTGCGGTGGCTCAAGCCTGTAATCCCAGCACTTTGGGAGGCGGAGGCGGGCAGATCACAAGGTCAAGAGATCGAAACCATCCTGGCCGACATGGTGAAACCCCATCTCTATTAAAACTACCCAAATTAGCTGGGTGTAGTGGCGTGCACCTGTAATCCCAGCTACTCGGGAGGCTGAGACAGGACAACTGCTTGAACCCAGGAGGTGGAGGTTGCAGTGAGCTGAGATCGCGCCACTGCACTCCAGCCTGGTGACACAACAAGACTCCATCTCAAAATAAATAAAATAAAATAAAATAAAATATTAGGCCGGGCACAGTGGCTCATGCCTGTAATCCTAGCACTTTGGGAGGCCAAGGCAGGCAGATCACCTGAGGTCAGGAGTTTGAGACCAGCCTGGCCAACATGGTGAAATCCCATCTCTACTAGAAATAGAAAAAAAATTAGCTGGGCTTGGTCGTGGGCGCCTGTAATCCCAGCTACTCCGGAGGCTGAGGCAGAGGAATTGCTTGAACTCGGGAGGCAGAGGTTGCAATGACCCAAGATTGCACCACTGCATTCCAGCCTAAGCGACAGAGTGAGACTCCATCTCAAAAAAATAAAATAAAAAATTAGCCAAGTGTGGTGGCTCATACCTGTAATCCCAGCTACTTGTGGGGCTGAGGTAGGAGGATCGTTTGAGCCCAGGAGGCAGAGGTTACAGTGAGCCATGATCATGCCCCTGCACTCCAGCCTGAGTGACAGAGCAAAGCTCTGTCAAAAAAAAAAAAAAAAAAAAAACAAGAAGAACCTTGTCTTGATCCATTTTAGTGCTGCTAAAACATAATACCTGACACAATGGGTAATTTATGAAGAACAGAAACTTATTGGCTCATGGTTCTGGTGACTGGCAAGTCCAAGATCGAGTGGCTACATCGGGTGAGGGCCTTCCTGTTGCATTATAACATGGCAGAAGGCATCACATGGCAAGGGGCTGTGCACAGGAGAGCAAGAGGAAGCCAAACTCAGTGTTGTTTTTTTTTTTAAGAGATAAGGTCTAGGCTGGGCGCGGTGGCTCATGCCTGTAATCCCAGCACTTTGGGAGGCCAAGGTGAGTGGATAACGAGGTCAGGAGTTCAAGACCAACCTGGCCAAGATGATGAAACCCCATCTCTACTAAAAATACAAAAATTAGTCAGTCATGGTGGCGGGCGCCTGTAATCCCAGCTACTCGGGAGACTGAGGCAGAGAACTGCTTGAACTCGGGAAGCGGAGGTTGCAGTGAGCCGAGATCGAGCCACTGCACTCCAGCCTGGGTGACACAGCGAGACTCTGTCTCAAAAAAAAAAAGAGATGAGGTCTAGCTCTGTCACCCAGCCCAGGCAGGTGTGGAGTGACACGATTACAGCTCACTGCAGCCTTGACCTCCTAGGCTCAAGCAATCCTCCTGCCTCCAAATTCACTTTTATAACAAATCTACTCCCATGATAATGGAATTAATCCATTCGTGAGGGAAGAGTCCTCATGACCTAATTACCCCTTAAAGATCCCACCTCTCTCTTTTTTTTTTTTAAGACAGGGTCTCACTCTGTCACCCAGGTTGGTGTGTAGTGGCACAATCACAGCTCACTATGGCCTCACCCACACCGGCTGAAGCAACTCTCCCACCTCAGCCTAAAGAATAGCTGAGACTACAGGCATGTGCTACCATGCTCAGTTAATTTAGTTTTTTGTTTTTGTTTCTAGAGACAGGGTCTCACTATGTTGTTACCCAGTCTAGTCTTAAACTCCTGGGCTCAAGTGACCCTCCCACCTCAACTTCCCAAAGTTCTGGGATTACAGATGTGAGCCACGATGCCTGGCTAGGTCCCACCTCTCAAAACAGTTGCACTGGATATTAAGTTTCCAACATATGAGCTTTGGGGGACACATTCAAATCACAGCAAAGCTCCTTCAGGGGAACAGACTTAGAGAAAAGGCGTTGCCATGATACAACGCTGAAGGAGGAACTGATGGAGCTGTTCACTGATTTTCAATAAAAGAGCTCCAAGTGATTTTTGCCAAGCATCTTGGAAAGAATCCAAAGAATTGAGTGACACTGTAATAATAAAACTCTTTCCAGTTCCACATAATTTTGTGAAAAAGGCTTCTAAACTCATATATGGATTAAAATAAAAAAATAAGGATAGTGTTGATAGTGACTCCTGTTCCAATCTAGGAATCAATAATATTTATCAATGTAAACATGAACATACATTTTAAAAATCCATCTCAATAAATAAAATGTAACTCTCCATATGCAAACTGTTATCAAATTTGTATTGTACTTATGTGGTTTCAATCAGTTAGGTCTAATAACTCTAATGGTAATTCTAGCCAGAAGAAGTAACACTTCAGAGTTTATGGTCACGAGAAATTAAAAATTAAAATTGGAATTCAAGTGCCTATTTCTGTTACAAAGAAATACTATATGGCAATCATTAAAAGACAGTATAGCATGGAAATGAATGGCATCTATGACTTAATACTGTGGGGAAAGTGAAATGGAAATAGGAATTCAAAAAGAAAAAAGAGCAAGGTGAAGTTTCTGACTGAAATTTGTCCATGTGTTTTCCAAGGATGATAGTGAGTAGAGCTGCCCCAGAACGGTGTGACTCCAGTTCCTCAATAAGTGTCACCAGCCCAAGATAATCATACTTGAAAGGTGGCCATGGGCCAGGCACGGTGGCCCACATCTGTAATCCAGCACTTAGAGAGGCTGAGGCAGGAGGATCACTTGAAGTCAGGAGTTCGAAACCAGCCTGGCCAACATGGTAAAACCCTGTCTCTACTAAAAATACAAAAAATTAGCCAGGCGTGGTGGCAGGCACCTGTAGTCTCAACCACTCAAGAGGCTGAGGCAGGACAATCGCTTGAACCCAGGAGGCGGAGGTTGCAGTGACTCAAGATCCCACCACTGTATTCCAGCCTGGGTGACAAAGCGAGACTCTGTATCAAAAAAGAAAAGAGGAAAAAAAGAAAGGAAGTCATGGCTGGGCGCACTGGCGCATGCCTGTAATCTCAGCACTTTGGAAGGCCGAGGTAGGGAGATTGCATGAGCCCAGGGGTTCTAGGCTAGCCTGGGCAACATGGCAAATCCCTATCTCTTAAAAAAAAAATTAGCCAGGCGTGGTGGCATATGCCTGTGGTCCCAGCTACTTGGGAGGCTGAGGCAGGAGGATTGCTTGAGCCTGGGAGGTTGAGACTGCAGTGAGCTATGATTGCTGCACGCCAGCCTAGGCAACAGAGTGAGATTCTGTCTTGAATAAACAAATAAATAATAAATAAATAAACAAAGAAAGGAGGTAATACTGTGGATATCTTTGATTGACCTCTCTTGGGATATAATTAAAAACAGAAATTTCAAATTTGAGTTCAAATGGTGCTCAGAAAAGTACAACCCCCTACAGAAACCCTCCAACCACAAGTTTTGCAACTACTTAAAGTTATGATTTAAAAAACTAGATGTCAGGCGCGGTGGCTCATGCCTGTAATCCCAGCACTTTGGGAGGCCGAGGCAGGCGGATCACGAGGTCAGGAGATTGATTGAGACCATCCTGGCTGACACAGTGAAACCCCGTCTCTACTAAAAAATACAAAACAAAATTATCTGGGCATGGTGGCGGGTGCCTGTAGTCCCAGCTACAGGAGAATGTCGTGAACCTGGGAGGTGGAGCTTGCAGTGAGCCGAGATCGCGCCACTGCACTCCAGCCTGGGCAACAGAGCGAGACTCTGTCTCAAAAATCACAAAAAAAACCCCAAAAAACTAGATGTCAAAAATTAGCCGGGCATGGTGGCACATGCCTGTAATCCCAGCTACTAGGGAGGCTGAGGCAGGAGAATTGATTGAACGTGGGAGGCAGAGGTTGCAGTGAGCCAAGATCACGCCACTGCACTCTGGCCTGGCTGACAGAGTGAGACTCCATCTCAAAAAATAAAAATAAATAAATAATTAAAAACTAGATGTTAACTTAAAAGTGTGCAAATAGATACACTATTTTCAAATTTCTTTTAGGGACATGTGAACAGAAGTGTTTGAAAAGTCTAAACCAGCAGTGACAGCAAACAAGATGACCATCCACATTTCACTTTTCTCAAAAGACTCTTAATTTCCAACCCCTTATTTTGGGAGAACTGAAAACCATTTTCGCCCTGCTTTCTGATCTAAATCCCAATTAACATGAGAAATATTAAGACAATAGGGTTAAGAGTGAAGAAATCTGGAGGGCACAGCGGCCGACACCTGAAATCCCAGCATATTGGGAGGCCGAGGCAGGGGAAGATGGCTGAGCCCAGGTGTTTGAGATCAGGCAGGGCAACATAGGGAGACCTCTGTCTCTACATTAAAAAAAAAATAATAAAAATTTTAAAAACCAGCCAGGCATGGGGGTGCACACCTGTAGTCCCAGCTACTTGGGAGGCTGAGGTGGGAAGATTAACTTGAGCCCAGGATGTCAAGGCTGCAGTGAGCTGTGATTATGCTACTGCACTCCAGCCTGGGCAACAAAGTGAGACCCTGTCTCTTAGGGAAAAAAAAGGGTGAAGAAACCACTAAATTGTTTTATGGCCTTAATGCAGTCAGTTCCGCCTTTCTGAGCCAGTGTCCTCAATAGCAGAGTGTTGAAGCATATTTTAAAATGTACATTTAAAAGATGCAGTCTTGTCCTAATGTTTTATGATCTTGAATGTCCCTTCCAGGAATAACATTTTTAGACTCTTTGCTATTTTTCAATGCCAAAATCTTGTGTCCTCCACGCTTCTCTCACCCCCAGCTATGTCCCCCTGGAGAGAAATGAACACATCTTTGGGTGAAACACACGCTCAGTTTATGACCTATGCCTATAGATTTACAAGTTCTTTTCTGGTTGGAAGTCACCTCACCGCCCCCACCTGCACACCCCAAGGTTGTCTTAGCTATAGCTAAGCTGCCTTCCCCCATGAGTCTATCACTAAAAAAAATAGTCACTAAGCATCTGCAACTCATGTGCCCTTCCTCAAGCATTAGGAGTAAAGATGAATGAAGTCCGGCCTTGGGGAGCTTTGTCTGGTCAGAAGGAAACACGTTTGAGTAATTGCAGAAATACAATTGCAAAATCTGGCTAGGAAAGCGCGGCAGTGAAGGCGCAGAGGAGGCACAGACCAGCTTTTCTCGTGGTGTGGGAAACTTCCCAGAGACGTTTGAATTGGCTTTTGAACAAAGAGGCAGATTGGAGAAAGTGGAAGGCATTTCTAGCACAGAGAAACATATGAAGGCAAGATGGCACAATGAATCCTGGGAATTGCGAGTGTATCTGGAGCGTACTGTGTGGGATGGAAATTGGGGCTGGGAATAGAAGCCAAGAGATAAATTTGGATAGCTTGGTAAACAGGGAACAGATCACGGAATTTGGTCATTATCCTGAAAGCAGTGGGGGTGGGAAGGGGCACATTCAAGAATCATATGGAGAATGAAGCTTAGATAAGAGCTACTTCAAGTGTTCAGGCAGCCAGGCGCAGTGGCTCACGCCTGTAATCCCAGCACTTTGGGAGGCCAAAATGACCAGATCACCTGAGGTCAGGAGTTCAAGACCAGCCTGGGCAACATGGCAAAACCCCATCTCTACTAAAAATACAAAAATTAGCCGGGCATGGTGGTGGGCACCTGTAATCCCAGCTACTCGGGAGGCTGAGGCAGGAGAATCACTTGAACCCGGGAGGCAGAGGTTGCAGTGAGCCGAGATGATGCCACTGTATTCCAGCCTGGGTGGCGAATGAGACTCTGTTTCAAACAAACAAAAAAAAGAGTTCAGGTAAGCGATAGTAAAGGGCAAATTCAAGGAAACAGTGAGATGGACTTGATAGAGGAGTCAAGGGTGGCTCCCAGGTGTCCTGCTCGTCCATGCATAGAAGGAAGGGCAGGTTTAGAGAGGCAAGATAGTAGATTCATTTGTAGACATAGTGAGTCAACTGGGATAATTAGCTAGCCATTTCAAAGCATGGATTTGGAATTCAAGTTGCACAAGAGCCTGAGGTGAAAGTTTATATGTCAAATAACTAGAGCACACAGTGTAACCAAAGTGACAAGCCACCTTAAGAGTGGGCTGTATTCTAGAGCCAGCTGTTAAACAGACCCAAATAAGTTCTTGAGTCATCTTCCATGTTCTTTTGGGAAGCAAAAGTCTTTTGGGAAGCAAAAGAAGAGATGGCAAGTTCTTGAGCAACAGACAAGCCTAAGAAAACACTGCAGTTTTAAAGTCTGCATGAGTAGGGAGCAGTGGCTCACGCCTGAAATCCCAGCATTTTGGGAAGCTGAGGTGGGCGGATCACCTGAGGCCAGGAGTCCGAGACCAGCCTAGCCAACATGGCGAACCCCCATCTCTACTAAAAATACACAAAAAAACTAGCTGGGCGTGGTGGCGGGCACCTGTAATCCCAGCTACTTGGGAGGCTGAGGCAGGAGAATCGCTTGAACCGGGGAGGCAGAGACTGCAGTGAGCCGAGATCACACCATTGCACTGCAGCCTGGGCAGCAAGAGTGAAACTCTGCCTCAAATAATAATAATAATAATAAAGTCTGCATGAAGGTCAGCAAGAATTAGAGAAAAAAGGAAAGTTGGGCTGGGCATGATGGCTCAAGCCTGGAATCCCAGTGCTTTGGGAGGCCAGCAGTTCAAGACCAGCCTGGGTAACACGGCAAGACCATCTTAAAAAAAAAAAAAAAAAGAAGAAGAAGAAGAAGAAAAAATTACCCAGCCATGGTGTTGCATACCTGAGGCAGGATTGGTTGAGGCCAGGGGTTAGAGACTGCAGGGAGCTCTGATGGTGCTACTGCACTCCAGCATGGGTGATAGAGCAAGACCCCATCTCCAAAAATAATTGAAGTTGTTAGATTTAGGCCTGAAACACTGGGCTTTTGAAAACATACTTTTAAAACAAAATAAGAACTGTGTTCAGTGGTGTGTGCCTGTAGTCCCAGCTACTTGGGATGCTGAGGCAAGAGGATCACTTGAGGTCAGGAGTTGCAGGCTTCAGTGTATTTTTATGATCACACCTGTGAACAGCCACTGCACTCCAGTCTGGGCAATATAGTAAGACCCCATCTCTTAAAAAAAAAAAAAAAAAGAGAAAAGGCCGGGCACGGTGGCTCATGCTTGTAATCCCAGCACTCTGGGAGGCCGAGGCAGGCAGATCACCTGAGGTCAGGAGTTCGAGACCAGCCTGACCAAGATGGTGAAGCCCCATCTCTACTAAAAGTACAAAATTAGCTGGGTGTGGTGGCTCATGCCTGTAATCCCAGCTACTTGGGAGGCTGAGGCAGGAGAATCACTCGAACCTGGGAGGCGGAGATTGTGGTGAGCCGAGATCACACCATTGCACTCCAGCCTGGGCAAGAAGAGTGAAATTCCTTCTCAAAAAAAAAGCCCTAGACCAAGTATTAATAAAATTCCTTTTACAGTTAAGATGAGGATTACAGTTCTATTTTCAAGAAAGTGGGCTTTCTTGAAAAAGGGGACTTTTGCTAATTCCTTTTGGGGTTATTCTGGTTAATAGGCCACTTTAAAGCTCTGAATCTATGGCCCGGCATGGTGGCTCACGCCTGTAATCCCAGCACTTTGGGAGGCCAAGGCGGGTGGATCACGAGGTCAGGAGATCGAGACCACCCTGGCTAACACAGTAAACCCTGTCTCTACTAAAAATACAAAAACATTAGCTGGCTATGGTGGCACGCGACTGTAATCCCAGCTACTCGGGAGGCTGAGGAAGGAGAATCACTTGAACCCTGGAGGCAGAGGTTGCAGTGAGCTGAGATCACACCACTGCATTCCAGCCTGGGTGACAGAGCAAGACTCCATCTCAAAAATAAAATAAAATAAAAAGCTCTGAATCTACAATTGGCATGTGGGTAAAACAAAACAATTTTTTTTTTTTTGCATAGGTTCAAGATAGATGTGACCTGACAACAGATCTTGAATAAGAGATAGCAGGGGTTTTTTGTTTGTTTGTTTTTTGAGATGGAGTCTCGCCGCTCTGTTGCCCAGGCTGGAGTTCAGTGGCACCATCTTGGCTCACTGCAACCTCTGCCTCCCAGGTTCAAGTGATTCTCCTGCCTCCCTCCACCTTCTGGGTAGCTGGGATTTCAGGCACCCACCACCATACCCGGCTAATTTTTGTATTTTTAGTAGACAGGTTTCACCATGTTGGCCAGGCTGGTCTCAAACTCCTGGCCTCAAGCAATCCACCCGCCTTGGCCTCCCAAAGTGCTGGGATTACAGGCATGAGCCACCATGCCTGGCCAATAGTAGGGTTTTAACTGACCACAAATCTGGGTCAAAACTGCTGAAAGAAAGCGAATACTATCCTGATGTACATTAATATTCAACAGCAGTTTTACTGGTCACCTTTTTATGCTAGACTCTATGAGTACAAGGGGAAAGGGAGATATGGCCTTTGCCTTAAAAAAAAAAAACAAAAAAAACCTTACTCTCTTCTCCTTATTTTTCGAGATGGGGGTCTCACTCTTTTGCCCAGGCTGGGGTGCAGTGGCACAATCATGGGTCATTGCAGCCTCAACCTCCCGGGCTCAAGTGATCCTACCATCTCAGCCTCCTGAGTAGCTGGGACTACAGGCACACACCACCATGCCAGGCTAATTTCTGTATTTTTTGTAGAGATGGGGTTTTGTCATGTTGCCCAGCCTAGTTTTGAACTCCTAAGCTCAAGCAATCCACCCACCTCAGCCTCCCAAAGGGCTGGGGTTACAGGTGTGAGTCATCATGCCTGGTCCTCTCTTCTCTTCCTTATTCCTATGCCACCAACACAGAGATATTGCCCCCCAAAAGTCAAACAGCTGTTGGTCATTTATGGGAAAGTTGCAATGCTAAACCCTCAGCAGATGGGCAGGTTATTTCTTGCTATGTTTATGCATTTCCTAGCAACAGGGGACTGCATGGCTTGTTTTCCTATGTGACAAGCCCTGAAAACCAGGCAAGGAGCCAGTGGAGAGTCATCTGAGTTTACAGCCTGAGGTTCTGCCTTCCTGGAAGATCTAGCCTAGATACCTGAGGGTACAAACAGCCAGAGACTGCTTCTGTACACACTCAACTTTCTCTAAAATAGTACATACAATTTGTGAGCAAGAACATTAGAAGGAACTACATACCTATCCTCTTCCCCACATCTTTAAACTTCCTTTGCAAATAGATGGGGGCTGAGTAGTTCTGGCCAATAAACTACGTAACAGTGGTATGTGTGTGTGTCACTTCCCAGCTCAGCCAGTTCATTGCTGGTGTGCCTCTCTGCTGCGTCAGTCTGGAAGGCCTCAAGTTCCAGATGGTGTTGTCAGAAGATTGAAGGCAGGTTACTTGGCTCACATTAGGGAGAAAGACATTTTGCATAAAGCCATTATTCAAGAGTTTGTCATTAAGTACCATGACTAATAAACAATACAGCTTTCTCCTTGACTTCTTCATAAGACATGACTAACTTTCTGGATGTCCTCCTTTGTGACTACTCCCATTCTTCTCCAGTATTTAATCATTCTTTAGCTTCATATCCCTCAGAGTTCTGTGTTCAGCCCTCACTTCCACATCAATACCCTCAGGCTGGAAGAATTCACATAGCTCTGCAACTTCACCTATCACTCCTGGAATAAGAACTCTCAAACTTGCATGTCTGGCTTTAGGCACTTCTCTTCTTACCCCACACCTGGGAAATGTGTGGCTTCCTAGATTCATGATATGTGATTTTGAAGTCCTGCTAAGATACATAAAACAGATTTCTCTCCTAATTTTACATTTTCTCTTAATCCAGCTGGGGTTGAGAGGCAGGCCCTGATTGTAGGGTTTTCCAGTTTCTCACCACAGCTAATTTCAAGCTACCATGTCACCAAATGTACAGTTGGGAAGAAATGAGCAGTTTTTATAAGCTAAGACATGCCTTCAGCTCTCCACTGTCTGGGGCAAGTCCTGTGGTATTTGACTTCATTCCATACTCACGACTAGCAGCAGATTGACAGCCTGGTGATTACTCCCCCTTTATAGATGAGGATACTGAAACAAATAATAGGTCTTGCACCAGATCCCTTCCCAGTTCATTCTGCCACCCATTCAGTCTCATTCTCGTTTGCCAGTGGCTCTTCAAACTTTATTGCACACCAGAATCACCTGGGGATGGCCAGGATGGAGGGTTTCTTCTTAAAACACAGATTACTAGACTCCAGCCCGAGTTCCATTCAGTGGGTCTGTGGCAGGGCATAAGAATGTGCATTTCTAACAAATACGCAGACAACGCTGGTGCTGCTGGTTCTGGAATCATACTTAAAATCACTGCCCCATGCCTAGAGTAGCAGTTCAGTGGCCAAAAGTGTACCAGTTGGGTTCTTTCCTAGCCCTGCCACTAAAAAGCTCTGTGACCTTGAATGGGGAATTTTTCCAAAGGAAGACCAGAGCTTCAAGAGTCAACCATTTCACTGTTTACTTTCCATGCATCACCATTTTCTTCTCATTTCTCTAAGCTTGTCACCACTCCAAACATAGTATCCAGGGACAAAAAAGCACAGAGTAAGGTATCTCCAGATTTTGCAAGCAGCAAAGTCCTCCTATTAGGCTTGATATTCTCCTGGGTGACAATGCACATTTGAATGTGACTTTATAAAAAGGCACAGGCAATCATTCAGAGTAAAATTAATGTACAGTGCTTTCCTTCCTGATGTCCAGTTATAAATATATGACATTTTCCTTTAAGGACAGAAACTGCAGATAGGGGCATTTAAAAAGACATTAAGGCTGGGTGCAGTGGCTCACACCTGTAATCCCAACACTGTGGGAGGCTGAGACAGGAGGATGGCTTGAGCCCAGGAGTTTGAGATCAGCCCAGGCAACAGAGAGATCCCGTCTCTAAAAAAATAAATAGCTGGGTATGGTGGTGCGCACTTGTAGTCCCAGCTACAGCTACTTGGAAGGCTGAGGCAGAGGAATGCTTGAGCCCAGGAGGTTGAGGCTGCTGTGAGCCATGATCATGCCACTGCACTCTAAACTGGGCAACAGAGTGAGACCCTGTTTCAAAAAAAAAAAAAAAAAAGCAAGATAGATTTATCCCATATGAGCAGATTATCAGCCTTAGAATCCAAACTTTCAATATGTAATGGAAACCAGTGAGTCTTTACCACCAATTTATGAGGTTGTTATTGAAGCAACTGTTAGCATGAGGAACAAGACTTTTTAGAGGGTTAGACTTGGTGTGATGGCATGAAGAACTTGTTTTCTGACTCCCTACCACTGATCAGAAAATTGAGGCCGGGTGCAGTGGCTCACACCTGTAATCCCAGCACTTTGGGAGGCCAAGGTGGGCGGATTGGCTGAGCACAGGAGTTTGAGACCAGCCTGGGCAACACGGCAAAACCCTGTCTTCCCTAAAAATACAAAAAAATTAGCCGGCTGTGGTGGTGCGTGCCTGGAATCCCGGCTACTCGGGAGGCTGAGGCACGAGAATCGCTTGAACCCGGAGGTGGAGATTGCAGTGAGCCAAGATCCAGCCTTTGTCTCAAAAAAAAAAAAAAAAAATTATACTCTCAGGGCTGCTACCTGCCCTAAAAACCATCTTATTTCCCCCCACATTTCCCAAAAGTTGGGTTTATGCTTGCTGCTTGAATGTTTTTACTTATCATCTTCTGTCCCTAACATTTAGTATCATTTATGATCTCACTTTTGTTCAATCTCCTCCTTGGTGGCATTGCAAGGATTTGCAGACCAATAAAACTGTCATTGGATAGGGTCACGGCTGGATTGAACATTTCTTACCCTATATACTTCATTATTTCAACTTTTGGTTAAAATGTTTGTGACTGAGGGCATTCTCATTATCGAACCCACGTGAACCTTCGACACTTTCTATGCCACTCATTTGGCTCTGTGCTAAGGAATGGGTGCTCTCTGTTGGCTGAAATCATTCATGTGGGTGTGTTTTGCTACCATTCCTCCAAGACGAGGAGTCTTCACCGTCTGCCGAAACCTTACTCAACCTTTTTTTTTTTTTTGAGACGGAGTTTCCCTCTTGTTGCCCAGGCTGGAGTGCAATGGTGCCATCTTGGCTCACCGCAACCTCCACCTCCTGAGTTCAAGAGATTCTCTTGCCTCAGCCTCTTGAGTAGCTGGAATTAGTCATGCGCCACCACGCCCAGCTAATTTTGTAATTTTAGTAGAGACAGGGTTTCTCCATGTTTGGTCAGGCTGGTTTCAAACTCCCGACCTCAGGTGATCCGTCCGCCTCGGCCTCCCAAAGTGCTGGGATTACTACAGGCGTGAGGCACCGCGCCCGCCCTACTCATCCTTTCAGATGCAATTCATAGATTATTTTCTCTGGTCTCCATCTGCCCCATGAGTACTGTATCTGTAACACCCTATGTTGCATATAGGTCCATTTGAATTGTCACCCCTGAATTCCCAGGGACTAGCACAGTGCCTGGCATTTAAAAACTCAATTCCTATTACTGTTTGTATAGGAATTGCACTTTGTCATAGGCTAAAAAAAATCATGCATGCCATTATAGAAAACTCAGTAATGTATGCTTCACAATTTTGCAGGGTACAGGATGGTCAATGATTTTAAAAACTATCTCAAATATTTAGTTTCACTTCTTTTGGCACAAAAAACAAAAAAAAATTGGTTTTACTGTCTAAACGGAGATTAAAACATTATGCTGTTAACGGAGTTACATACGTTAGCACGGTGCAAACCAGTTTTGCAATAAAAAATATTTACTTAGCAACCGTTAAAAGCAGTTTCTAAAAATATCCACCTCCACCCTTTCTTCTGATCCTAAATATCTAATGCAGCATTTTATCACCAAGATGTGTGCCGCTGTCCATTGGCATACAGAGCCAATGGCAGGCTGCCTGAAATCCACGGGAATTGTTTCCAACAGTTATTCAAACTATTTTGCTTCTCTGAATTAGCAGCATTGAAGACTTAATATGGTGATGATGAGAAAAGGCTACATTTTTTTTACCTAAGACATTCTGTTCCATAAATGACAGGCTATAAAAGTACTACAGAACTATGAGAAAGAACACCCTGTCAATGAATACACTGGTATATTAGAACAATCTATATAAACTTAGGTACACGGAAATGCTCTAAAAGTGTAAAAATATTCACAACTTCAAGCAAAAATAACTTGGTCAAGTTTGGTTTTATGTAGCAGACTGCAAATCTAATTAATGCATTCCACTCTTGTAGATATAATGTATCTTAAATCCAAATACAATTTTAGTCAAGTTTTAAGGTGATTTTTAGAAAAAAGTCAATTTTTAATAAGACCATGAAGCAACAAGACTGGCCTTTTTTTTTTTTTTTTTTTTTTTTTGCTATCATCAACACACTGATGAAGTATTGATGATAACTAGGTAAGGGTTGGCTAATAAATGCATTATATTAAAAAACTGCTCTGGCATAAATGTGCCACTAGAAAACATATATTACCTCTAAATATGAGTAGTACTATTTGGCCTGGGTTCTAGTCTTGCTTGGGGAGCTTGACCACATCTGCACATCTTTTTGGGCTTCATATTCATTAACTGGTGTCGAAAAGACAAAAGAAAATGAGCTCTAGCATTTGGCTCTAAATATGGATTCTACTAATGAGCCACAAAATGACCAAACATGTCAGTGGATAAATTAGTAAAAAGCCTGATCATTTGCCCCTTTCTCTCCTGGACCTGCATATTTTGTGGAGTGCTCCTATATTTTAGTGAATAGATGAGGGGTGAAGGGAGTTTAATGACTCCTAAGGAATGGCAAACCTTTGCTATTTGAAGGCCAAAGGATCAAGACACCAGCGCAGCCTTGTAGGACACACACAATTACTTCTTTTTTTGAGACAGTCTCGCTCTGTCGCCTAGGCTGGAGTGCAGTGGCTCACTGCAACCTCTTGCCTCCTGGGTTCAAGACTCTCCTGCCTCAGCCTCCTAAGTAGCTGGAATTACAGGTGCGTGCCACCACGCCCAGCTAATTTGTGTGTGTGTGTGTGTGTGTATATATATATATATGTATTTTTTTTAGTAGAGATGGGGTTTCACCATGTTGGTAAGGCTGGTCTTGAGCTCCTGACCTCATGATCGTGATCCACCTGCCTCAGCCTCCCAAAGTGCTGGGATTTACAGACCTGAGCCACCATACCAGGCCCACAATTACTTTCAAAACATACACAAAGTACTGTCCTGCCTCTTAAAGTCATTCCCTCATACTTTCACTAAAGGCCCTTACTCCATTCTGCCTGTTCACATCCCCCTGCCACCCCAATCCCCAGCACTATCACATAGCAGCCTTTTGCATATGGCAGAATCAGTTTCCATCTGGTGGATGTAATGAAAAATTCATGACTAGACTGGAAAATTACTATTAAAATTTCCCAGATTTTCATGTAAATTAAAAAATACTAAAAAAAATACTCTGCAATCTACTGAGATTAACATATTTCTAAGCACTTCAAAGATATCCTTATCCCACTGTTATACCAGTGGACACATCTTGTTTTATTACTGTCACTCCTATTTTCTTTAACACCCTAAACAATTAAGTACATCTATATTCTCTAATCAGATATATGTCAAATAGTAAATTAGAAAATGCTACAAAGAAAGAACCAAGTTACTCCAAACATTTTACTTAAGGCTCTGTAAGACTGCTTTTTAACTTACTGGGTGTCGATACAGGGAAGCTACTCATTGCCTTTGTCTTTTAAAGTGCCTAGATCTTAGTTCAAAAATGCTCCAAGAATAAAAATGTTTGTTTGTGTAAAGTTGACGACAGATGCAGAAACTATCCATTTGCTTATTATAGATGGGCTCTGCCCTGCCCAAGTTTGAGGGGGTAAGGGAGGCAATATAAGCACACAATACTTTTTTTTTTTTTTTTTTTTTTGAGACAGAGTCTCGCTCTGTCGCCTAGGCTGGAGTGCAGTGGCTCAGTCTCGGCTCACTGTAGCCTTTGCCTCCTGGGTTCAAGTAATTCTGCCTCAGCCTCCCAAGTAGCTGGGACTACAGGCGTGCACTACCATGCCCGGCTAATTTTGCATTTTTAGCAGAGATGGGGTTTCACCATGTTAACCAGGCTGGTCTCAAACTCCTGACCTCAAGTGATCCGCCCACCTGGGCTTACCAATGTGCTGGAATTACAGGCGTGAGCCACAGCACTCAGCCAAGCACCCAATATTCTAATTCCAAAATTTTTAGATCTGAATTAAGCACACTCCATTTATAGTCAATTTAATTTTGAAACCGAAAAGACTCTACAACACATCTATGTTGAAAACAGCTGCAATTTAAGAAATCTTAGTTGCCCAACCTTCCAGTCATTCTGGATTTTAAATCTTTCCAGACTGCCACCCTATTTGATATATACTTTTATGTAAGATATTTAGACACTATAAACTACTTTGAAAGGGGAAACTTAAGGTCTTATAGCACTCAAGCCTGGGCGACAGTGCGAGACCCTGTCTCAAAAAAATAAATAAATAAAGTAAGGGAATATAACTATCTTCCCTCCAACTCTGTGCTTTGGTATCCTTATATGCAAAATGGAGACAGGATGTACTTCACAGGGCGCTGATTAGGCAAATACATGTAAAGCACTTAGAATAGTGCATGACACTCAGCAAATGATGGCTAATACTATCAATCTCTGGGTTTAAAAGGGTGATATAACAAGAGGAGCACCATGGCTTAACTGCATGAAAGCAAGAAAATCAGGTTGAGGTCTTGGCTCTATAAAGCTTACCAATTACCAACATGCCTTGCCTTGGGCAGCCCCACTCTTTTCTGAAACAGTTAACTGTTTCTTATTACTGTTATGAGGAATAAAAGAGATGACATATATTAAGGATTCTGAAAACTAGTTTGCAAAATGGTGATTTTTCTAACACATAAAATCCTTTCACCTTAAATTAGCTGACATTCAAGTTAGAGCTTTCTCTTCTCTCCATTTTTAAGTCAACATGGAATCATGGTATCTTATTCAGTGAGTTGTAACGTTGCTACCAGTTTATTTTGATAATTGACACAGATTTAGCAAGTATAATCCTTCAAGTGGCTCCTGTGCCCTTTTGACATGTATCCACCTTTTTGTTGTTGTTGAGACGGAGTCTCACTGCAACGCCCAGGCTGGAGTGCAGTGGCACGATCTCAGCTCACTGCAACCTCCATCTCCCGGGTTCAAGCGATTCTTCTGCCTCAGCCTCTTGAAAAGCTGGGATTACAGGCGCCCGCCACCACACCCGGCTAATTTTTGTATTTTTAGTAGAGACAGGGTTTCACTATGTTGGCCAGGCTGGTCTTGAACTCCTGCCCACTTCGGCCTCCCAAAGTGCTGGAATCACAGGCGTGTGCCACTGCTCCTAGCCAACCACTTTTTTTTTTTTTTTTTTTTTTAGATTTCCTTTGTGGCACCATAATAGAATGTTCCAGGTTCATCTCATATTTCTCCATCCCAGGAGCCATTATTACTCTACTTTTGAGTATGTCCTCAAAACTGGTCTAACAAGTCATTTCAGAAAATAATTTCACTTCAACAATACACTGTTTGTTGATTCAACACAAACTGCATGGGCTGCTTAGATCAATTTACACTTGGTTCATCGCCATCTTTGGCTGTTTCAAACATACACTGCTAAAAAAAAAAAAAGATTGTCATTAAGAATATTACAATAGAAATGGAAGTTTTGAGGAGGAAGAAAATCCCCCAAAATGTAAGCAATGGTAATAATGCATTTAAAGTATAGTCTCACAAAGTCTCACTTAAGAGAGCAGCACACCCAGGACACACATATTGATCTGCTGACACCACTTCTTTACTATACTTCATATAGATGTCCTCACATCTTGATTTACATGGTTATAACTGCTTAAAAACTGGCAAAGAGAAAACCTAAAATAATGCTTTATACCAGTTTGAGTCAGAACCAGACTGTTCCAGACTAGTTGGAAAACGACCCAGGAACTCACCTGCATTAAATGCTGAATTTAACTGAGCTAAAAATGTCTAGGCCATCCCTTCTTAGAATTCCCATGACTCATTCTAGTCAAAAGCTATAAGAACATATTCCTTAATAGTTCAGCAAACTTTAGGGAAAACTAGCTCATTGTCTTGGGTTCTAAAGTCCTTTTGTTTGATTATTTTTATTATAATGAAATTAAACTTATGACTATTACAGTATGCTCAGCTTAAAACATTTATGAGTACTGCAAGGACTAACAGAAACAGGAAAAATCCTACTAAAAATATTTGTTGATGGGAAATCATTGTGAAAGCAAACCTCCAAATATTCATTTGTAAGCCATAAGAGGATAAGCACAACCATATGGGAGGAGATAACCAGTCTCTCCCTTCATATATATTCTTTTTTATTTCTTGTTATACCTTCCCAAAACAGAGACATTCAACAGTAGTTAGAATGGCCATCTCCCAACATTTTAAAAAAACTGCACCCCCCAATGGGTGAACAAAGTAAAGAGTAGTAACCTAGAGTTCAGCTGAGTAAGCCACTGTGGAGCCTTAAGTGGTGAGGTCTTCCAATTTCAGAGTGATGTGTCTTCAACTTGTATCATCATTTTAGCGGAAAAACATAATTTAATTTTGGTGAAATGAGATTCATCTCGTAACAGGATTAGTAACAGCATTCACTGAATTTCACACTCTTCTTTTGTGAACAGTGAAGAAAATGAATGGTAGCTAGAAGATCAATGGGATTCCAGCTCCAGCTGCAGATGGAATGACGATATACCAGGACAAAAAACACCTATATTTTGATTTACAAAGCTAACAGCAGTTTTAAATCTGCAACTTAATTACAGACCAACTACACCACAACCTTTTCAAATGGCAAAAATACAAAAAAGTGTTACAAAAATATTTCAGAAAAAGTGCATAGTCTAAGTGCATAGTAAATAAAAGCACTGAAAAATATCTTGCTAGAGGGAGTTCAGCTTGGAAGTTATTACCAAAGCTAAACATTTTTATTTTACACAAACTATACTCAAAAATAGCTTTATGAGACTGATTTCTGGCTAAAAGTATCAAAGGGTTTATTAGTCAAGAAACAAATACCTCAACCGACAAGGGTGGATAGAAAAGAAACAAAGAAGCTGCCTACCCCAGAAGTTCAGACTTAATAAAATTTCTTCAGTATTACGGTACTAATATCCCTTAATGGCAGAATGTGATAATCATGGAATTAATTATTGCTAAAGTAGTTTTCAAATAAAAAAAAGAAAAAAGAAAACAAAACAAATTAAACTTGACACAATCTGACCAAACACGTGTCAATTTACAATTTCAAGGTTATTTTACAAAATACCTACATTTACACAATAGGCTCCCGGCAGCATTTCCAGACAAATGTTCTTTTAATTTATCCTGACATGCTATAAATGAATAAATTACACTATTTAAAAATTATCATCAGTAAGTTTTCCTTTCTCATGGGTCAGAGAAAAAGAAATGAGCGTGCAAAGAAGATTGAGAGGAAGCGCACGCACACAGATAACTTAAAGAAGCAGGAGGGGCTGGGGAGGGTCAACAATCACTGAACCTCACACAGTGTGATGCTCTCCAAGGGTGAAAGTCAACTGCTTATAGCCATTTCAAAAGTATTTTAAAGAAAAATGTTTTGTAGGGAAACCCTTTAATGCTTTCATTTTTATTCAAAATCAGTCCAGCTGCTAGTCAGCGGGCAGCAGCTACAATACCAAGTTCTGGCAGTTGCAGTACTAGATATTGTGCCTGCAAGTCATAAAAAAAAAAAAAAAAAAAGAAAAAAATGAAAGAATGCCTTTCCCCTTCAGACAAAAGAATTACTTTTTTCATTTTTCTTAAAAAAAGAGGAAAAGTTATAACACGAAACCTAAATTGACTTGCAAAGGAATACCATGTAACAAATGGCTTGAAGTAGTCTATCAAAAAATTGGGGAGATTTTTATTTAATAGTGAGTCAGCAAGGCATTTTTTGTTGTTTAAAAAAAATCTCATTTCCTTACAGAAACAGTTTTTAGTTTTTAATGAACTTGTAAACAAAAAAGCTCCCATTTCAAAATAAAAACAAAATCCCAGATCATATAGATGTTTACAGTGATTACATTTATCTAAGCAACATACATACATGTTCAGTTGTAAGATGTTAACTAAATTTCTGTGACAAATATGCTTTTTTTTTAATACCAAGAACATTATAGAGTTAATGCAGAGTCCTAAGGATAATCTAGTAGTCACTAAGTTTTTCTTAAGTCTTCACTTTAGATGCTGTTATTTCTAGCACAATTAAGCAGGCAGAGTCTTTCATATGCTCAAACACTGGAATCTTTGGTTGCTACCATATCAGCTGGCTTGCAGACAAGAAGCCAACCATTTTAAGAATGTTTTAAGTGAACAACTTGCAAACCCCAGGGATGGAAAAACCCTAAGAATGCACAATTGTGAGCATTTAACAACCATCACAACTGTGGCTGAAGACTGTTCATGCCGTTCTTCTGAAATGAGATCTCAAAGCAGTATAGTTCAAAACAAAAGGTTTTAACAAAAAATTGGCATATGCACAATTTCTCCACCAATTTTTGTGTGTCAACCATTTAGTTAACTTTTCCACTTGAAAAAATGCAATAGAAAACCGGACACCATGTTTCACTATCTCAGTTAATATTCACAATTACAGAGGCTACAACTCAGGATACAGCATCACCAATGCTGCCCAGAGTCAGTTTATACTGAAATTAAGTTCTTTACACCAAGTAAATGGTTGTCCACAACCACTGGCTAGTGTACATATGAACTAAAATTTCTAGATTTGGGGAGAAACAAATGCTGCTCCGATCATCTGCTCTGCTTCTTCTGTTCCTCAATTCATGCTTAGAAACCTGGTAAAAAATCAAAACAAAAAAAAAGTTAAAATTCCAAGTCAAAAATTTTAAATTACACCCAAAATATGGAAATTGGGTGGAACTGAGCCAATAATTATAGTGGCTCATGTTATTTCGTCTCTTGTGAAAAGTATTAGCTCAACTTTTTAAAACAGAAAAACATGAATCTATACTTAAAACTAATTTTTTCTGTTTTGAATGACTCTAGGAAGGAGTGGTACAGTGAATTCAAAGCCTCTCAGCATACTAAAATAATTATTAGTAATTCAAATGAGCATGTTTCTGCATTTTTACATATGCAGAACATATTAGGCATTCACATATTTATCAAATCAATGAAAAACAGATTGCTTTGCTTTAACTAAAGAATACAATTTTAATCCTACCATAGGCACAAATTATTTCTGACACAAATTAAAACGGTTAGCTTTAATAATAAATGCATTCAAAGCATAATTATCTGTATTATTTTACTAAACAAAGACCTGAGAAGCATGTAATTTCTGTAGAGAAACCTTAGACCTTTAAAACTTCTTTACCGGCCGCATTAGAAAGATTGTTTTGTGACTCATTTAAAAATGTAAGCAAGTGATGCTTTTTTGGCTTTATTTACTTCTCAAGCCTACACATTCTACAAATACTTCCCTCCTCCACCACAAGTAGACCCTAGGGCCTCTACATAGGCCCTAGGCCAAGTTTGAATACAAGAAGCCTCAGGTCATAACCACACTTTATCTACAGCTAAAGGCAAAGGGAGAAAATATGCCTGTCCCACAGCAATAGCCTGAAAATCTCTTAAGCACCGTTTTTCCTCTCACCAGACACCCACTCTGAGGCACCAATGCTCCTTTGTCTACCTCCTTACAAATGAGCTAGAAACTATAGCTCATTCTAGCCCACTCCAATCAATCCTCACTTCTTCAGCCCAGGTCATGTTTTCTTCAATCATAAACTGCTCCTTTTCTTTTAGTTCTTTTTTCTTTTTTTTTGGAGACAGTCTCGCTCTGTCACCCAGGCTGGAGGGCAGTGGCATGATCTTGGCTCACCGCAACCTCTGCCTCCTGGGTTCAAGCGATTCTCCTGCCTCAGCCTCCTGAGTAGCTGGGACTATAGGTGCCTGCCACCATGCCTGGCTAATTTTTGTATTTATAGTAGAGACACAGTTTCACTGTGTTGGCCAGGCTGGTCTCAAACTCCTGACCTCGTGATCCACCCGCCATGGCCTCCCAAAGTGTGGGGGTTACAGGTGGGAGCCACCGTGCCCAGCTTCTTTTACTTTTTAAACATTTGTTGGGCCATCTCCCATGGGCTTTGTGGGAGAAACAAAATAATTCTAATATTTATTTCTTATGCATATATGCCCCTTTTTTTTTTTGGGAAATAATAGCGAACATACAAGAGAGTAGGTGCATAATAGATCTTTGTTGCCTGGGTACTAAGTCCATAAGCACCAAATGCCAAAAATGAAAGATAACATAACTTTGAGAATATACTTCACCATAGGGAATATCATTTGATGCATGTTATTAAGAAGTATTAGCGAGGTAAACCTTTCTTTTAAAGGTTGTCAAACCAAACCTTAATAAAAATCTGACTATACCCTGTGACCAAATTTCAATTTTAAAATACAGGAAAAGTTTCAAGCTTCTTGTTTGGGAGTTTAAAAAAGAAAAAAAGTACAATACAGGATAAGCTATGCAGGTTAAGAAACTAAGGATTAAACAGAAATTAAACAGATTAAACAGGATTAAACAGAATTCCCCCATCAGGATTTGGTTTCAAGTCTTGCAATTCTTCTTAAACATGATTTAAAAAACGTATTTTCACAACTACTAAAATTGCTGGGTTTTATCATAGTTTTCTTATGTAATCATATTAAACTAATTGTTATGGTGAATATACCAAATGGCTTTCAAAGGGAAAACCACCATCACTAACAAACTAAAATGGAAACATGCTACATTGTCAGTCAAAATACAAGGAAACTCTTGTGCCTTTAATAGCAAGAAAACTTCAGAATGTATCTGTACATCTTTTGACCTGTTATCTGAGGAATTGCTGAGTCAATAAATGATTACAATTGTTTAGAAACTGGTAAAAGGCTACCCTAACAATATTCCTGGTAGAATAGAGCAGTCAAATCCAGCTTTAACTCTTCAAATGGGTCAATGGTATGACATTCCAGCCAGGGATCAACATTTCTCCAGTGAATTGTCCTAAGATGTTACTGAAGTATGTTTAGGAAAAAACCTCAATAGGAATATTCAACAGGTATTCAACAGTCTTGCAGTACTAAGCATTCTTTTCCCCAATACGCATTGGTCTTTGGTTTTTATCTTGCAGATTAGGTGGCTCATCCAGGCTTCCAAGAGTTCAAGAACCCATCTTCACTGTAACATCAGTTAAAATGAGGAATGAATCCCTTTATTCCTTAAAAAAAAAGGGGAGGGGGAGGGGGGAGTTAAAACAGAGTTGGAGGATGTGATGATTAAGAAGTTAATAGCTTAATTAAATTTCAAATCTGCAAAAAGCAAAAAAAAGTTTATTTTTATATAACTAACAAGGATATTCTATCCCTGCCCGCCACCCAATCTGAAATCTAAAATGTATGCTCTGGCCCAGACGAGGTGGCTCACATCTATAATGCTAACACTTTGGGAGGCTGAGGCAGGAAGATCACTTAAAGCCAGGAGTTCCAAATAAACCTGGGCAACATAGTGAGACTTTGTCTATTAAAAAAATAAACAAAAGATATGCTTTTTTTTTTTTGAGATGGGGTCTTGCTGTTATGTTGCCCAGGCTGGACTTAAAACTCCTGGGCTCAGGAGATCCTACCACCTCAGCCTCCCCACAAAGTGTGTATCTGTTCTTATTCGTAAATTAATTTCAACAGTTTTCGACTTTTTAAATAGAACCAGAAACTAGTTCAAAGGGATATTTACGTAGCAGTAAGGCTTGTAAGTTTGTGATGGGCTTTTGATATTTAGGATCCCTTCAAGCTACAAGACAACTTTTTAAAAGTTATTTTGAATATATTAATTATGCTATGTCATTTATACTAACTTTTCCTATAACATGGTTGTGGGGTTTTTTTTCTTTTTTTCTTTTTTTTTTTTTTTTTTTGAGACGGAGTCTCGCTCTGTCACCCAGGCTGGAGTACAATGGCGCGATCTCCGCCCACTACAAGCTCCGTCTCCTGGGTTCACGCCATTCTCCTGCCTCAGCCTCTCAAGTAGCTGGGACTACAGGCACCCGCCACTACGCCCAGCTAATTTTTTTTTTTTTTTTTTTTGAGATGGAGTCTTGCTCTGTCGCCCAGGCTGGAGTGCAGTGGCGCGATCTTGGCTCACTGCAAGCTCCGCCTCCTGGGTTCACGCCATTCTCCTGCCTCAGCCTCCCAAGTAGCTGGGACTATAGGCGCCCGCCACCACGCCCGGCTAATTTTTTGTATTTTTAGTACAGACGGGGTTTCACCATGTTAGCCAAGATGGTCTGGATATCCTGACCTTGTGATCCGCCCGCCTCGGCCTCCCAAACTGCTGGGATTACAGGCATGAGCCACCGCGCCCGGCCCCAGCTACTTTTTTGTATTTTTAGTAAAGACAGGGTTTCACTGTGTCAGCCAGGATGGTCTCAATCTCCTGACCTCACGATCTGCCCGCCTCAGCCTCCCAAAGTGCTGGGATTACAGAAGCGAGCCACCGCACCCGGCCTTTTTTTTTCTTTTCTTTTTAAAATTATTTAAAATAGCGATGAGGTCTCCCTATGTTGTCCGGATGGTTCTCAAAATCCTGAGATCAAGTGATCTTCCCATCTAGCCTCAAAAATGCTGGGATTATAGGAGTGAGCCACAGTGCCTGGCTGCTTGTGTGGTTCTGTTTGTTGCACAGAATTAAGCTTGGAGAATTTTAAATCAGATTGGCAGTATCTAAAGTTAAAGAATAATTAAAAAAAAAAAACCTGTAATAACTCTTCCTTCCCTATAGAAACTAAAAGAGTATTTAAAGTTGGGAAAGATAAATGACAATTTTAAGTATAGGAGGTATACACTATTCCTAAACTGCATTAAAAAACAGACTGAATTGTTTTGTCTTCCTTATAACAGAATTCATTCTGCTACACATTTCTGACGTTCTGGAGTTTTAAAATACCTGTTTATAATTGATTCTTTCCCCAGCTGGTAGATGGTCTGCATTCAACACCACTGAGTCATAGCAACGCTGTATTCTTCTAGGTCTTCTAACAGTTGTGCTATCATCCAGATGATCTAACAAGTTGCAGAATTTGAAGGTCCAGCAGTCTTGGAGACATGGACTCCAGATGACCACAAACCAACTCTTGCACTTTCATCCGCATTTCCTGTTGGGTTATTTAGATCTTTCCAGCTTTACTGTCCACAGTAAAAAAAAAAGCTGACAAAAATTCAAGATTTCAGCAAGAAGATGCGGTTCCCTGGTACTTCTTAGAATTGAGTGTATTCAGAGCAGTGTGTTCAGACTGTCCAGGTATTTCAAAATCTTCCCCTGTGATGTGGGTGTGCTGCTGAGTGACCAGCACATTCCTAGCAGCAATTGGTGAACTCAGAAAAAGTCAAACTAGACATAAACGGTAGATGCAGCCCAGTAAAACTGGAAGGTAATTCAAGGAAGACTGTGGACATGGTAGGTCAATATGATAGAAAAATAATATTTGTAATCCCCTCTGAATGTCAATACTTTGAGAGCTGTCTATATTATTATGATAAAACTCTGCTTAGTAACTATGGTTAGGGTAGTAAACAGATGGGTTAAGATGATGAGAGTACAGAATAGTAGAATTATCCAAGAATCCACCTTTGGGTTCACTACCTTCTGAAATTCTCCCCCACCTCTGCCTGCCCTCAATTAAAGAAACACTGAACTTCATTAGATTTTGAATGTCCTAAAAATATTTCATTTTCCTTTACTTATTTTTAATATCTTGAAAAATACTTTTTTGATAATCACATATAGTCAAAGGGAGTGAAATAAATTTCGAAGTGTGTTGGGTGTGAATCTTATGTATTTTTCTTGGGAACATGAATAAAAACAGTAATTATAATCTTGTAGTAATTGAACATTAAAAACTAGTATAGATAATAAGTGGCATAAAGAGAAGTCTTTTGATGGATATTGGAATGGAGTATTTGAAAAGATCTAAAGAATATAAGGAAGGCAGAAGTCTGCCTATTATTTAATAGGCCCACATTAGCTAGATAAGCCAGACTTAAAGAATCTTTAAACATTCTTATTAAGTTATTAAAACAACACCATTTTTACTGAAGAAATATCAGATATATTTTTCAAAAATTACCATATAAAACATTAGTAAATGCTACCATTTTGGGGATTTTCCTACATTAGAGATTTACTTGCTTAAAATACACTTATGAAACTTAGTTCAATAATACTAAATCCTCTGAAAATTTAACTCTGTGAAGAGTAATATAAAAAGCACCTTCTAAAAATTCCTTGTTGTGACACAGGGTCTCATCTGTTGCCCAGGCTGGAGTGCAGTGGCATGATCACAGCTCTCATTGCAGCCTCAACCTCCAGGGCTCAGGTGATACTCCCACCTCAGCCTCCCAACACAGCTGGGATCACAGGCACTCACTACTGCGCCTGGCGCTTTTTTTTTTTGGGGGGGGGGGGGTTGGGGACGATGTTGGAGGGAGCTGGGACAGGGTCTTACTATGTGGCCCAGGCAAGTCTAGAACTCCTAGGGTCAAGCAATTCTCCCACCTCAGCCTCCCAAATGTGTTGGAATAACAGGCATGAGCCACTGCGCCTGTCCTAAAGTTTTTAACAAGAAAACCCCAGTAGGATGTTTTCATCATTATTAAAACGATTTATTATTGGGATCAATGAATCATTGAGCTGTATGAGTTCCTTTTTTTTTTTTTTTTGAGACAGAGTCTCACTCTGTCACCCAGGCTGGAGTGCAGCGGCACAATCTTGGCTCACTGCAACCTCCACCTCCCAGGTTCAAGCAATTCTCCTGCCTCAGCCTCCCAAATAGCTGGGACCATAGGTGCACGCCACCACACCTGGCTAATTTTTGTATTTTTTGTAGAGATGGGTTTCCACCATGTTGGCCAGACTCTCGAACTCCTGGCCTCAAGTGATCTGCTTGCCTCAGCCTCTCAAAGTGCTGGGATAACAGGCGTGAGCCACTGCACCCAGCTGAGTTATTCCTTAAATAAAGAACCACTATAGTGGACCTTAAGAGACTATGCTTTTAAATGCCCTTGTTACTTAGAGACTGGAAGCAGGAATAACATAGAGCAATTGTTTTCAAACTCCAGAATTCCTAGGAGATTTCTTAAAGGATAACTTGCTGGGCTGGGGGTAGAAGTTAGGGGAATATGTTCCTCATGCTTATTTCATGCCTAAGGCCCGAAGGCCAGCTACATTTTCATGGTTTATGAGAGTTTCATGTAAGATTTGTCTTGAGCACAAAGTTTTGTATTAAAAAAGAAAAACAGATGTTTTCAAGATGTCAAAGAGCAAAAAGAAGTCTGTGTTCTGTGAAATGGCACTTTTCAGTAGCAATACAGATGTACTGCCTTGGAAGTGTATTTCTAAAAAGCAGTCAATGACATGTGATGTGTTTTATGAAAAGCCTAATTTTTCAAGTCCATGTTTATGTGATAATTTGTATGACCATTGTCTCTAATGTCACTATAAAATTTTTAAAAGATTTTAAGTTGCTTTTACAAAAAATAGCTACAATACAAAATAAGGATTAAACAAGTTTAATTACAGTTCTTTCCCCCGCCCCAATGAAACTAACTCAGTGGATCCAACTTCTCATCTTTAAGACATGGATAGGGCAGGACACAAATTCTGCTTGTTTATTGAATAAGAGACACACAGTAAACTAACAAAGAAACTAACTTAAAATAAGGTAATTCTTTCTGAAATCTGCTGAATGCCTGAAGTAAAATGTTCTAGGTCAGAAGAGATTTCAATCTAATTTTAGTTATAGAAACTGCAACTTGTGATGATCCTATTATCCCAGCTAGCTTTCGGCAAAATTGGTTTCATTTTGTGAGAAAAAGCAAATATACTATAGGTTGTCAGGTGTAACAAGTCCTTGGGTTAGAGACTCTGTTTGGTCTTACCTAAAATGGTAGGACTGTTTTTCAGTGACATTAGCTACATAACACATTATGAACTTCTTGGCACTATGATTAGTTATACGATGATTAAAACACTCAAAAGGAGCAACTATCCCAACTGAGATGCAGAGGCAGAGCACTGTGTGAACATTAGGGTTTGCTATCCTGAGTTTACATGTCACCATCTGAAAAACCCAACGACAATAAACCTTCAACTTTGAATCCTTCCCAAATACAAAAACATGGAATAGAAGCATCTCAACTTCATTCCTAACAGATGAGCTGCTGGGATGAGGATGACATCAGTTAATAATATTTCTTGAAAAGTATCTTCAGATTAGAATCTATTTTTAAATTATAAAATAGTTTAAATACAACACTAAAAATGTGAAGCAAAGATTAATCTATAAAGGCCAAGTTCAGACTAGGGCAGTATTCAGAAATTTAAAAATTAGAAACCAAGAGCCAAATCTTACTTGCCCACTACTTCCAGAAAGTAAGCAGGTATCAGGAGGTAAGCCCCAGAAATGGGAAAAGAAAGACAAAACATGAAAATGGGAGTTAAACTGTATAGCAACAGTGTGCCCTAACAGTTCTACTCCTTACAGGCAGTAAGAGTGCCAAAGAAAAGTAGAAAGGAAATAAGACTAGCGGTTTCAATGGCATTTGCCCCAGTTACCTTCAATTTGCAAGGCCTGGCTGCAGACTTCAATTCCACATTAAACCCTGGGAGCCTGATATTTGCAACATTGTGAAAAATCAAGCCAAAAACAAAGAAATCGTTTTGAAATTAAGATCATACGTAAACTGCAAATAAAAGAATTATTTTTGTGACTAGAAAAGATGTGCTGAGCTTTGCATTTATTTGAGCATTTAAGAGAGAAAATGAGATGCTCTGCAACTGAGAAGATAGACACTTTGGGGGTAATGCCAAACTCACCTCTTGAAATTACAACATGTTCACAATTTTCCATTTTAAATGCTAAAGCATTAACATGCAAAATAAAAAATCTTAACATTGTTAGTCTGAAATAAAGTCAAAATATGGCTAACCAAATTCATTATTAGAAATCAACAAGTGTTAGGTCTAGGATTTTGGATTGATTGATTATATTATATTCCCAACACCAAATTTTTGGAAAGGGGGTTAATGAATGAGTAAAAAAGATGCAGTTGTTAAAAAAATGACCCAAAATCCCAAGAGAAATGATATAAATATACACACATATATGTATATACAAATACATATACATATATATGAACAAGGACATTTGGGTTTAAAGTTAGTAGTCAAATTTTCCAAGGACGTCTTTTTTTTTTTAACGCAGAGCCAAATTTTTATGTATTTTAAAACCACCTCCTTGATCTAACACTGTTAGAAATGAATTACCCAATTTTGTATTCAATTTTTTCCCTGTAACGTCACTTGGTTCTTGGCTACTAACCTTTCATGTTACTCTTGGTTTTGTCAGTTTGCTTGCCTGTGGGGGTTTGGGCCTGCTGACCCTGCCCACTGGAAGAGGCTGCCTGCTGTGCTGCTTTCTGCTTTAACATTGTCCAATCAAATGTGTAGTCATATTGATGGTTCAGGGTCCTGGAACACATAAAATATTTTATGTTAATCCTTTAATAACAGAGTCCAGTTATATAACCTACTAACTTTTTAAGACAGTGACAGCATTTCTTTACACAACGAATATTTCCTCAAGTGTGGCAGCTTCTAAAATATTTCTTATTATAGATGAAAAAGGCAGCATGAAAACTGAAACATGAAATCAAGCTGTCAGTTATCTAGGGGAATACTCATAAGAGGAGGTACTTCCTAAAAACAAGTAAGAGTAAATATTCAACTGGAAGTTTGGGAATAAGATGTCTGACTGGTACCTGGGGAAGACACTTTTCTGGGGTTAAAAGATTACCTGAATTCTCTCTTTTTTTTTTTGAGACCATGTTTTGCTCTTGTTGCCCAGGCTGGAGTGCAGTGGTGCAATCTCGGCTCACTGCAACCTCCGTCTCGCAGGTTCAAGCAATTCTCCTGCCTCGGCCTCCTGAGTAGCTGGGATTACAGGCGCCTGCCACCATACCCAGCTAATTTTTGTATTTGTAGCAGAGACGGGGTTTCACCATGTTGGCCAGGCTGGTCTCGAGCTCCTGGCCTCAGGTGATCCACCCCCATCGGCCTCCCAAAGTGCTAGGATTATAGGTGTGAGCCATTGCACCTGGCAGATTACTTGAATTCTTTGTTTTTCTCTTTTGAGACAGAGCCTCATTGTCACCCAGGTTGGAGTGCACTGGGGGGATCTCAGCTGACTGCAACCTCCGCTTCCCAGGTTCAAGAGATTCTCCTGCCTCAGCCTCCCGAGTCGCTGGGATTAAAGGTGAGCACCACCTCACCCGGCTAATTTTTGTATTTTTAGTAAAGATGGGGCTTCACCATGTCGGGCAGGCTGGTCTCTAACTCCTGACCTCAAGCGATCTGCCCGCCTCGGCCTCCCAAAGTGCTGGGATTACAGGCGTGAGCCACCGTACCTGGGCGGATTACCTCAATTCTTACTCTCTTCCAACTAAGAGTTTGAGCCACATGTAATCTATTCCCCCCCCTTTTTCAAGACCAGTTCTGGGTTGTGCCTAAGGAACCCTACCCTAGTTTAGGACTGCTACCACTTGATCAGACTCCATGACTATGTGATATTTTAATTGCTTTTTATTTGGTACTGTACAAAGTTGGAGAGTTCCAGAAGGCACTGACAGCCACTTATATCTAATATGAATTATAACTATTCTGGAAAAGTTACATTCTACTTTGAGTATGATTCAACTCTCTATCCACTCCAAACTAAAATCACCTATTTACACTACAAATAGAAAAATGCCAAATTAGTCCCAAATAAATCAGTTTCTGAAACCTTTTATTCATGTTAGCTAGATCTGCTTTACTTTAGTATTTATCAGAATGAATTTGTTAGGTAAATTTAACCAATTTCCCTCACAGAGTTTATAATCTTAAAATACCTTAAAAACTGACCTGAAAAGAATGCGGAATAGCTGCCTCAGATACATGTAATCTGGGGCTTCCTCAAAGCGTAGCCCACGACAATAGTTTAAGTACATCGCAAATTCTGCAGGAAACCCCTATAGGTTCAAGGGTTAAAACAAAGTTAAAAACAAACATTTCAAGATAGAAAAATAAATGCATTTAAGTATAAGCAAAAAGATATTTTTGGGCGGGATATTTTACCATTTCATAGGAAGATATGAGAGCTAAAATGATGGCTTGGTCTCCTCATAAATTTAAATAAAATTTCATGACCCTACCTACCCTATTATGTACAATATTAGTAGAAGAAATACATATGTTCTTCCCATATAGTGCTTTTCCTATACAGTACTATGTTCTTAAATAACTTACATAGCCCACTTGTTAAAACCTGTCATTTTATCAAAGTCGCGCCTCTTCGTGAACTTTTTTTTTTTTTAAAGACAGGGTCTCAATCTGTCTCCCAGGCTGGAGTGCAGTAGTGTAATCTCAGCTTACTGCAACCTCCACCTCCCAGGCTTCAAGCGATCCTCCAACCTCAGCTTCCTGAGTAGCTGGGACTACAGACACGAGCTACCACGCCCAGCTAATTTTTTGTATTTTTTAGTAGAGACAGGGTTTTGTCAGATTGCCAAGGATGGTCTCAAATTCCCGAGCTCAAGAGATCTGCCCCCCTTGGCCTCCTTGGTCTCCCACAGTGCTGGGATTACAGGTGTGAGCCACCATGCCCAGCCTTCAGAAGTTTCTAAATGGTTGCATGATATTCTACCTAGTATATACATCATTAACTTGTTCTTTATAATTGAACATTTGGATGTATTCTAATTTTTCTCTATTATTAATAATACTGCTAAGTACATCTGTGGGCATAGAATTTTTCCATTTAGCTCCTTAGGAAAGATTCTCAACAATGTATAAACATTTTCAAGGCTCTAGGTATCAGTCACCAAAAGGATTTCCCCAATCAGCAATGTGGAAATACAAAATATTAAAAGAGCACAAACCTCTATATCTCCTCTCCTAGAGTAAATGCCAATGTGGAGAGTGGTAAAGTTAAAGGAGGCAGTCTCTTTCTACAACCTTATGATTGTAGAGTTAAAGTTACAATCTCTTTCTACAACCTTATGAGAAATTTCTCATGTCCTGGAGTTAGGAAGGATAGAATGGAAATGCTTGCAACATTTTTTATTGATTGCACCGATATAAATTGGGTGACCACTTGAAACATATACATATGTTAAAAGATGTAAAATAATACATATTATACATCTTTCTAAAACTCAACATTTATATACATTTATGGCCCGTGTTAATGGTAAACAGTATGACAATGAGACTGAAAACAATCTCACCACTTTATAATTACTATTTTAACTCTCACTGATTTCTTCCCTCAACTATTTATTTGTATACTGCTTTGTACTTAATTTCAGGTATACAATTCTTTCTTGTCTGAAAGACCATATGGCCTTCTTTTTATGGATGAGATCATGGTTATTCATCATGACACAAATACCTCTCTATTCTAAACTCAATTGCCTTTCTATGAAGTTGAAAATTTCAGAAAAAATGAGTGTGATTCAAACTGTCTTCTGTATTCCTGTATTGTTGGACAGCTGCTATTTTGGATTGCTCCAATCTGTCTGCATGTTTCCCTGTTCCTTAATGTACTAATTGTTGATAACCTTTCTTTTCCAGCACTAGTTTAGGGTAAGGAGAATATTTCTTACTTTTTCTTATAGATTAATGAGGTTCTATTGAAAATGTTTACCTGCCCTGTTTATTTACCCCTAGTTTTCAACAGATTAGAGAGCCCTAACAAACCAGAAACATAAAACACTTATTTTACTTACTTAAAACGTTTATTTAACTTATTTTTTATTATTTTACTTATTTTTGTTGTTGTTGAGACAGGGTCTCACTCTGTCACCCAAGCTGGACTGCAGTGGTGCAATCTTGGCTCACTGCAGCCTCGACCTCCTGGGCTCAAGCATCCTGCCCCAGCATCCCCAAGAAGCTGAGATTACAGGCATGCGTCACCATGCCAGGCTAATTTTTGCATTTTTTGTAGCGATGGGGTTTCACCATGTTGCCTAGACTGGTCTGGAACTCCCGGGCTCAAGCGATCCACCCTCCTTCAGCCTACCAAGTGGCTCCTCAACTGTGAGCCACTGTGCCTAGCAAAACACTTATTTAAAAAGACCCCTATGTTAAAAGTCCTTGTTAAAGATATTTAGAATAATAAAAATGTAAATTTAAAATGGTGAATAGCTACCTAATTCAATGTTACAAGTTCCAGAGCTGGCAAATAAAATGTTCCTTTTTCTTCCTGGATCATTCATTCATTCACTCATTTGAGACAGAGTCTTACTCTGTTACCTAGGCTGGAGTGCAGTGGCACAATCTCAGATCCTTGCAAGACAGCCAAGATTCACCACTGCAATTGGAGCCTCCCGGGCTCAAGTGATCCTCCTGCCTCAGGCTCCTGAGTAGCTGGGACCACAGACGTGTATCACTGCACCCAGCTAATTTTTGTATTTTTGGTAGATAAGGTATTTCACCATGTTGCCCAGGCTGGTCTTGTGGAACTTCTGGGCTCAAGTGATCCGCCCACCTCGGCCTTCTAAAGTGCTGGGATTGCAGGCTTGAGCCACTGTGCCCAGCCGGATCATTTATCTATTAAGGTAGAAATGGGGTTTCCCTATGTTGCCCAGGCTGGTCTTGAACTCCTGGGCTCATGTGACCTACTGCCTTGGCCTCCCAAAGTGCTGGGATTACAGGTGTGAGCCATTGTGCCTGGCTTCATTTATATTTTTTTAATATTCATCATGCATACTTACCTTACATAAAACTTCAACAGGCGTGGACATCTTCTTTTCACTAATCTTTTCATATTTTTGTTTCTTTGTTGCAGCCTGTGGAAAAGAATAAAATAAAAAAGATATACTCAGTGCTACTGAGAAGAACCATGGTAGTTTAACGCACTAGACATATAAACATATACCTGTGAGATTCAAGAGAAATTTTAACCCAGAATTTAAAAAATCAAAGTATAATACATCTAAAAAAAATTTTTCCCAAACTGTTAACTTCTGATGTAAGTTTCTTCTCTAAGAATTTAATTTTAGCTATAGGGAAAGGGTGAGTCTAATAGGAATATATGGATATTAGATTTAAGTAAAAATGGCTGGGGCCAAAATTGAAAAGCATTTTCTTTCTTTCTATATATTTTTTTAAGGAGATGGGGTCTCACTATGTTGCCCAGGCTGGAGTGCAGTAGCCATTCACAGGCTCAGCAGTAATTCCCTGTGGCCTCCAACTCCTGGCCTCAAGCAATCCTCCTGATTCAGCCTATCAAGTAGCTGGGACTACAGGTGTGCATCATCATACCCAGCTGAAAAGCATTTTCTTTCCTTTTTCCTTTTCTTTGTTTTTTTGTTTGTTTGTTTGTTTTTTTGAGACAAGGTCTCCCTCGGTTGCCCAGGCTGGAGTGCAGTGGCTCGATTATAGCTCGCTGTAGCCTCGAACTCCTGGGCTCAAAGCAATCCTCCCGGCTCAGCCTCCTGAGTAATTGGGGCTACAGGCATGTGACACTACACCCTGCTATTTTTTTTTTTTAAAGTAGAGGTGAGGTCTTGCCATACTGACCAGGCTGGTCTTGAACTCCTGGGCTCAAGTGATCCGCCTGGCTGGGCCTCCCAAAGTGTTGAAGATTATAGGCATGAGCCACCATGCTCAGCCTGAAAAGCATTTTCTTAACCCATGTTCAACACAAGGGCAAAGGCATCAGATTAATACAAAAAAATTTGTTCATCAATTAGTGACATTAATAAATGGAGTTAACTGTATAAGTCACAATATTTTTCTAAACTAAAAATACTCATATTAGATAAAGCTACCCACCCAAGGACTGAGCACTACAACTAGCTCACAGCCACTCAATAAATACAGGTATTCCTTCAAAGAACTGGTAAGGTACCAAAATAGCCATTAAAATTTAGGACACACCAACAGTGGTGACTCACACCTGTAATCCCAGTTCTTTGGGATGCTGAAGCAGGAGAATCACTTGAGCCCAAGAGTTTGAGACCAGTCTGGGCAACACAGTGAGGCACTGTCTCTACAAAAAATAATTTAAAAATTAGCTGGGCATGGTGGCATGTTCCTGTAGTCCCAGCTACAGGTAGGAGGCTGAGATAGGAGGACTGCTTGAGCCCAGGAGGTTCAGGCTGCAGTGAGCCAGGCATTCCGGCTTGGGCAACAGAGCAAGACCATTCCCCATGCCCCCACCCCCACCCAAAATTAGGATACGGTGATTTATCATTAACATACACTCACAAAAGTAACAGTAAACTCCTAGCTAATAGAAACAAAATGTTAGGACATGTATTGCTGGATAAACAGGTCTTGCTGTACATAAAAACATACATTTTCAACATAATGGCAACACATCAAAATGAGAAAGTCTCCACCTTTCTTAGTCCATGCCCACTTCCATCTAGATAGAGCTAGTGGCTACCAGTGGGTACCAGCTTACTGTCTCTTAGAGGACACTGTTCTTCAGCTGAACTAAGTTCTTACTAAAATGATCTGGTTTCATTTTCCCAGATAAAAGGTAAAAAGTAAATTAAGGTTAATTCTTTATATCTCAGAAAAATCTCAGACTTAGAAGGGACCTTAAATCTTATCTTCTCCAATATATATTTTTATTCTAAAAAAGAGAGAGAAAAATCTGATAATGTGAGTCTGGTTTACCTTTAGCCCTTGCCATGGCAGGCTGGTTCTATTAAAATACATCAAAACATATCCTAATGATTCCATGTCATCTCGGCGACTAGAAAAGAGAACGTAATTTTATAAACTGGAACTATTATTATGAAAAAACATATGAAAGAAAGTCAAGTACCCAGAAGAAATGTTCCCAAATGAGGAGGGAACACTATTTGGTGTCTTACGCAAGAAGCTACTTATTTAAGGTGATTTTAAAAAGTTCATGTGTTACCTACCTCTAAACAAAACTTTTTCCATGGAATCCAAAATCTGACAAACAACTGTCTTACAATTTAATTTTAAAAGAACAGAAACGATTTGGCTAAACAACCCTCTAAATGAGCTTAATGAACCAAGCAGGATGACATTTCTATGTTTTGCAGAAACTCATTAAAAAAAAACTTCAGAAGTACTGAAAAGGAGTTACAACTTAAAACTAATTGAACATCTATATGAATGTATTCATGCATACATATCTATATACACATACATACAAATATATATTTAGATATATATATATTTAAGGATAGGTAATGCCTTGGCGTACAGAAAAAGTGACATTACAGTTTAACCTAGATCATTCAGATATTCATGGATATTTCTTAAGCCTGAAATTCTTGGTATGAGGTTCTTTAACCTGGAGGCATATCATTGTTTTTTCTACTTATTACTTCTATGCTAGTTTTAAGGAGCAAAAAGTGACTGTAAAAGATGAAAGGAACTCGAAACTCTAGAACTCATGTGAAGAAATAGGAAGAGAGCAGAGACTGTTACTTTTTTTACTTTAAACTAGATCCTATTAATTTATATATTTGAGTGAAGTATAACAGGAGATGGTCCATCAACCCACTTTTGGTTTATTAGGACACTGATAACATTTTCCTTTTAAAAATAAATAATGCATTCTTCCCAAACTCAGCGTGAATTACTAAAGTATAAAAAGCCCCAAATAGCTCTAAAAATATATGTACTATCTTCAGCTGCAAAAAGAAACGTCAACATTGCACTTATGCTTCTAACTTTCTATCACGCAGTATTTTCCCCCCAAGAGACAACCTTCAACAACAACAAAAAATCCAGAAGACCTCATTTAACGGTCTTCTCTACACTGGTTAAAGCAGCAGGTAAAATGATTAATAAGCATCCTTCAAATCCTCAGCCAAGAAACATCCTTAGACATTGTAAGAAACTAAAATATTTCAAAAACCCATTGATGGCTTCTGCTATGGCTATGATAAGCACATTCCATTTTCGAACTTACCTCTGCTCAATACCAAGATGTGCATTGATGCTAGCATATCGGGCAGTGCCAGTGAGGTTTTTATCTTCTCTGTATGGTATGTGTTGCCTTGTCCTGTTGTCTCTGTACTTTTTGGCCAAACCAAAATCAATAAGGAATAACTTTAAAAGAGAAATACAGAAACATTAGGTTTCCAACCTTGTTCAATTAAACTGCGTCTTATTCATTAAATGGTATCTATTCTATGCATTCAAATATATCAAAATAAAGTATCCTAAGTATTAATAGAACAGATAATGAACAGACTTAACACCCCCCCATAAGCTTTTACTAGTCTTCATCAATAAATCAAGTTAAAAAAAAAAAGTCTAGTAGTTTATCCTTGTCGTTTGCAGATTTCACAGGCCCATTTCATTACATACTCAGGAACCTGTCTTTATAAAGAAAGAAATGTATACATGCTTGACAGCAGAAGCAACAAGTGTGCTATCTGTCATAATGACACCTGATAGTCTGTACACCTGTTACTACTGGTAAACAAACATGAGGTTTCAAAATCTAGATATAATGGCCGAGCGCGGTAGCTCACGCCTATAATCCCAGCACTTTGGGAGGCTGAGGCAGGCGGATAACTTGAGGTCAGGAGTTCAAGACCAGCCTGACCAAACATGGCAAAGTCCCACCTCTACAAAAAATACAAAAATAGCCGGGCATGGTGGCACATGCCTGTAGTCCCAGCTACACAAGAGGCTGAGGCAGGAGAATCGCTTGAACCCGGGAGGCAGAGGTTGCAGTGAGCCAAGACCGCGTCACTGCACTCCAGCCTGGGTGACAGAGCAAAACTCTTTCTTAAAAAAAAAAAAAAAATCCAGATATAAACTATCTGAACTCTTCCCTCCTACAAAGGCCATTCTTAAATGTGCCAACAGAATACTTGTTATCTACCCTAAAAGTCTGACATTGCCAATGAAACCAAGACTTTTTATTAATAAAAAATACTACTTAGCACTGACATTATACAAATGGGTCAGGTTAAACTTCTGGAAAATTTAACAAGTTGATATAAAAATCCCCCCAAAAAGCGCTTAGCATTTAAATCAAGGTGGCTTACAATTAGCAGTTTAAGTGAGCTAACTAAAAACAAAAACTAGTGTTTAGAACAAAATAACGTTTAGTGTTATCATGTCTATATGGTACTCAGGGAATAAGGTATTCATTTATAATGTAGCTAATTGTTGTATGTAATTCAAGTTTACACTCCAGAACTTAAGCCTTTTATAAGTAAATAACTATTTTTATGAAAAAGAAATCCAAAACATATTCATATTTACCTACCATATGAAAAGAAATAATCTTTACTTAAAATTTTGGCTTTTGTCATAAAATCACCTATTATGCTATATTTTAATAAAAGTTAATCTACAAATATTAAGCTAGGCAGGTCTATGTGCCCTTACACTATATAGCCCTAGTCTGTTGTTCTCTAGTTACTCCTAAATTTTGTAGTTCTTCTCTCCATTAGACTACTGGGTCCCTTTTGCCAGTTTATAATTTGTGATGTGCTGGGAAACTTGATCACCTAACCTGCAGATTTCATGTCAATAAATAAAGCAAGTTACTGATTTAGGTTATAAAGATCTGACCAGTACCTCTCCTAGGAGCATGAGTAACATCTATTTCAGCCAAGCATTATAACCTATTCTCAATTATACTTTGGACAGTAAAGACACTGACAGTTGAGCTTCAGTCACCATGTCAACGAGATACTGATTTTTACTTAGTCTACTATAAAAGAATGAAGATTAAATTATTAGTAAATGTTAACTGGATGATGAAGACTCTCAAAGTAAAAAGATTAAACTCCCTTCCTAAGCAATCAAGTCATTACAGGAAAATTTGTGTTGTAAAACACTAAGAAATAAAGCTTATACTTTAAGTTTCTCTTGATATGAAAACCAGATCAGTACACAAATATTAAAATGAGCAAAATACATTTGTTAAGCAAAACAAAAGTGATGATTAAGTTCTGCAGATTCATAGTGAAAAGAAAACATGGGGAAAATAAACACAAAAGGACATTCAGCTTCATGGTATTTAAAAAATATCTCTAAGAAATATGTAGACATTGAATGAAGAGTGATTAGTACATAGAATTTCCTCCAGTTCACATTTTCTAGGATTGCTTCCTTTGGTACTTTAAAATGAAGGACAAAAGGGAAGAGCTCTGACATGAGTATGTCTAACAGTTTCATTCATGTCTAAATCTACATTCAATAGCTTCATTTGTGACTCAATAACCAGACACTTTCTCACAACCAAAAGACTGCTTTATAAAAATTCAGTGTTCGCTGGAGAGTTCTTTCCTCCCACAACGCTAAAGGAGGAAACCTTATTTATCAAGTAAACTACAAATATGTAAACACGATCTTCTTAAACATCTCAATCTAAAAACAAAAATCTAAAGAGCAAATAATTTGAAATGTTCTCCTCTTATAAAAACTGAAAATACATCAGGAAAAAAATGTTAGTACTGAACAAAGATAGCCTATTCTCAGTAAACAACTGAAAGGAAAACTACTTGAAATTAAAAAAGGAAATAAAACTATTGGTGGTTCATTACCTTCGGGTACCTATCAAGCTTCTTTAGTAGCTCTCTCTGTATGCTTTGCTGTTTAAAACTAATAAATATAAACATATAATGGAAATGTTTACATGAAACCACATGATGCCAAAGATACAACCAAAAAGCTGTAAATATGTAAAGGCAGAACCAAATGAGGAAAAGTCAGTATCAAATAAGCGTAAGATAATGCATTTTTACTATAGGCTTTTATGTGCAAAGACACAGGCACTTCCTTCAGTGAATCAAGCTCCTTTTCTGTGGATTTTTACTAACTACATGTTATGAGTAAAATCTGCGCCCATTTTAAACAATGCAGCCTATTCTTCAAAGGCACAGGGAACTGAGTTGATAAATAGGGGATAATTTGACCAGGTGCAGTGGCTCATGCCTATAACGCCAGCATTTTGGGAGGCCAAGGCAGGTGGATCACTTGAGGTCAGGAGTTCAAGACCAGTCTGGCCAACATGGTAAAACCCCATCTCCACTAAAAATACAAAAATTAGCCGGGCATGGTGGCGCATACCTGTAATCCCAGCTATTCGGGAGGCTGAGACAGAATTGCTTGAACCTGGGAGGTGGAAGTTGCAGTGGGCCAAGATCGCACCACTGCACTCTACACTCCTGCCTGGGCAACAGAGTGAAACCCCGTCTCAAAACAAAACAAAAAAACCCCCCAAAAAAAACAAAAAATAAAACCAAAAACCAAAAAAAGTAGGGGGATAATTCCATAATTCCATTCAATAGAGGCACATTTTCTTCAAAATCACTGTGGCTAATCTTAGTGTTTAGTACTTGCAGCATTTTTTTTTTTTTCCTAACCAGGGGTCATAATTTCCCTTGCCCTTCTAAAACATTCACAAGGTCACTTTACTAAAAACCTAGCTAACCTGTATGTACAAAATCTAAACAATGTAATACAACTTTCTTTGTAAATTATTAAATGATGCTACGAAATGTAAGCAAAATATGTGAATGGGTAAGTAAAAATGAGGCACTATAAAACTAGTTTTATTCTTATAATATGCCTAATGATCCACCATCTACTGTCTTCCCCCCACCCCTTATCTAACTAGTCACAATACTTGGTACTTCTTTGCCTGAATAAAAATAACTCTGAATTTCTGAAACCTTTTTTAATAGCTGGAGGTGGTTCCTGGAATAAAGCTGGGCAGTATGGAAAAGGGTTAAATGATTATCCAGATGATACATGTGGATAATTTAAGGTATTACAAAGCATGTTTTTTGTTTTTTGATTATTCATGCCAATACTTCCTCTTCACTGTATACTAAACTGAATGATTAAGATTCATTTGCTCAGGAGCATGAACATTTATGAACTTAAATTTTGTGATAAAAAAGCTATTTAACTTCAACAAAAGTGTAACAAAATATGAAGAGTTCTACTTACAAATTTAGAAAATTAGTAGGGTGTTTATCCAGCCTGCCAAAAACTAAATTTAATATATTTCAATGTATTACTAATGGTAATCTACCATATAACTTGATAAGTGCTTAAGCTATGTTATTGTTATATTGTTAAGAATGCAGTATCTTCTAGTTCCAGAGCCTATAATGCTCTGTAAATATCCATTTGCTAGAAGTTGAGAATACAGACTGAGGAAATAAGTTCTAGAAACACTAGATCTGAAATCTGATCTACACTTACCTGAAGTTCCTTAGGGAAGGGGAAGAGAGGTGAGGTAGAATATATTCATTATACAGCACTAATGAACTGAATTTAAATATATTTCGTGCATTAAGTTGTGTAACTCCAAATAAATTTTTAAAAACTAACGATCTATCTCAAGTTTACTATTAGGTAAACAATTTCAGTACTAGACCAACATCATTTCCTCATATGTATGTTAGAGAGCTAAACATAATATCCTATTTTCATTTAGCTTTTTTCTAAACTTTATAAGTTTTAAGCAAAAGCCACAAAGAAATATCTTAGTAATGTTATGTTTGCCAAGTATGTCTGAATAATGCCAACGTAAGAGGTGCTTGAGCAAGATCTACATTCTCCAGAATTAAAACAAAACAAAAATCATCAAAATAAAACAATAAAAAAGAAAAGCACATGAATTTGGGATTGAGGTTGGAATAGGAGACAGTTTCAGACCTGGTTTAATCCTGAGAAAGATGGGTCCTGAGAAGTACTAACAGTCATGCTTCTTTTCCTCTTCCCCACTGGAGATTCTAAACACTAAACAGACAATAGAGGGTGGCAGTGCATCAAACAGTATTGCTTACATTGCAACAATGGCCGGCGCAGACAGGCAACACCGAGGCATTAGAGAAAGAACAGGGTAGCCAAATGCCATCCTTCTTCCACCAAGCACTGTAGCTTCTCAGTTTTCCAAATAAGAATCACATGCTCAAGAACATTTGAATTCTGGAAATTACTCAGGTTTTTAATGCCACTATTTTGTGTCACTGCCTGAAACAGGGATAGCAATGGTGACATTTGGCTCTTTTATATTTTTAATCAAAAATGGGGAATTTAGATCTGCAATCTTTGGTACCACAATCTGCCCTTCCCCCCCAAAAAAATATTGTACGGGGGAAAAAAATCTTCAGTAAGGAAGAGGTAGAAGGCATTTAGTCACCTTAAAATTTATTTTCGTAAGCATGCAGGGCTGATTACTGGAAGAGATGAGCAAATTCACTAAGATTGGAGTGGCCACTCCTAAATATCAAATTCAGAACAATTTTCCAAATAAGAAATTTAACTTTAAAAATTGTCCTCAAAAGCCCCCCAAAACCTTTTTTTCCCCATGAATAGAAAACTACTGGAACAAGCTGACCAAAGAATCCAGTCTCATACAACTGGCATTTTTCAAACTACAATACAGAAAACACTAAAAATCAACTACATAAACAAAACACTAATCTAAAATGTTCAAGAGCAACATTTAGCATTTGAATCTTAGTTGAGTAAAACACTTTGCTTCTTCCCCATGGCCTCTCTAAAACAGTGTTAAGCAGCAAGCAGCTCCACAAAATTATTTTTAATATCTCAAGGAGAAAAGGAGACCTAAACCTCCTAAAAAGGTTTTCACCACTAGATAACTTACACTTCCTTAAGACAACTATGCGATTAACAAGCTATTCTTAAGGGGGTTGTGGGGGAGGGGGGGAAGGCAAAGTGATATCTAGGTCATCATTTAAATTTAAGGCAAAAACCACGTACTGCAATGTCAACGATGCAGAATAGGAATCACATGGTGATAATGGGTTTTTAGGGGGTAAGAAAACAGGAAGGAGAGGGCTGGGAAATGGCCAAGAAGATTGGAGTCAAATGGACAAAACTGCCCCAAAACTTAAGAACAGTAATTTTTTTTTCAATTGAATTACCAGGCTTTACAGTAATAAAAACCTGGATACTTCAGAGAAAAGCTATAAAATATTTTTTAATGCAACTTGGGAATGACAAGATAAGTTATGTGTATATTTAAACACCTTTCATTATTTAAAGCTCAACAAAAAAATTTAATTTCCTAAAACCTAATCAGACCAACATCAGTATCTCACATTGACAAATAACACCAATTCTAATGGTAATGTCTCCCAGTTGGCATTCATACAGGCAAACAAAGGTAAACATTTATAGCTAGACCTAAAAACACCAAACATTTCCTAATAGTTTAGTAAAACAAATGGGCATCTTCCTTCCAAAAACAAAACAAAAAAGCCACAAAAAAACAAAAAAAGCCCCCAAGTTGTCCTGAAGTTGAGAATTTCTATCAGATAGATCATCAGATCACAACATGCTTAGTGCATTGCCAATGCTGCCTGTCTGCCCGAGCTCAACATAGTATCGATAAAGAAAGCAATTCACTCAGTAAGACTAATCATTACAGAAAAAAAGTCAACACAATTAGTTTCTAACTGCAATCATGCGCCACTAGCTAAAACCCAATCACCCCATAAGTTGAACCACTCTCAGAGACCCCAAATGAACACTAGTTTTGTTGTATGAATGTTCATTTCACTTGTCTACATTTTCCTTTAAAGGGAGAGGGAGGGGTGGAGAACTCACCCAATTTGGCACCCAAGTAAAAAACTGTCAACTACTTTTGAAGCAGGCCCAAAAGTTACCCTTTTAAATACACAAATTCAAGGACTGAAGAATTCTCATTATCAACCATGCTCAGTCAGCAAATGTTAACACCATGGTGACAGATAAGTCAGTGTTCCCACACTGGCACAAGCACATATATTATAAAAACCCACACTTCAGAGCCAAAGGTTAAAATCTGGTTTTAAGCATTCAGGAAGAAAAGAATATGGGGGTTTTTGCTATTTTTGTGAATGAAAAATAGATACAACTGTTCAACAGTTAAATAACTTAGACAACTACAGTTCATTATACAGCCCTTAGAATTTTATATTTCCATATAGGTAACTAACCTCGGTTGGGTAAGTTGAAGATAATTTATTTCAAGTTACTAAGTTAATGGAGTTAGCTGATTATCCTCATAGCACAATCTTTTAAAGCAACTGTCAACAGCAAATTCAACTTACTATGGCTTTTTAAAAGATTGAAAAGTTTACCAAAGCAATTCTTGTCGAAACTTTACTCTTTGTTCTTTCATGCAAAGAGCATTTGACTAACCTTATTACAGTGACGCCCAATACCCATTAGGAAGTTATCTGGTTTAATGTCTCTGTGTATAAAATTCTTTGTATGCACATATTCAATTCTACTGATCATCTGGAAAAAAAAGAAGGGAGAGATAATTGAGTTAAGTAGTAAATGAAAATCAACACATTTCTTAAGTATTTCAGTATCTCAATTATTTAGAGTTCACAAAGACAGCGCTAAAGAAAATGAAATGGAAAGGACAACTAAGTTCTCCATTTATTTCTAGGTTAATGGATATCTAAGCATATACCTGCTGTGTCCTTTGGCTTTACCTTCTAGTATTAATAATTAAAACCATGGCAGGGTCTAACCCCATAGGAAGACTTGGTGTTTGTGATTTTCAAATAATAAAAGGAATACCTGTATAATAGTTTCAGTTGCTACAATAAAGGAAATAAAATAAAAACTTTCCACACTCAATCCTAGGCCTTCTAAAGTAACCTGTTAAAATGGCCTTGTATTACCCAGACCTAATTCCATGTTATAAGATATACATATGCACACAAACAGATACACATATACTTGGGAGTGGAGGATGTTGACAGATTGGCAGATTAAGCTATAAGTAGTTGTTATAATTCTTATATAATCTCATTCCAAAAGTTAAATATTAAACATGCCATTCTTAAAAGCTTTCCTTAATTTCTTGGAAATTATGCAAAGTCAAACGCTATAGCTCAAATATCCTTTTTAATGGCTACAAATATTCTGTGGTAGAGATGTTATGTCTTCCCCAACTCACAGTATTCTCACATTGTTTTCCACTTTTTCCTACTATAAATAATGCCATTAATAGACATGTATCTTTACCCACTAGTGCTTTTATTTCTATGGGCTTCAAATCCCATATAATTATGGGGAGTTGCTGAGTTGAAGGGTGTATTTTTCATTTTGATAGATAATATCACACTGCCTTCCACAATAGGCTGTAACAATTTGGATTTACTCTTCTTTTTTTTTTTTTTTTTTTGAGACAGGGTCTCACTGTCACCTAGGCTGAAGTGCAGTGAAGCAACCATAACTCACTGCTGCCTCAACCTTCCAGGCTCCAGTGATCCTCACACTTCACCCTCTGGAGTAGCTGAAACTATAAGGTGCATGCCACTACACCTGGCTAATTTTTTTGTGTCAGCTAATTTTTAATTTTTGGTAGAGACGGGATATCGTTATGTTGCCCAGCTGCTCTTGAACTCCTGGGTTCAGGAGATCCTCCTGCCTCGACCTCCCAATGTGGTAGGATTACAGGTGTGAACCACCATGCCCGGCCTCGATTTAGAAGTAATCCTTCCATGAGGATTTTTTTTTTTTTTTGAGACAGAGTCTCACTCACTCTGCTGCCCAGGCTGGAGTGCAGTGGTGCAATTTTGGCTCACTGCAACCTCTGCCTCCTGGGTTCAAGCGATTCTCTTGCCTCAGCCTCCCGAGTAGTTGGGATTACAGGCACCCGCCACATGCCTGGGTACTTTTTTTTATTTTTAGTAGAGACAGGGTTTCACCATGTTGGTTTCCAGCTCCTGGCCTAAAATGATCCACCTGCCTCGGCCTCCCAAAGAGCTGGGATTACAGGCGTGAGCCACTGCGCCTGGCCCTTCTATGAGGATTTACTCTTCTATGTACTGTCAAGCTCCACTCTTTGCCTATTTTTCTTTCGGCCTATTGTCTTCTTGTTAGCTTTTAGGAGTTCTCGTCATAAAACAAACAATCTTTTATCTGTCATTATGTAAACAAATTTAAATTATTTTTTATTTTGACTGCTTATGGCATTTCTTGTATACAATAGAAGTTCTGTGTTTTTTTGTTTTTTTTGAGACAGAGTCTCACTTTGTCACCCTGGCTGGGGTGCAGTGACGAGATCACGGCTCACAGCAGCTTCAACTTCCGGGGCTCAAGTGATCCTCTCAGCTCAGCCCCCTGAGAAGCTGGAACTACGGACATGCGCGTTACCATGCCCAGCTAATTTTTGTATTTTTTGTGGAAAGGGGGGTATCGTTATGTTGCCCAGGCTGCTCTCGAACTCCTGAGCTCAAGTGATCCTCCTGCTTCTGCCTCCCAAAGTGCTGGGATTGCTGGCATGAGCCATCACACCCAGCCTCTATCTTTTCTATAAGACACTTACTTAGAAGTTGTATTTTTAAATAGATTACATATCCAAAGACTGCCAACATTATCTTTCTGTCCATATGTTCTTGCTCTACCCAGTAGTATCTGTTAGGATTCTATTTTTTATTTGTCCCCATTTTCCCCAGAGCTTTTATTATCATGAATACACAGATTCTAAATTGTACTCTTCTACCTTGACAAATGTCTTCTGAAGCCAAACTAGTAATCTCTGGCTTGAACAACTTACACCTGTTACCTGTCAACCACAGAGCAAGACTTAGGTGTCAACTACCTTAAATGAAAGCTTTCTTGTATCTCCCTTCCTCAGAATTATATTTTTTCACATTTGTTACCCGTGTACCCAACAGAGACTTCTACAACTCTACAACAAGGATGGAACATCTTATTTTTCCATCTTTCTTTATTAGACTCTAAGTTTCTTTCTAGAGGGAAGAGACTAATTCTTATTTTTTTGCCACCCCAACCCCCAGCACTAAGTACAGTGGTAGGCTCTCAATACATGTTCAATGTATGGATGCTTACGTGTTACTGAACAAACAAAAACATAAGCCATAACTCTTTTATTAGGATTCACTCATATATGTTAGTTAAAACATATTAAAGGCTTTTTTTTTTTTTGAGACAGAGTCTCGTTCTATCCCCCAGGCTGGAGTGCAGTGGTGCGATCTCGGCTCACTGCAATCTCCACCTCCTGGGTTCATGTGATTCTCATGCCTCAGCCTCCCGGGTAGCTGGGATTACAGGTGTCAGCCACCACGCCTGGCTAATTTTTGTACTTTTAGTAGAGATGGGTTTCACTATGTTGGCCAGGCTGGTCTCGAACTCCTGACCTCAGGTGATTTACCGGCCTTGGCCTCTCAAAAGTGCTGGGACTGTAGGCATGAGCCACCAAACCCAGCCCACATTAAAGGCTGTTAACATAAAAGAGATGGGGTCTTTGCTCTATTGCTCAGGCTGGAGTGCAGTGGCATTATTATAGCTCACTGTAGCCTGGAACTCCTGGGCTCAAGAGATCCTCGTGTCTTGGTCTCCCAAAGTGCTGGATTACAGGCGTGAGCCAGTGTGCCGCGCCACTTTTAACCTTTTAATGCTTGAGTTTGTTTTGTGCCACAAATATCACAATTTGCTCACATTTGCTTGAGCCACTGAGTACTTTTAAGGTTAAGAAGCTTGGGGAGTATCAGGTGCTGATTACAGAAAATGGGCACTACTTTCTAATCCTTGGAATTATAGACAAAGTTTTTTCATTGATCTATAATAGTTGTATATATTTATGGGGTATGTGTGATATTTTGTTACATGTATACAATGTGTAATTATCAAATCAGGGTAGTTGGGATATCCATTACTTCAAACATTTATATTTTGTGTTAGGAACATTACAATTCTACTCTTCTAGCTATTTTGAAATAAACGATAAGCTATTGTTAACTATAATTTCCCTACTATACTATGTAATACTAGAACTTATTCCTCCTAACTGTATTTTTGTGCCCATTAACCTACTTCTCTTCATCCCTCTGAATTTACAAACTTACTAAAATTCCACCTCAAATACCATGTCTGTTTATCTCATTTTACTTTATGACATTTACTTGAAAGAAGCTCACAGTGATGCTTTGGGTAATACATAAATAATAGTATTAAAAGGTAAGTGATAAAGTAAATAAAGGTAAGTGATAAAACAAATAACCTGTGTTCTCCTTTCCCTTTTCCTCATTTTATTTTCTTCTGTTATTTTCCCTCTTCCTTTTTATGTGATAGGCAAATCTGGACTAGAGAGCTGTCACAAACCCTCCATTATATTTTTAAATGTCATTCTCTTCATAGTATTTTTATAAGCACACTGAGTTTAACTTAAAGCATTTCCAGCATTTTCCTGCCCTTAAAGGTAACAAATACTGATCAAAACAAAAAATTATACATGTCTTGATATTTACCAATCATTACCTTAATGTATTATCTTTTCCCTTAAGGTTTGTTCCTTACTCATCTTTCTCATTTCTTAAGATCGAAATATCCAAACTTTGGCTGTAAAAACCATTTAATCTAACCTACAGCCAATGCATCAATCTAATTCATGACATCACCAAAATTTCCTAGGTCTTAAGTAACACAAATGGTTGAGAATCCATTACTCCAAGCAGCATCTACTTGGTCAAAAAATTCTTCCTTATATTACTTCAGGACCTTTTTATCCTCAAAAATATAGCTTTTCTAAGAGTCCCACACATAATACATAATATTCAATTTTGCTTAATTTAACCAAAATGTCAATAAACATTTATCAACAATTATATGCATACATACACTCTAAACTCTCCAAACAAAATCTTACAATAACCTGCTACATATGACACTAAAACTTCATCTGAAGGAGCAGATTGAAAACTACTAGTCTACAGATGAGTAAGAAACCAAGATAATTCCAGGTTTTGTCTTATTCCCATAGGAAAATATCTACAAGTCACATTATTATTTTTTTTCTGCCTATGCTAAGGTTAAATAGTGATGCACAGGATTTTAATACTCTGATTTATGAATAATGAAATTCCAGTCAACAGTACTAGTCTCAGTTTATATTCTAATCAAAATTTCACATACCTGGTCAGCTAACATAAGTACAGTTTTCATTGTGAACCTTCTTGAACAGAAATTGAAGAGGTCTTCGAGGCTAGGTCCCAGAAGATCCATGACTAGTACATTGTAGTCTTTTTCCTGACCATACCACCTAACGAAACAAAAGGAGAAGAGAGGATATTACAAAAAGCTATTACTTAATATCATCAACCCTAAGAATAATATAGTTTTCTTTCACTGACTAGGTATTATATAAGGCGAATGTTCCCCTACTCAGAAGACAAACCCACTAATTAACTACAAGGCCCAAAGACAAAACAAGGGTAATGAGACTTTTTTTTTTCCCTGTCATGCAACTCCATTCTCCTATATAGATAGGACATGCATAGTAGCCTTAACACTCCTGTTACCAGGGCAGCTGAATTTTATACCCACTGGCCACTGATTCCTATGGCCTTTACCAAATTCCTTAATCTCACCTGAATTTACTTTGTAACTGAAGAAATGAAGATGACTCTATCAGTCATTCCAAAATGTTTCAGAAAGCAAAGATTTCTTTTATCTGAACTTCGATTCCAGTTCCTACCAAATTGCATTTAATCAATAATTACTTGTCCTTATTCAAAAAGGAGTCACATTTTTCCTTGGCTTCAGATCACAGAAAATAACCCATATAACACAAGGTAATGACATTTATTTGCTTTTAACTGGAATCATGTTTTAATTATCCTGGGCTGTATTACTGTATACAATGTGTCCCTAATAAGAAGTATCAACTGCCAATTTCATTTATCCCAAGGACTGAAAATCACTGCAATAAATTATTTCAAATTTTGATGCCTATGATTCTGGTAAGAGTACTTTCCTTAAAATAAGCACTACCACTTTTCTTTCAAACTTTTCTAGATATTAAATTCTGCTAAGAAAATCAGGTGATACTTAAAATTTTGTTTAAAAAGTTATTTTAAAGCTTAAACTGCAGTCATTTCTTTGTTAACTCCAATAAGAACCAATCCCAAAATTTACCATATCTGGAAAGCTTATGTTTTAAAAATATTCAAAAGGGGAGAACAGGCTTTTCTTCCTTTCCCTTCCTTCCTCCTTATTTATCTATTTATTTATTTATTCATTTATTTTTAGACAAGGTCTCGCTCTGTTGCCAGGCTGGGGTGCAGTGGCAAATCACAACTCCTGCAGCCTTTGACCTTCTGGTCTCAAGCAATCCTCCTATTTCAGCTTCCCAAGTAGCTGGGACCACAGGCGTGCCATCATGCCCAGCTAAATTTTAAAAAAGTTTTTGGTAGAGACATGGTCTTTCAAATTTCTTGTAAAGGCAGAGTCTCCCTACGTTGCCCAGGCTAGTCTCTAACTTCTGGACTCAAGCGATCCTCCTGCCTCAGCCTCCCAAAGCACTGGGATTACAAGTTGAACCACTGTACCTCACCAGCTTTTTAAGAAAACTAAAATCTGTGTCAAAATTATAACAAGTATCAGTCAAGTAGGAAACTGTTTAGTGCCATTTCCTGCTTTGCTGATAAATGCCAATGATTCAAGAAAATCAATATTAAAACTAGAGTATGAGGATTTAATCTTTTAAGAATATTTTTCTAGAAAATGCAAAGATAACTATACAGATGTGCTACTCTTGTGGCTCTTCTTTAAGAAAAGAGTCTATTCTAACTAGTGGTCCTGGGCACCCATTAACCCTTGATGGCATCTACCAAAACTGCAGAAATTTCAGGCATAGCACCTGAGAAAGGGGGGGGAGCCTCAAATCAGTCAGCTTTAATTTCAGATCTATTCAGATAGGTCTCATAGTCAGGTATAATAAATATGCTCCCTAGAATCTTATGTTGAGAGTAAGAGATCCTAAGAGGATTATAAGCCAAAAAGTTCAGTTCCTTCCTACGACTTTTGCTTCAGTTGTTCTTGAGAACTACTTCCCAAACCTGACACATGGATAACTGCCAAGCACACAAAATCAAATCCATTTCCACATCCTCTTTGCAGAAAAAGATAACCCAGTAAGGGAAAAGTTCTGCTTAACTTTCTAGAGGTCTTGCCCACTAGGCTAGGAAACAAATGTGTCAACGTGACAGCAAAAGAGCCATTTTTTTTTTTTTGAGACACAGTCTCTTGCTCTGTCCGACAGGCTCGAGTGCAGTGGTGCGATCTTGGCTCACTGCAACCTCTGCCTCCCAGGTTCAAGTGCTTCTCATGCCTCAGCCTCCCAAGTAGCTGGGATTATAGGCGCCTGCCACCACGCCCAGCTAATTTTTGTATTTTTAGTAGTGACGGCGTTTCACAATGTTGGCCAGGCTGGTCTCGAATTCCTGACCTCAGCTGATCCACCTCTTGGCCTCCCAAAGTCCTGGGATTACAGGTTTGAGCCACCACACCCGGCCAGAAGAGCCAGTTTTGTCCTTATTGCTTAAAACAGCATACTAAAGCTGCTGTTATTTTCCCTCTTCCACTCTTTATTCTCCCTATGGGAATTCAACACCTTTCACATTCGCTGAAACATTTACTTGAAAGAAGCTCACAGTGATGCTTTGGGTAATACATAAATAACAGTATTAAAAGGTAAGTGATAAAGCAAATAAGCTGGGTTCTCCTTTCCCTTTTCCTCATTTTATTTTCTTTTGTTATTTTCCCTCTTCCTTTTTATGTGATAGGCAAATCTGGACTAGAGATCTGTCACGAACCTACCATTACAAACGTTCAACACTTGTTTAATATAAATATAATTTACCTAGGCTTTTAAGAAAACGAGAACACCAAATCCAGAAAGAGCTAAGGAAGTAAGAAGGCGCAAAAAGTCAAATAGGCAAAAGGGAAGGCATAAATCAACTCTTATTTATAAGACCAAGTCTCAGCTCTAGACAGGTTTCCACTGATGGCTCAGATGTAAAACTACAAAAAACAAGCAAATGTTATAACCATCCATCTAAGCCCAAACACAAACCTGAAATGTAAAAGGCACAAATTCAGACTTTATATTTTCATGCAATTAACATGATTTCATAAAGAAATCATCTGCAAAGTAAGCCTCTAACAAAATCACCTGCATGTAAGCCTCTAACTCCCTTAATAGTTAGAAACTGGGAAGAATTAGATGAATTGAGAAGCACACTTAAAACACACACACATTATTGGGCATTCTTCATCCTTGCTTAAATTTATGAACACAAGACATATTCACTATTCTCAAAGTCAGGAGGATTAAATACTTCCTTGAAAATAGCTAAAAAAAAATAAGCGTCTCAAAGGCATTTTACCTTGTGGAGCAACCATGCAGTTCTAAAACAGCTAGGACTTTCTTTTCTATGGACTGGTACTATAACTCCTTAAACCTAAGAGACAGGAGTTTACATCTTTCACACTTCCTTTGGTCTCAAGGAATATATAGCTTAATTCTCTAAAGCTAGAACGTCACACCCTCCATCTGTGCTCTTCCATCTGGACTAACTCATTCAGACATTATCACACACAGATTCAGAACCAGAAATGGTCTTCTGCTTATTCCAATCTTACTTATTCTTAGTTTCTACCTTCACCTCCATGCTTCCCACGTCTATTCTGAGAGCTTTTCTCTACCTTCAATCCCAACCTTAAAACCCAGATGCCAAAGAAATCTTCCTAATGTCACCTATCCCACATTGGTCTCCTATTTCCTAGAATTCCCAAAGCCATTAACTATTGCTTGTGTCCACAGTCTTAACCCCTTGACAATACTCATCTACTGTAACTTTGGTGTTTGTCTCTATACCTGGTAGGATAGAGCTTACAGCTTTATTTTTATTTGAATAGCCTTTTCACAGAACCTGAGTCATGAACAAGCACTAACCCGATTCTCTGAGGCCATTTAAGTTTATAGTCTGAAACACCAACACAAAAACCTCACTCATTTACTTTCTAGGCCTTCAAACTAGAAACACAGGTCTTACCTTTAGACATTTTTAAGTACAAGACGTGTTGCTACTAAGTGTACAGTGGTAAAGTGATGTGCATATTGCAGGTACTCAGGTAATTATGAGACTAAAAAAAGTATTCCAGTTGATTTGGACCTTATTCTTCCTAAGTTACGAAACATTAAAAAAAATCAAGTAATTTAATGGGTGAAAGTGAAAATAATAATTTTAAAAAGATAAAATGTTCGGGGATCTCATTTTCCATTTGTTTCAAATCTATACCTTTAGACTTCAGTGTTACCTAAAACTAGGCTGAAGAATGAGTTCATAATTTACACAACCATTATTACTTACTTACAGCATAAAAAAAGTATCTAAGGTCTGAAGATAATGCCAAGAGAAGGCAAGGTCTATCTCTCTGCTCTTATGTCCTTTCCTCTAAACGCATATCCAAATTAAATCCAATTTAAAAATTAAGACATACACAAAAAGCACAAATGTAAGACAATACATGCAAAAGTCAATGAGGCTGACAAAAAATGCTAACATGATTCACACAAAAGATCAATGAGAACTAAATCTGTCTAAAGAGGTATTAGGAAAATAGTCTGCTACCAGTCAGATCCTGAAGGATGAACAGTGTTTTGATAAGTAAGGCAGAAAAGGGCTTACCAGGCAGGGGCAAACCATTTTGGGGCATGGGCTGTCATAAAGGGAAGAGTCAAGGTGGCAGATAGATTGAAGCTGCAGTATAGGTTCTTCAGTGCAAGGCTTATGAGCTTTACATGCTGTAAATAATTGGGTGAACTATTACTACAGTTTGTGGCTGAGACATAATTAAAATCAGTAATTATTAGCCTTGGCATCAGTATACAATATGGAAATGGAGGACCAGGGGAAGGAATGACAATGACATGGTTACCAATTAGGAAGTGTTATACTATAGCCGGAGATTTCAAGCTAGGGGTTTGCTTTTTTCTGAAAAATGTCTTCATGAAAATGGGAGTATTTGAGAAAAAAAATACATATTTTTCATATAAAAATATTTAAGTATTACTATGAGACCCAGAATATTCCAGAATAAATCAGTGTAATTATTGTAATATGCACTTTACCCAAATATATGTTAGTTCCATCACCATGACCAGGACAAAATAACAGTAAAAAAAAAAATTTAATGTAGATCTTCCCCTTCAGACTATTAACTTAATTAGGGGCAATCATTATATTTGTCTTGTTCACAATCTGTATTCCCAGCATACACAAGAGATGCTCAAAACATTTGCTGAGTAAAATAATGAAAACTCATATTAGAAGCTGTAACAGTGTAGGGAGTGCTTGATTTGGCAGATAAGGAAAACAAAACAAGAAATGCAAAAACACTCCCTGCACTCCAAGTGAAGACATCAGGAAGCATCTATTTATCCCTAGTTCAAATAAGCCAAATAATTATAAAAGTTAAAAAGTCGTTTGCCAATCTTTCGGTTATTAATGTCAGAGTCTTCAGTGAACAACTAAAAAGTATCAACACTGAATCAGTGCTATAATATATCCAATTTTAATAGCACCTACAAGATATCCTGAAGATACTGTCTCTCAAACTTAGTCTCTTGCCAGCCCATCATTATCCAACCTTTATGCTCCTTTTTAATGGGAGCAGAAAAGGAATTTGGCCTAGCAAGATCTTGCTGAACCGTAAGAACTAACTCAAATTGTCTCTTTAGGATACTACTGCTAACAGTTCCAGCTACTCAGGCCAGGCGCGGTGGCTCACGCCTGTAATCCCAGCACTCTGGGAAGCCGAGGCGGGCGGATCATGAGGCCAGGAGTTCGAGACCAGTCTGACCAATATGGTGAAACCCCGTCTCTACTAAAAATACAAAAATTAGCTGGGCATGGTGGTGGGCGCCTATAGTCCCACCTACTCAGGAGGCTGAGACAGGAGAATTGCTTGAACCCAGGCAGCAGAGGTTGCCATGAGCTGAGATCTCGCCATTGCACTCCAGCCTGGATGACAAAGCGAGACTCTGTCTCAAAAAAAAAAAAAGAACACATAAACAAAAAAAAAAAGTTTCAGCTACTCTGTTCCCTTTTCTCTAAAATCCTTTCAATTTTCCTATACATTCATATTTGTATATGCCATTCTTAACAGCTATTTGCCATTCATTATACACAGATGTATTCTCAAAACCAGATACCTCTTCTCCCCATACATCTCTTCTCAGAATGTTTTAAATGCATAAAATACAAGGCATTATAAAGAAAATCAATTATAGCGAAATTGAACTAGCATAAAATTACTTCTAAACAATCAATTTTGGGGCCAGGCACAGTGGCTCATGCCTGTAATCCCAGCACTTTGGGAGGCCAAGGAGGGCGGATCACCTGAGGTCGGCAATTCGAGACCAGCCTAACCAACATGGAGAAATCCCATCTCTAATAAAAATACAAAATTAACATGCCTGTAATCCAGCTACTTGGAAGGCTGAGGCAGGAAAATTGCTTGAACCCGGGAGGCCGAGGTTGCAGTGAGCCGAGATCACGCTATTGCACTCCTGCCTGGGCAACAAGAACAAAACTCTGTCTCAAAAAAAAAAGAAAGAAAGAAAAGAAAAAGAAAAAAAATCAATTTTGAGCCAGGTGCAGTGGCTCAAGCCTGTAATCCCAGCACTTTGGGAGGCTGAGGTGGGTGGATCGCTGGAGGTCAGGAGTTCGAGACCAGCCTAGCCAACATGGCAAAACCCTGTCTCTACTAAAAATACAAAAAAAAAAAAAACAAAAAACAAAAAATTAGCCGCACATGGTGGTGGGGACCTGTAATCCCAGCTACTCAGGAGGCAGACGCTGCAGTGGGCCGAGCTTATGCCACTGCACTCAAGCCTGGGTGACAGCAAGACTCCATCTCAAAAAAAAAAAAAAGGAATTTGGGATATAGTAATATACATACTCTCCTTATTATTATTATTTTTTGAGACAGGATCTCACTGTGTCGCCCAGGCTGGAGTGCAATGGTGTGATCTTGGTTCACTACAGTCTCTGCCTCCCAGGTTCAAGAGATTCTCATGCCTCATCCACCTGTTGGGATTACAGGCATATGCGACCACTCCTGGCTGATTTTTGTATTTTTAGTAGAGACAGGGTTTCACCATGTTGGCCAGGCTGATTTTGAACTCCTGGCCTCACGTGATCCGCCTGCCTTGGCCTCCTAAAATGTTGGGATTACTGGTGTGAGCCACAGTGCCCAGCCCTACACTCTGCTTATTAATGCATTAAATATAGGAGCAGGTCTAATAAATGCTATAATTTTGATGTAGTAATGAGTGTAAACTATATTTTAAGATACCTGCAACAATAATGTGATATAAAATACCTGTGATTTCAGCCGGGCGGAGTGGCTCATGCTGAGATCATACTGTTGCACTCCAGCCTGGGCCACAGAGTGAGACTTAGTCTAAAAAAAAAAAAAATCTGCGATTTCTAGCTGGGTGCAGTGGCTCACACCTGCAATTCTAGCACTTTGGGAGGTCGAGGCAGATGGATCACCTGAGGTCAGGAGTTTGAGACCACTCTGGCCAACATGGTGAAACCCCATCTCTACTAAATATGCAAATATCAGCCGGGCGTGGCGTTGGGCGCCTGTAATCCCAGCTACTCAGGAGGCTAAGGAGAATCACTTGAACCTGGGAGGCAGGAGATGCAGTGAGCCAAGATCACGCCATTGCACTCCAGCCTGGCGGTAAGAGCAAAACTCCATCTACCCCCCACAAAAATCAGTGATTTCTATTGGTGACAAAGTCAAAGGTTCTGCTAAAACTCATGAGGTTTCCTACTTACACTTAAAATCAAAAAGAAATACTAGATTTGAGTGAGAAGCTCATGAAAATAAAAATGTAATTTTCCTTACCTGTCTAAATACATAGATCTCATGGGGGGTGGATATGGTTATGAACCAGGTTAAGAGCCCCTGTTCCAAACCAACTTTTGAGATAAATAGCCTGTAGAATAAGATCTAATATTTGAAAATCATGTATGTTTTGCTCAGCAATAACGTAGTCAACTAAGATGATTTGTTTTCCCTCTTCTTGCTGCCTTGTTACTACTAATCCTTTGCTTACAACATTACCCCCAAGATCCTTGAATTACCGTACATTTTCATATTCTCCACCTTTGTTCCTTGCCCTTTGCCTTCAAAGATATGTAGATGTTCCTTAACTCCAAAAATTATAAAAACAAACAAAAAAAACTTTACCACTGTTCATTATCAAAGTTACTATTCATTTATCCATTCAATATTTAGAGTAGCTAACAAGACAAAACAAAATAATTGCTGCTTTCGTGGCTTATAGTGGGGAAGGGTGATAAACACCATGATGAAGGAGAGAAGAGTGCTATTGTGGGGGCACAAATTATGGGGATCTGATCTTTTTTTTTAAGGGAGGCATCAGGGAAAGTTTCTCTGAGGAAGTAAGGTTGATTCTCAAAGGACAGATGGCAGAGACCCAGGTTAAGGGGTGGATTGGCACCAGGCTGAAGTCTGGTGCTCACAAGAAACTAAGTGACAGCATAGGTTGGTATAGTGTGTAAGATCACCTTATTTTCTTCTTCAGGTAATTTTTTGAAAACCTGGTTTATATTTGCATCTTACTCTCATTTTTTCTTGGTTCCCAGTAACATAGTTATTTTCCCCGTAATACCCAAAGTGTTATTTCAAAGATCACAAATAATTGAGCGGGGACGTAGTTGCAAAAAAAAAAAAAATCACAAATGACCTAACTTTTGTCAGCTCTTGTCATCACTGCTCCAACATTGATAGTGGTGGTATTGAGGGACAGCATGTGGAGAACTGGAAGGTCCAGGGAGATACAAATGTTAAAATACACTTTTTCATTGGGAAGTGGAAAATGTACTTATAGTCTTCATAACACAAATTACAAAAGCTTGATCAAATGTTTTCTAATAGGCAAATATATAAAAGCAGATTAGTAGTTGCCTAGGGCTGACGGGAAATGGAGTGACTGACAATGGGTTCAAGATTTATTTTTGGCATGAGGAAAATATTCTAAATTTGAATTATGGTAATGGTTGTACAACTTTGTACATATACTAAGAAACAAACTGTACAGCTTAAATAGGTTAACCTTTATGTGGGTAAATTATATCAATAAAGCTGATGAAGAACTGGTAGATGACAAGTGTAATATAAAGGCAACCATAAATACAAAATACAGGAATAAGCAATTTACTTAGAAGATAAAAAAGAAGGCTTCTGGCCAGGCGCGGTGGCTCACACCTGTAATCCCAGCACCTTGGGAGGCCAAGGCAGGCGAATCACAAGGTCAAGAGAGATCGAGACCATCCTGGCCAACATGGTGAAACCCCGTCTCTACTAAAAACACAAAAATTAGCTGGGCGTGGTGGCGCACGCCTGTAGTCCCAGCTACTCTCGGGAGGCTGAGGCAGAAGAATTGCTTGAACCCGGGAGGCGGGGGTTGCAGTGAGCTGAGATGGCGCCATTGCACTCCAGCCTGGCGACAGAGCGAGACTCTGTCTCAAAAAAAAAAAAAAAAAAAAAAAAAAGAAGGCTTCCTAAAAATGTTAGCACCTGGGCTAAATTTTGAAAGATGCCTGGATTATTGTATTAGCTTCTTAAATATTCTCCTAGTTCCAGTTACCCCTCTATGGTTTTACTGTGTCATTTCTCTGTTATAAAAACTAAAGGAGCCATGCGATAGCTCACACCTGTAATCCCAACACTTTGGGAGGTCAAGATGGGAGGATCACTTGAGCTCAGGTGGTTCGAGATTAGCCTAGGCCAACAAAGACCCCGGTCTCTCTATGAAAAATAAAAAATTAGCCAGGCGTGGTGGCATGCGCCTGTACTCCCCAGGAAGCTGAGGCAGGAGGATCACTTGAGCCTCGGCTGTTGAGGCTAGCCACTGTACTCCATCCTGGGTGACACTGAGACCTTGTCTCCCAAAAAAAAAAAAAAAAAAGCCCCTTACCTACTAAAAAAGCAAGAGTTTCATATATCAAAAAATTCCTAAATATGGCCTCTGCTTATCCTTTCAATTCTATATACTTAACTCCCTCTTCGGATTATCCTCAGACCCAATCATTGAGTCAAGTTACTTTACTGAGCACCTGTTGGGTACTGAGCTCTAACACAGCCAAACCCCAAACGCTTTAAGTCTCATTTCTTTCCTACTTCTTGGATACACATTACCTCTTCCTAAAAACTTACTTTCTTTATTCAACAGCCCATTATCCTGACTCTCCTCCTGCTTTATTAATTCCGAATTTCCACCAAGGGGATGAGTCCTCACCTCTCAATTTACTTTCTCCACTATCACTTACATGCTGATCTTGCTTAGATCTAACCCCAATCCCAGTTCCCTGGCCTAGGCTCAGTTCTGTATTTGCTGCTAACTTTACTACACAAGAGTAAAACACAATATGCCATTCACCTTAATTTCAACATGTCCAAAGCCATTACCACCCACCATACTTGTAAAATACTAAAATTGGGCCCCCTTCCTAACTCCCTAATTCAAACCTCAAATTCTTAAGGCTCAAGTGACTTACCTCCACTCCTTAAAAAGGGATAACATGTACATTAAAAAGTTTCAGAAAGAAAAAAAGAAATCAAACACACTCCTATAAAATATCTCCTAATACACTATTAAGAGACCAAATGGCTTTCTTTTTGTTTGTTTCTTTGTTTTTGTTTTGAAATGGAGTCTCACTGTTGCCCAGACTGGAATGCACTGGCACAATCTCGGCTCACTGCAACCTCTCTGCCTCCCAGATTCAAGCGATTCTCCTGCCTCAGCCTCCTGAGTAGCTGGGATTACAGGCACATGCTGCCACACTCAGCTAATTTTTCTGTGTGTTTTGAGTAGAGACAGGGTTTTGCCATGTTGGGGGGACTGGTCTCAAACTCCTGACCTCAAGTGATCCACCCGCCTCAGCCTCCCAACGTGCTGAGATTACAGGGGTGAGCTACCACACCCAGCCACCAAATGGCTTTCTTTCTTTTTTTGAGACAGAGTTTTGCTCTCGTTGCCCAGGCTGGAATACAATGGCATGATCTCAGCTCACCACAATCTCTGCCTTCTGGGTTCAAGTGATTCTCCTGCCTCAGCCTCCTGAGTAGCTGGTATCACAGGCACGCGCCACCACGCCTGACTAATTTTGTATTTTTAGTAGATATGGGGTTTCTCCATGTTGGTCAGGCTGGTCTGGAACAACCAACCTCAGGTGATTCGCCCACCTCGGCCTCCCAAAGTGCTAGGATTACAGGAGTGAGCCACCGTGCCCAGCCTCAAATGGTTTTCTTTAGGGTAATTTTTGCACTATAAGTTAGCACTTGTATTACAGACAATGTTTCTGTATGAAGATACTAAGAGAACAAATAACTGGATGAAGGGAACACTTCCCCCTACTTTGCATTAATTAATTTGCTTAGAAAATCCTCTTTAAATGGATAGAGCTAAGTATTCTAGATAAGAAACTGTAGACAAAAACGATACAAAAAGGCAAAATTAAATTATCTTCATTAGTGGAGAAAATGAATACAAAAAGAAAACAATGAACATTCCAAAGTTTGATATGTTTGTTTTACGTAGCAAATACAGAAGAAAGGACACAATGCCTGGGCTGCAAACATACAGCAAAGGGGAAAAGGAAAATGGAAGAAGCAACACAAGCTACCAGAAAGGAATGATACAACCTCAAAGAAAGAAAAGATGGCTATTCAAATACATGAATAGCTATCAAGTCTGTGCAACCCTGAATAATACAGCACTAAGTAATATTCATAAAAGTAAGTCCTTCAGTGACCAGACCATTAAAAAGTAGTCCAGTAAATCTGCAGTTAGGTTTAAGAATGGGAAGCTGGCTAAGTTGACAGTATATGTAACATAGTACCAAGAATACTGGACCAGCAGCCAGAAACATAGGTTCTAGTCCTGGCTTGTTATTTTCTTGCTCTGTGACTCTGTGTAAGTGATTTCTGCTCACTGGTCAAAGATTCTTAATATAACCCTATTTATTTATCAAAAGGTGTTGTGGTAATTATGAGAGTTTATGTAAAAGCACTTGATAAATTACAAAGCATTACATAAATAAGGGATTATTATTCTTATTACAAAAAGCAGTCGCCTGGCCAGGTGCAGTGGCTCACACCTGTAATCCCAGTACTTTGGGAGGCTGAGGCAGGTGGATCACTTGAGGTCAGGAGTTTGAGACCAGCCTGGCCAACATGGTGAAACCCCATCTCTACTAAAAATACAAAAATTAGCCGGGTGCAGTAGTGGGCGCCTGTAATCCCAGCTACTCAGGGAGCTGAGGCAGGAGAATCGCTTGAACCCAGGAGGCAGAGGTTGCAGTGAGCCGAGATCGTGCCACTGTACTCCAGCCTGAGCGACAGAGTGAGACTCCATCTCTAGTGAAAAACAAACAAAAAACAGTTGACCAACAATGATAAAATGCCAACAACCAAGACAATACCATTTCCTACAACAGCCATAGCACTCAGCAAAATTCACTAACTACCCTCAACAGCTTGATACAATGGAGTGCCAAAACCTCAGCACAGAATTTCTCAGTGTGGTTCTCTGGTCTTTAGTAGAAATTCCTTGTGGTAATTACATTAAAAACAAACAAAACAAAACAAAGAAAAAAAATAACTCTTGGTCCCCACTCCAGAATTGGTCAAACAAAAATCTGATGGTAGAGCAGTGTAACCTGAATTTTTTACAAACTCTATAAGTGGTAATTATTTATACACAGCTGAGGTTGGAAAAATGCTGACTTAGAAGGATACACATGAATAGTCTTAACGGGGTCCTACTGTTGCAATTAACTAAGGCAATCTCTAAATGTTTCAGGGTACTGTTTGGGGCTCATCTCAATATGCTACCCTCTTAAGTAAACATTTATGTCCTCACATAGTTTGAGATTTAGACATCCTTCCTAATTTTCAGCAGGAGACAAATTCACAATTACATGCCAGGCTCACAGCAGATGCTCAAAAAGAATGCAAGCCTCACAAAATCATTGTCTGTTCAATGAAGTGTGCCCAGTTTTTTTTTTTTTTTTTTTTTTTTTGAGACGGAGTTTCGCTCTTGTTGCCCGGGCTGGAGTGCAATGGCGCGATCCTGGCTCACTGCAACCTCCGCCTCCCAGGTTCAAGCGATTCTCCTGCCTCAGCCTCCCTAGTAGCTGGGATTACAGGCATGTGCCACCACGCCCAGCTAATTTTGTATTTTTAGTAGAGACGGGGTTTCTCCATGTTGGTCAGGCTGGTCTCGAACTCCCGACCTCAGGTGATCCGCCCGCCTCGGCCACCCAATGTGCTGGGATTACAGGCATGAGCCACCGCGCCCGGCTGTCCAGTTTCTTAAACTGTGACTGGCACAGGGTAGGTACCCTCAGGTGAATGTCAACTGAATGAAAGAAATGGTTGTTCTCTTCAACGTACTGTACAAGGTGTTGTATGTTAAATTCACCAAGAGAGTCTCAAACTATCAGAGCTCTCGTTTGAAGAATAGAAGCTAACAACACTCACTTCTCTAAGAGGGATAAAAAATAATATTATGGAGGTTCAAAAATGGGAACACTAGGATTTCTGTAAGTACAGCTTGGTGGTAATAATTTCAATCAAGGGCAAACAGCCAAACACAAAACCAAACTCAACCTAACAGTGAATGGCTGGGCACAGCGGCTCACATCTGTAATCCCAGCACTTTGGGAGGCCAAGGCAGCTGGATCACTTGAGACCAGGAGTTCGAGACCAGCCTGGCCAACAAGGAGAAACCCCGTCTCTACTAAAAATACAAAATTAGCCGAGTGTGATGGCGCATGCCTGTAATCCCAGCTACTCAGGAGGCTGAGGCAGGAGGATCACTTGAACCCAGGAGGCGGATGTTGCGGTGAGCCGAGATTGTGCCATTGCACTCCAGCTTGGGCAACAAGAGCGAAACTCCGTCTCAAAAAAAAAAAAAGAAAAAGAAAAAATTAAATGTATATAGATATATAATAAAAGTAGAATTTCATTATTGTACTTGGCACAATAAGAAACACAAGATACCTCTATGAGTAAGACAGTTCTCTCCTTCAAGGAGTTTCTAGAATGCATTATTGTAGGAATGCATCTGAAACATGTGAAGAGGTAAATGGTTTCATACATCGATTTTAGACACTTTCCAGAAATCAAAGCATTTGATTACATGGGATTATATGTACTTTCTGGTACTTTCCAGTATCATGATGCCTATTACAGGATTTCCTGAATTAATTCTAAGAGGAAATATATAAATTAAGAACACAGCCTTACAGCCTGAGCAACACAGTGAGACTCTATTTCTAAAAAATAAAAATAAAAATTAGCCAAGTATGGTGGTGTATGCCTGTAGTCTCAGCTACTTAGAAGGCTGAGATAGGAGGATCACTGGAGCCCAGGAGTTCAAGGCTGCAGTAAGCTATGATTGAGCCACTATACTCCAGGCCTAGGCGGCCGAGCAAGAACCCAACTCTTAAAAAAAAAAAAAAGAAAGAAAAGAGTATAGCCTTATTAGGTTGTAATTCTAGGAAAAGATGGGGGTTGATGGGGGTGAGTAGCAAAGCAAAAATTATTGTTATTAATTATTAATATACTATATTTTGGGGATTAATAACAATTATTAATTGTTACATATCAGAATCACCTGGGGAGCTTTTAAAAATCATGATACCTACGTCATATCCCAATTTAATTAAATCAAAATACTTGCAGTTAGGGATTAGTTGTCTTTTTTTTTTAACTTTGCCATTTGATTCCATTTGCAGCAAAATTTGAGAACCACTGGTAGAGCTGAAAGATGCAGTAGGACCTGTACAAATCACACATCAGCTGTGTGACTTTAGGCAAATTAACCACTTTGACTCACATACTTTATAAGAAACACCAACTTACAAGATTGGTGTAATGATTAAATGAGACCGTATGCAATGCCTGGATAATATTGGACTCTTTTTGTTGCATGCAGAGGGAAAAAAGAATGTTTAGCCACACTGAATTCAACCAATTATTCCCTTATTTCAAAAGTACTTATCAACATTACAAATAAATAAAAGGCAATTATACCTTAAAATTAGAACAAATCATTACATCAGAGAACAAGAGGCATCTTTTGTCCTACTGATTCCATCAATATATACTACACATTAAAAAACCCTTAAGACCTTGTTGGGCTTTCGAAAACCCTTTTACAAGTAAGAACTGACTTTACAAATTATAGAATTCATTCTATTAATAGGTTCAAATCTAGATGGCATCACAGGCAGAACCCTGACTCATAATACAATGCTCTTTCCATTTCCCTTTATGTTGAGGATTGAAATGTACTCTCTTCAGCTAAACCGTTTTGTGTAGCACTTCCAAAATCCCCATTAAAGGGCCATAACATACCCCACTGCTCACACCGACAAGAAAAAGGCAGTATTTTAGTTCTTCAAAGGAGAGCAAGGTAAAGATCTCAATTATCACTGAATACCATATTTACTACCATCACCTGCAACACAACCACCATCTGATAATTTTGTCAGATAAATCCTATAATGTACCTCATGGTGATAAACAGACTATTAATCTATAGTAAAACCAACACCAAAATAATGCTTAACTGGGGACTGGGGAGAAAAATAAGGCTTAGCTGTAATCCAAAAGACAGACTTAAAAAATAAATAAATAAAATAAAACTAACACTGTCACAGAATAGAACTTACCAAGGATGAGCAATGTGTGCATACAAAAAAAAAATCAAATAGTCCTTATCTCAACAGAGATGTAGGTTACACCAACATATGCATTTGTCAAAACTGATCCGGCAGGGTATGGTGGCTCACACCTGTAATCCCAGCACTTTGGGAGGTCGAGATGGGCGGATCACAAAGTCAGGAGTCCAAGACCAGCCTGGCCAATACGGTGAAACCCCATTTCTACAAAAATACAAAAAAAATTAGCCGGGTATGGTGGCGGGCACCTGTAGTCCCAGCTACTCCAGAGGCTGAGCAAGGAGAATCACTTGAACCCAGGAGGCGGAGGTTGCAGTGAGCCAAGATTGCGCCACTGCACTCTGGCCTGGGCAACAGAGCAAGACTGCATCTCAAAAAATAAAATTAAAAATAAAAATCCCACTAAAACATGCATTAGTTTATGCTATGTTAATACTGGTCAACCAATTTTGTTTTTTTTTTTTGAGATGGAGTCTCCATCTGTCACCCAGGCCAGAGTGCAGTGGCGTGATCTCAGCTCACTGCAACCTCCGTCTCCTGGGATCAAGCAATTCTCCTGTCTCAGCCTCCCGAGTAGCTGGGATTGCAGGCACCTGCCACCATGGCCAGCTAATTTTTGTATTTTTAGTAGAGACAGGATTTCACCATGTTGGCCAGGCTGGTGTCAAACTCCTGATTTCAAGTGATCCGCCCGCCTTGGCCTCCCAAAGTGCTGGGATTACAGGTGTGGCATGAGCTACCACACCCGGCCAGTCAACCAAAATTTTAAGAGCCATCTGAGATTGAAATTAGAAACAAAAACAGTAACACAATAAAGCATCATTTTACCTGTGTGCATACACTGAACACCAAGTTAAATGATGAAAGTTATGAAGACACTCATTCTTGACAGCAAAAATCCCTGGTGAACAGTGACAGATCATGAGAAAACCAAGACTTAATGATATTTTAGGTACAGCTTAAATATACTTTAAAACAAAATGATCTAGCCAGGTGCGGTGGCTCACGCCTGTAATCCCAGCACTTTGGGAGGCCGAGGCAGGTGGATCACTTGAGGTCAGGAGTTCGAGACCAGCCTGACCAATATGGTGAAACCTCATCTCTACTAAAAAAAATTAGCCAGGCATGGTGGTATATGCCTGTAGTCCTAGCTACTCAGGAGGCTGAGGCAGGAGAATCACTTGAACCTGGGAAGTGGAGGTTGCAGTGAGTCAAGATCACGCCATTGCATCCCAGCCTGGGCAACAGAGAAAGACTGCATCTCAAAAAAAAAAAAAAAAAAAAAAAAAGATCTAGGTCCAGAAATGACTAAAGCCAAGGATCCTTGATCCCTGGGCCACTGACCGGTATCCAGTATAGAAGCGAAGTGAAGCTTCATCTGTATTTACAGCCACTCCCCAAAGCTGGCATTACCGCCTGAGCTCAGCCTCCTGTCAGATCAACAGAATTAGATTCTCATAGGAACGCAAACCCTGCTGTGAACTGCACATCAGAGGGATCTAGGTTGTGCATTCCTTATGAGAATCTAATGCCTGACGATCTGTTACTGTCTCCCATGACCCCCAGATGGAAGCAGGTAGTTGCAGGAAAGCAAGCCCAGGGCTCCCATTGATTCTACATCAAGGTGAGTTGTATAATTATTTCATTATATGTTACAATGTAATAATAATAGAAATAAAGTGCACAATAAATGTAATGCACTTGAATCATCTCAAAATCATTCCCACCCCCACCCCACCCCCTACTTGCTCCAGTCTGTGGAAAAACTGTCTTCCACGAAACCTGTCCCTGGTGCCAAAAAGGCTGGGGACCACTGACTAAAGCCAAGGAATAACCCACATACTTTACATGGGTTCAAGCATTTACTCCGAAATGAGATACAAATTTATATATATATATATATATATATATATATATATATATATATATATATGTATATATATATATATATATATATATATATATGTATATATATATATATATATATTTTTTTTTTTTTTTTTTTTTGAGACAGAGGCTCGCTCTGTCACCCAGGCTGGAGTGCAGTGGCATGATCTCAGCTCACTGCAACCTCTGCCTCCCGGGCTCAAGCAATTCTCCTGACTCAGCCTCCCAAGTAGCTGGGACTACAGGCACACACCACCATGCTTGGCTAATTTTTGTATTTCAGTAGAGATGGGGTTTCACCATGTTGGCCAGCCTGGTTTCGAACTCCTGACCTCAGGTGATCCGCCCGTCTTGGCCTCCCAAAGTGCTGGGATTACAGGTGTGAACCACTGCGCCTGGCCACAAATTAATAATTTCCAGCAAGTTTTTATCCTGCAATCCACAGATTCAAAAGGGAGAATAAGAACACCCTGAATCGTAAGCATCTAATTAAATACAAATAGGTTACTTATATTTATGTAAGAGCTCTTCAGCTTGTCTATGAGGCAAAATGCCAACAAGTGAAGAAGTACAGGATGGCTCTCCAGTATCAAATGAAACGATGTGGAGTGTGTGAGAGGGCATGATTTGACCTTGACATAAGGGTGATAATGATTCTCAGAAGAACTGGAAGTTAGGACACTCCAGTAACTCCCCTGAGATTCAACAGTCTAATTTGTATTAGTAGGAATAGGGCTATATACATCTCTAACATTTTGTCCAGCTTAAAATGCTACCTAGCATTATTACATTATCTCATAAGCCAGTATAAAGCAGCTCTAGTATACCATGAATTCAGTTTCCCTTCAAGTTAAAAAGCACATTTCTCGTGATCTGTGACGTACGTTTTTCTGGTTTTTTTTTTTTAGTCCAAGCTAAGCATGGACACTGTAATATATCTTAATGAAGACATATCCAATGCAGCGTCATCTTTATTCTCTGATAACAGCCATTATGTTATTCACAGGATATATGCTCAGTGCCAAAGATAAGATTAAGCTGCTTTTAAAAGTGAAGAGTAAGGATTAACTAGTGCTTTATAAATACGTTCTAAAACATTTGACCTTCAGACACAGAGGGCAAAAATAGTGATTAAAACACACTAGGCAGCTGGGAGAGGTGGTATTCATCTGCAGTCCTAGCTACTCAGGAGGCTAAGAGGCAGGAGGATCATTTGAGTCCAGGAGTTTGAGGCTGTAGTGTGCTATTATCATACTTCTGAATAGCCACTGCACTCCGCCCGGGTGACAGAGCAAGAACCTGCCGCTAAAAATAAAAATAATAAAAGATGAAAGAAAAATAGGAAAAACAAGAAAGGAAGGCAAGTAGTAGACACAATATCAAACTGCTGGAATGCTTTTTTTCTAGCTACTATCCTTTGAAAATAGGTCTTAAAATTCCAGGACTAAAAGTCCTTAGGATCAATGAGGCCAGTGACACTTTTAAGTAGGGAACCCTTGTTCAAACAAAACCCTACCCAAAAGCTCAGTATGCAAAGGCAAATGGAAATGAGTATTTAGCTGGCAAAAGAAGGGTAGGCAGCCCTAAATCTTTCTATTCAGCACTCTCCTTCCCATTAGAACAATCCTTTTTTTATGTTCTAAATGAGGAAACAGATGGGCTTACACACATTAAGGAACTGACTGACTGTAGATGACCCAGTCAATATCACATGGCAGATCTACAGCTCAAACCTCCAAAACCTATCTAGATAAAGAATTTTTCGGTATGTCATAGTTGTTTCTTGGGTCATTGCACGGTGGCTGATGCCTATAATCCCAGCGCTTTGGGAGGCTGAGGCAGGAGAAGTACTTGAGCTCAGGAATGCAAGACCAGTCTGGGCAATATAGCAAGAGCCCATCTATATAAAAAAAATTTAAAAAAATTTTTAAATTGTTCCTTTGGAGAACTTAATTCAATTTAGAATGGAACACACAAAAAAAGGTTTTAACAGAAACTCAATACAGCTGACCCTTGAACAAAAGGGGCTTGAAATGCACAGGTCCACTTGTACACAGGTTTTTTTCTGCCTCTGCTACCCAAACAAGATCAACCCCTCTTCTTCCTCCTCAGCCCAAAGTGAGGATGATGAGGGTAAAGAGCTTTATATATATATATATATATATATATATAGTTATTGACCAATCATGTTATTGGTGAAGCTTCCAGTGAACAGTAGGCTAGTAGTAGTTAAGCTTTTGGGGAGTCAAGTTATACTTGGGGCCAGGTGCAGTGGTCCATGCCTGTAATCCCAGCACTTTGGCGGGCCGAGGTGGGTGGATCATCTGAGGTCAGGAGTTTGAGACTAGCCTGGCCATCACTGTGAAACCCCGTCTCTACTAAAAATACAAAAATTAGCTGGGTGTGGCGGCGCGCCTGTAATCCCATGAACCTGGGAGGCAGAGGTTGCAGTGAGCCAAGATCACACCATTGCACTCCAGCCTGGGTGACAGAGCAAGACTCCATCTCAAAAAAAAAAAAAAAGTTACACTTGGATTCCTGACTGTGGGGCACAGTGGGAGTGGGCTGGGGTTCAGTGCCCCTAACCCCAGCACTGTTCAAGGGTCAACTGTAATTTTAAGTGAGCTCTCACATATTAATTGACAAGGTCCAAGAATTTTCTTTCTTTTTTTTTCCCCTGCCTCAGGTTTATTTGTACTAATAGCACAGGAGGACCCCAGCCCCATAAAGACGGCAGCCCAGGGGGGTTGCATCAGTCCTTCTGTCCTCACGTTGGCAGACAGAGATACCTACTCCGAAGCCTTTGTAGGGGCCTGAGAGCCTTTGGGAGGAGCCTGAGCTGGAACTGAAGCTGGAGCTGCAGCCTGGGCCTTGGTTGATCCTTGGCCTTTGGCCCACACAGTCTGAGCCCCTTGGCAATGCGGACACAAGCACACTTCCCAAGCTTGGGGTGGACAATGTAGGCAAGTCAATCGAGTTCGCAGCTGACACCCTTTGGGATCTTGGGCTTAACCTCCTTGGGCTTTACGAGGGCCCTGCTAGCCTCAGCAAGTGCACTCATTGCCTTGGCATTGTTGGCCTGCATCTTCTTTAGGCCCTTCTTGTGCTTCTTGGCAAAGTGCATGTTCCTCAGGAACCTGGAGCCCACCATTTCTGTGCCATTTTCAGGACTGGTTGTGTGTGGTGTGGTTCGTGGACTTGGCCATGTCTGTACCTTAAGCCGCGGCTCTCCAAGTGCCTAGAACCGGAAGCTTCATTTCTTAAAATATCAAGAAAATGGATGCCATTCTCTTATCCTTGCTTTTTTTTTTTTGATACGGAGCCTCATTCTGTCGCCCAGGCTGGAGTGCAGTGGCACGATCTTGGCTCACTGCAACCTCCGCCTCCCATGTTCAAGCAATTCTCCTGCCTCAGCCTCCTGAGTAGCTGGCACTACAGGCGCACGCCACCACACCAGGCTAATTTTTTTTTTTTTTGTATTTTAGTAGAGACAGGGTTTCACCTGTCTCTACTACCCAGGCTGGTCTCCAACTCCTGGGCTCAGGCAATCTGCCCACCTCGGCCTCCCAAAGTGCTGGGATTACAGGCGTGAGCCATGGCGCCCGGCTTATCCTTGCTCTTTACTCAGGATGCTATGCTTCTTAACAATAGGTCTCTCAAATTACACAGGAAGGACCTGATTCAGCAGGTCATCTACGCAGGCCAGGTAATTTTCAGTCTCTGTTGTAAGATATACCAAAGTATCTTAAAGAAAATCCTGGCTGGGTGCGGTGGCTCATGCCTGTAATCCAAGCACTTTGAGAGGCCGAGGCGAGCAGATCACGAGGTCAAGAGATGGAGACCATCCTGGCCAAAATGGTAAAGCCCCATCTCTATTAAAAATACAAAAATTAGCTGGGCGTGGCAGCACGTGCCTGTAGTCCCAGCTACTCAGGAGGCTAAGGCAGGAGAATTGCTTGAACCCAGGAGGTGGAGGCTGCAGTGAGCCAAGACTGTACCACTGCACTCCAGCCTGGTAACAGAGTGAGACTCCATGTCAAAAAAAAAAAAAGCAAATCCTATAGGGAATTTTGTAACAGAAAACATAGGGAAGGGATTGAACAAATTTGTATATGAAGGATAAAGGCAGCAAAATCTAAATTTTTTAAATTAGTGACAATACTTCTAAAACAATAGATAACACATAACTTTTATCTAGCTAACACTAAATAGTCAACTTAATTCAATACTTTCCGAGTAAATATTTATTAAGTATGTACCATGTATAGGTGATACAGAAATAGTGGGGAACAAACTGAGGGGGATGGGAAGATGCTGCTACCCAAATAAAGAATGTTTACATAAATCTTTATCCTTTTTGCTTCAGTGGAAACAGTTTTTTTTTTACATTTCACTTTAAAACCAATGAACCACTTTTGTTTCCATGTACCTGACCCTACCACTCCTAAAGCAAATTTACCCTTTCCACACTCTCATCCAATTACTGTGTTCTCCTTTAGAGACTACACCCAGAAGCCACACTCTATTCTTGGATGCCTTACCAAACCAGTTCACCAAGCTTTCTTCCTTAGAGCCAGATCCTGAAATCCCATCTCTCAGGAAGCCTTAACTTGAAAGTCAGGTTAATCTGTTTAGCCTCACCCACAGACAGCTTATAACTACCATAACTCTCTCTGCACTCACCACCTTATAATAGGCACCTATTACTATAATTCTGCTCAGAAGTTAATTTATTCATGTGCTTATTCAGTACATTACTCATTGCCCTTATGGGTCTGTATCAGGTCTTAAATAAAAGCTACCAGATAAAAGGACATGTACTGTACTTGGGTTTAGCACTGAAAAATGACAATGCTTAATGCTTTTTGAAACTGATTTCAAATACATTAAATTTAACCTGATTTGTGAAATTTATAAAATCTCCCAACATAGATGAATCTCAAAAACATTATGTTAAGTGAAAAGTGCCAGACACAAATGACCTCATATCGTATGATTCCATTTATATGAAATTCTAGGAAAAACTATAGTAATGGAAAGCAAATCAGGGGTGAGGGGCCTTATTTTCCCACATAGTAGGTTTTTTTTTTAAAGGCAAGAATGATTTAAAAACTTCAAATCTATATCATCTCAGATTTAATCTTCACCTCATAAGATAAATTTGCAACTTTCTTCCAAATGATTTACTTGCTCATTTACAACCAATAGCACATTTTATCACTCAATTCTCCATTAAAACTGTAAATCAGCATTGGAACTTTGTTTTTTTTTTTGTTGTGTTTTTTTGTGTTTTTTTGAGATGGCGTCTCGCTCTGTCACCAGGCTGGAGTGCAGTGGCGCCATCTCAGCTTACTGCAACCTCCGACTCCCGGGTTCAAGCTATTCTCCTGCTTCAGCCTCCCGAGTAGCTGGGATTACAGGCACGTGCCACCATGCTCAGCTAATTTTTGTATTTTTAGTAGAGACGAGGTTTCACCACGTTGGCCAGGCTGGTGTTGAACTCCTGACTTAAAGTAACCTGCCTGCCTTGGCCTCCCAAAGTGCTTGGATTACAGGCGTGAGCCACCACGCCTGGCTGGAACTCTTTTTAAGGACAGTTTTATTTGAGTTGTTTCCATGTAAAGACTATGCAACCCAGTCCTTAATTCAAGACATGAAAAATACAAACTGGAATAGAAAAAGGGGCTAACAGGCTGGGCCCGGTGGCTCACGCCTATAATCCCAGCACTTTGGGAGGCTGAGGCAGGTGGATCACCTGAGGTCAGGAGGTGGAGACCAGCCTGGCCAACACGGCAAAACCTCAGCTCTACTAAAAATACAAAAATTAGCCAGGCGTAGTAGTGCAGCTCTGCAATTCCAGCTACTTGGGAGGCTGAGGCAGGAGGATCACTTGAACCTGGGAGGCGGAGGCTGCAGTTAGCCAAGGTTGCGCCACTGCACTCTAGCCTGGGCAACAGAGTAAGGCTCCGTTTCAAAAGAAAAAAAAGCCGGGCACAGTGGCTCATGCCTGTAATCCCAGCACTTTGGGAGGCCGAGGCAGGCAGATCACCTGAGGTCAGGAGTTCGAGCCCAGCCTGGCCAACGTGGTGAAACTAAAATACAAAAATTAGCTAGGCGTGGTGGCGGGCGCCTGTAATCCCAGCTACTCAGGAGGCTGAGGCACGAGAATCACTTGAACCCGGGAGGCAGAGGTTGCAGTGAGCCAAGATCGTGCCATTCATTGCACTCCAGCCTGGACCACAAGAGCGAAAACTCCGTCTTAAAGAAGAGGCTCCAGTAAACAGTAAGTACCATTCTTACCTATTCTGAATAATTTTGCAAATGTTATTTTAGATTATTGCTGGAAAATAGCTGGGCTTTAAACTATATTTTAGTCTCCATTCCATGAAGAGGATCTTTAATCCCAAAAGTTAAAACATTAAAACCCTCCAAAGTAAAGTTAACCATTTGACAGAACAATGTCTATCTCGTCATCTTTTATCCTCGTTACTGCTATTTGCACTCACCAATATTCCACACCAACAAAGGCCCCAATTTCTCTGATGTGAAGATTTACTGACAAACTCAACAGGTTAAAATTACTTATCAAAGTGTGGCTAAGTGATTAAGATTTTTTTAAATACAACTGATATGAGTAAATTTTAACATAGTTGGTGCTGCTCAAACTGCCTTTGCCACTACCTATACAAATTTAGTCCCGACTGAAACGTGCCAAATATGACCATTCACGAAAAGAAAGAGTAATTAACACTTTTAAAAGAACTACGAAGGATTTTACATAGTGTAATTCAACAATTTCGTGTCACATCTGCTGCAGAGATCACAAACACTGTCACTATGCCATCTCCTTCCTCGAACCTCCACACCGCCTCCTGCAGCTTTATTCTTGGCTTTTCAAAGGTTTAATCCACTCGGGGCTGCTAAAGGAGGAATCAAGGAAGCATAATTTGTGAACTCAAGCTGAGAAAAGGGCAGGAATATGGGGTTGAGTCACGTCGTTCCGCCATTTTCTAAGCGGAGGAGGAAGACATGTTGGAACAAAAACACAACAAAAGAGCAGCCATTTCCCAAGCCAGCTCCAATAGCAACTCGAACTGACACTGCCGGGTCGCTTCGGCACCTTCAAATCCACTTCACTGGACAAACCTAAGTACATCAGAAGTGCCGCCGTAAAAAAGGCAGCAGCCAACCCTTCCGCGTAGGGATCAAAGATGACCTGCACGCATAACTGCAAATGAAAGCCTCGGGAAGAGTGAGAATGACGGAAGCGAAATGGAGCAGTGTAATACAATGAAATAAGTTGGCAAACTGAAATTTACTCAGTAATTGAGATGACTGACTTACAGGAAACCACCAGCTATAGGGAACCCAGGTAACTAAAACACCAAGACCCGGATTCAGCTGGTCTCATTACCTGCCTCTACCCACTTCCCCATTCCGTGCTTCCCTCAGCGGATCGCCTATATGCACCGGGTTCTTACCGTATGTGGGGGATGCCAACCCCACCTTGAAGAATCTTATAGAGCTTGCTCTCGTACAGCAACTGGGGATGCCTGGCCTTCTGAGATTCTAGCTTCACTGCCACTTCCTGCAGGGGAAAGAGGGGATGATGGCATCAACATCCCTACGGATTCAATGTCACTTAGGAAAGGAGGGAGACATTAGCAAAACTCCAAGTCGCGACTACAAGAAGAAGTGAAAAGCTGGAAAGAGAAAGCTCTCGGTAATTATAAAACGAGGCAACCAGCCTCAAAGGCCTCTTCAGGGGGTAGTGACGAAATCCGTACGTCCTCTAAAGTGCAGGAAAATGATTCATCCAGAAAAAAGAGGCAACCTCTGAACGTAGTGAGAGGTTTTTAAGGAACTAGGCGATCGGAAACTGTTCTAATTGGAACAAGAGGCCCAGTAGAATTAAGAATTAAAAAAAAAAAAACATGGGAATCACTGAAAGAGGATTTTGCCGTTTCCACCTTAAAAGACGGTTAAAAAAAAAAAAAGCTCGACTAAGGGACATTTATGGGACGTGTTTAACAAGGTGGGAAACTAGTTCCCCCAACCTTTCTATCGGGTTCTTGACCCTTTTAGGGAGACAGCGGACGAGGTTCGTAAGCCAGGAAAACTAGCTCCCTGGACTCCCTGGCGAGTGCGTGCGATGAGGAGAGGCCCGAGCACTTTGGGGGTGCACGGTGGTGGTGGGGGGAATGAGTAAAAGCGCAGCGTTATCGTGAACCCCACCCCAGATGATTACCTCGCCGTTGGTGATGTTGATCGCCAAATAGATGTCCCCGAAGGAGCCAGACCCGATCTTCCGTACCAGTTTATATTTCCCTCCGACAATGAATTCAGCCTTGGAGCCGCTGCTACTCGCCATCCTGAGAGACGAAGATGGAGGCTGGGGCCAAGCCCCGACACCTCTGGGAAGAGGACGGAGGCCTCGGGGCTCCTACACTAGGCAAGGCTACGGAGGAGGGCGGCAGGAAACGGAACACGGAGGCCTTTACCGGGGTTCGGGGCCCAGAATCAGCAGAGGGGAACCTGATCACCGCCGCTCAGTCAGGTTTCTTTTTGCCAGGCCGCAGTTTGTGAAGGGCTTCTCGGCGGTTACCAGGCTGGGCCACTTGTTTCTCGGCGGCCGCCGCTGCCTCGCTTGCGCGGCGACGTCGCGGGCTGGAAAAGGGGCGCGGTGAGCTAGGGCGGCGATACCGCTGCCACCACTGCCGCCGGCTCCGGCCCAGAGGGACCCCTGTCACTCCGCGGACGACGCCATCTTGTTACTCCAGCTCCAGCCAACACAAAATGCCCCCAGTCCCCGGGAGCCGCTTCTTCACGGCGCAGAGCACTCTGGGAAAGGGATCTCGGGCGCTCGCTCCGAAGGATCGGCAGCGAGAGGGCGGAACCGGATCCGTGAGAGTCGCGGCCCACGCTCCGAGCGTCACCCTGTCACCGCCCAGCTGCGCATGAGCGCTGCAACTCCTGCTGACTGCGCAGGCGTGCCGCGGCCTGTCCTCACCCCCGTCCCGGGCTCTCTTCCACTTCCGGTCGGCGGCGGCTCAGCAGGTGTTACCTGTTACTCGCCTCGGACCCGCCGGGTCTCTGGAAGGCTGAGTGGCCCCCCGGCCTTGATATTGGGAGGAGTCACCTTCATGTTTCGTGGCAGATGAAAGCTTAAGGCCTCCTTAGGAGTTGGGTATTGACCTGTGCTCTTTGAGGCGGTTTTTAACCTTTGATCTTTCTTCTGGCCGTTCCCCCGGACCGGCCTATTCCAACCCAGTTTCTGTTTGGAAAGAGGCTGTCGCCTCTGGTGGAGAGGAAGAGAAAAGCAGCCAGCGTCGAGGAATCTCTCAGGGCTCTCGGTTGTAGCAGAGCCTAGCTAATTACCCTTCATAATTAGAATTGTCCTATCTACTACGGAGTGTTATAGACCCTCTTTCCACAGGAGGGGAAGAAAGAAAGAAGCCGGAATCCCCCTGCCATCCTATGTCTTTGCATTATTGCCTCACTACCACATATGATCTTCAGAAGAAAACCTGGTATGTTGCTCATAATGAAGATTAAGGATAGATGGAATCAACAGAAAATTAATTTAACAAGAGTGAAAAAACTGTTATGTCCCCTCAACCCCACCAAAAAAAAAAAAAAAAAAAAAAAAAAGAATCGTATGTTGGTCTTGTTGAAAACCTCAGTATTAACCTGAACAGAGTAGAGGTAACTATTACAAAATTTAATTGACAACATTTAAAACTACACGGTAATTTTTTTCTTTTTTACAAAAAATCGATCAGAGAATCAAATTTTGACCACGTTTTGTTTTACAAAATTTGACCTGGGAAAATTGGGCTTAGTAATAATAATGTTCACGAAAGAAAACTCCATGGTTGATGCTATCATCTTAAGTCAGACCTCAGTCGTAAAAATTTAAGCTAAGCCTATCCTAAATAAAATTTAATTAAAATAGAAATGGGGGGCGGGCGCAGTGGCTCACGCCTGTAATCCCAGCACTTCGGGAGGCCGGGGCGGGCAGATCACTTGAGGTCAGTTGTTCGAGACCAGCCTGGCCAACATGATGAAACCCCGTATCTACTAAAAATACAAAAATTAGCCGGGTGTGATGGCGCACACTTGTAACCCCAGCTATTCGGGAGTCTGAGAATCGCTTGAACCCGGGAGGCGGAGGTTGCGGTGAGACTAGATCACGCCACTGTACTCCAGCCTGGGCAACAGAGAGACCCTGTCTCAAAAAAAAAATAATTAATTAAATAGAAATGGGAGAAAAATGTGAAGAATTTTAACTGCAACTTTGAAAGGTGGTCAAGTAATTAGTAATAGGGTTCATCTCGGAAGACAACTGAAGAGAGAGGGGAGGAGACTTCCCCTGAAGTTTAGCATGAAGTTTTTAAAGCCCAACCAACACTCAGGGTGCCCAACTCCCAAATCAGCACTGTTAGACATCATTCTCCTTTGGTGACTCTAAAGCATGTTTTGACTAAGTTAAAATCTGCTGTTAAATTCTGATATAAAATGCAGCCGGGCATGGTGGGCTCACACCTGTAATCCCAGCACTTTGGGAGGCCGAGGCGGCTGGATCACCTGAGGTCGGGAGTTCGAGACCATTCTGGCCAACGTGGTGAAACCCTGTCTCTACTAAAAATACAAAACTTAGCTGGGCATGGTAGCATGTGCCTTGTAGCTCCAGCTACTAGGGAGGCTGAGGCAGGAGAATCGCTTGAACCTGGGAGGCAGAGGTTACAGTGAGCCGAGATCGTGCCACTGCACTCCAGCCTGGAGACAGAGCGAGACTCCACTCCATCTAAAAAATTAATTAATTAATCAATTCTGGTCTTAAAAAAAAAAAAGCCAAGTTTAAGCATCTTGAGTTTTCCAGAGATCACTCCTTTTCTGCTAATTTTCTCACACACATCCAAAGTTTAATGGATTCCTCAGCTTGAGGAGTTCTCCATAAGGGGATGAGGTATACATTTAGACGGATATTTTGGTATTGTGATAAAAATGCTCAATGAAGCCGGGGGCAGGGTAAGGGTGGGCATGAAGTGGTCTAAATTAGTGATTCCCAAAGATCTGTGTATGGACAGGTGCAAGTGGCTAACAAAGTTTGCCATGAGGATGTGAGAAAAGTAAGCAATACATCTTTCATTTATTTATCTGATTTCACATTATATTTCATTCTGAGATTTAGTCTTTTCACATATGTGTCATTAAAATGCTCTTTTATAAAAAGGTGCCGATGGTAGATGGTTTTGGTTTTTAAAATATTCTTGCTCGGTTAAAAGTTGAGCCCGGGTGCAGTGGCTCACACCTGTAATCCTAGCACTTTGGGAGGCCAAGGAAGGGCAATCACCTGAGGTCAGGAGTTCGAGACCATCCTGGCCAACATGGTGAAACCCTGTCTCTACTAAAAACACAAAAATTAGCCGGGCGTGGTGGCGCATGCCTGTAATCCCAGCTACTTGGGAGGCTGAGGCATGAGAATCGCTTGAACTGGGGAGGTAGAGATTGCAGTGAGCCGAGATTGTGCCACTGCACTCCGGCCTGGGCAAGAGAGTGAGACTTTGTCTCAAAAAAAAAGTTGAAAGCTGCGTACGGTGGCTCATGCATGTAATCCCAACACTTTGGGAGGCCAAGGCAGGAGGATCATTTGACTCCAGGAGTTCCAGGCTGCTGTGAGCTATGATCAAACCACAGCATTCCAGCCTGAGCAACAGAGTGAGACCTTGTCTCAATAAATGAATGAATGAATGAATGAATGATAGGTACTTGTATGTCTAATCCTCCTCGCCTTTTTTTTAGAACTTGTGTAAGCCCATTAAATTCTACTGGTCTAAATGACTTCTGGAAACCCTTCTAACCCTGAGATTCTATAATTTTGTATATAAGGTATGAGTCCTCCTTTGTTTCCTGCCTGCTATAGTCACCATTCCAACACTGACAGTGCCCAGCAAAATGCACAAAAATGAGATGTGAGTGGGTCTAGCCTTTTCAAATGTGATTTTAGTTTCTTAAGATTTAAATTTATTGGATTTAAGAATGGCAAAATTGTTTTTTTTTTTTTTTACATAGAAAATGAAGTCCTCAGGTGTTGGCTATGACTCAGCCTTCTTCTTAAAGTCATGTATCATTTGCAGTAATTTTAGCCTAAAAGATTGAAGAATAACCTGTTTTTGGTGTTGCTGTTAAAGTCACAAATCATTCTGTACTTATTGAATCAGCAGCAGCTTTGGTGTAATGAAAGGAGTCTTTTAGGCCAGGCACGGTGGCTCACGCCTGTAATCCCAGCACTTTGGGAGGCCAAGGCAGGCGGATCACAAGGTCAGGAGTTCGAGACCAGCTGGCCAATATGGTGAAACCCCGTCTATACTAAAAAGTACAAAAATTAGCCGGGCGTGGTGGCAGGCGCCTGTAGTCCCAGCTACTCAGGAGGCTGAGGCAGGAGAATCGCTGGAACCCGAGAGGCGGAAGTTGCAGTGAGCTGAGATCGTGCCATTGCACTCCACCCTGGGCTACAGAGTGAGACTCTGTCTCAAAAAAAAAAAAAAAAAGAAAGAAAGAAAGGAGTCTTCAAAGAGCAATTTCTGGCTTCTAGATCAGATGAATTCACTAAAAATATCAAAAGTGTAGAATAAAAATAAAAATTTTAGACCTTGAGGGAAATACAGAGATCACCTAGTTCAATAATAATAATTGTATTTTTTAATGCTTTGCAATTTACTTATGAGTCAAAGTCTCACTCTGTCACCCAGGCTGGAGTACAATGGCACCACCATAGCTCACTATAGTCTAGACCTCCTGGGCTCAAGCAATCCCCCTGCCTCAAGCTTCCCCAGTAGCTAGGACTATAGGCAGGCACCACCATGCCTGGCTAATTTTTTTTTTTTTTTTAACTTTTTGTAGAAATAGTGTCTTGCCTTGTTGCCCAGGCTGGTCTTGAACTCCTGGACTCAAGTGATCCTGACGCCTCATCCTCCCAAAACGCTAGGATGACAGGCAAGAACCACTGTACCCAGCCTGCAATTTAGAGTACTTTCACACATATCATTTGTGCCCCAGTAAGACAAAGTGGCTTGCCCAAAATCATAGAGATCTTAGTGGCAGTGACAGGACTAGAGCCACAACTACTACCAAAAGAAAGAGAAAAAGGAAAGAGTAGAACACAAATTAGGACAATCATGTCCCAGGGATTACTTCTGTGTTCGTAGGGAATTCAAGATGAATTTTAAAACTTTTTTTTTTCTTGGCTGGGTGTGATGGCTCATGCCTATAATCCCTGCACTTTGGGAGGCTGAGATAGGAGGATCGCTTGAGGCCAGGAGTTCAAGACCAGCCTGAGCAACATAGACCACATCACTACAAAAATGTTTTAAAATAATAAAAACAAAAACCATTTTTTTAAGCCACAGTGTTTACTCAAGCAACGGTCACTGGTATCCAGAATGTGCTTTGAGTGAAATGATAGAGACAAGCACAAGAAGTCTAGATGGATGCTAAAAACAGAAGGGTAGCCTGCCAATCTCTAGAATTGTTTGGTGCAAGTAAATAGAAAAATGGAATGCCTTAGAAACGTCAGTGTCCCAAGTGTTGTTTATTTTATTTATTATTTATTTTTGAGATGGAGTCTCACTCTGTCGCCCAGGCTGGAGTACAGTGGCGCGATCTCAGCTCACTGCAACCTCCGCCTCCCGGGTGCAAGTGATTCTCCTGCCTCAGCCTCTTGAGTGGCTGGGATTACAGGCACATGCCACCATGCCCAGCTAGTTTTTGTATTTATTTATTTATTTATTTATTTATTTATTTATTTTGAGATGGAGTCTCGCTCTTGTTGTCCAACCTGGAGTGCAATGGTGCAATTTTGCCTCACTGCAACCTTCGCCTCCCAGGTTCGAGCGATTCTCCTGTCTCAGCCTCCCAAGTAGCTGGGATTACAGGCATGTGCCACCACACCCAGCTAATTTTGTATTTTTAGTAGAGACGGGGTTTCACCATGTTGACCAGGCTGGTTTCAAACCTCTGATCTCAGGTGATCCACCTGCCTCGGCCTCCCAAAGTGCTGGGATTACAGGTATGAGCCACTGCACCTGGCCGTAATTTTGTATTTTTAGTAGAGATGGAGTTTCTCCGTGTTGACCAGGCTGGTCTCAAACTCCTGACCTCAGATTATCCACCTGCTTCAGCCTCCCAAAATGCTCGGATTACAGGTGTGAGTCACCAGTGTCAGGTGTTGTTTAACTCTTACACAGTCCTGTGCATAATCAGCATCAGATAAGGGAATTCATGGAGTAATTGAAAACATGAAGACATTAGAAATGTGCAGTTGGGTCAGAGTGATAATCCATTCAGCCTGTTTTTCAGTCTTGGATAGTGATGCCATTTCTGTCCCTTTCTTTAATCAGTCCCTGTTCTCCCCCTCTGCATTGTCCATGGGGTTTTGTGAAAGTGGATTGCTGCATCTATGACAGTGTTTTGCGGTGGCTAGGTCTGTGCAAAAGTACCCCAAAGTCTGAGGAAGTTGGGATGCTGAAGGAAGAAGCTGACAAATACAGTATTTAAGAAAGAAACATTTAATAGGGACTTCGAACAGAAGCCATTGAGTTCAAGGAACAGAAACCAAGATGGTGGATACCCATGCCATTACGCCCGAGACCCAGGACTTATATACCACAGGGAAAGGAATGGTTCAGATATGACCTGTAGGACAATTGAAGTGGATAACATCAAAGTTGTTTGACCTAAGAGTAGGATTTACAGTAAATATCTGCTGTTACACAAGGAACATAGATAAACTGGGAATTTTCAAGGACTTCCTGGAACTGCAGTTAAGCCAAAATGGTGGCTTAGTTTCCAAGATGGAGTTGCTTTGTTTGTTTGTTTGTTTGTTTATTTATTTATTTATTTGGGACAGGGTCTCCTTCTGTTGCCCATGCTGGAGTGCAGTAGTGTGATCATGGCTCACTGCAGCGTTAAACTCCTAGGCTCAAGCAAGCCTCTGCCTTAGCCTCCCAAGTAAATGGGACCACAGGCATGTGCCACTGCACCTGGCCTAACAGGGAGTTGCTTTAGCCTCCCATCCAGGAGGAGTTGCTTTAGCTTCCACAGTTAGCAACTTCAAACCCATTTGAGACTGCATGTATTGCTTACTTTTTATGGCCTAATTAACCATACATTTATTTCAATTAATGTTATTTTTTGAATATATTTATTCTTTTGATTCATATAGCTTCTAGATTCTAAAGATTGGTAAGTTCTATATGTTTACCCAATAATTTTTTTTTTTTTTTTTTGAGACAGAGTCTCACTCTGTCGCCCAGGCTGGAGTGCAATGGCACGATCTTGGCCCACTGCAACCTCTGTCTCCTGGGTTCAAGCAATTCTCCTGCCTCTGCCTCCCAAGTAGCTGGGATTACAGGTGCCTGCCACCACGACTGGCTAATTATCATATTTTTAGTAGAGATGGGCAGAGACGGGGTTTTGCCATGTTAGGCTGGTCTCAAACTCCTGACCTCAGGTGATCCACCTGACTTGGCCTCCCAAAGTGCTGGGATTACAAGCATGAGCCACTGTGCTCGGCCCTTTTTTCTTCTTTCTTTCTTTTTTTACGTTCTTAGAAATAGAGACAGGGACTGACCGGGCACCATGGCTTACGCCATGCAATCCCAGCACTTTGGGAGGCTGAGGCGGGCGGATCACGAGGTCAGGAGTTCGAGACCAGCCTGACCAACATGGTGAAATCCTGTCTCTACTAAAAATACAAAAATTAGCTGGGCGTGGTGGCTTGCGCCTATAATCCCAGCTACTCAGGAGGCTGAGGCAGGAAAATGGCTTGAACCCAGGAGGCAAAGGTTGCAGTGAGCTGAGATTGTGCCACTGCACTCCAGCCTGGGCGACAGAGCGAGACTCAGTCCCCCTCTCACCAAAAAAATAAGAAAGAAAGAACTAGAGAAGGGGATCTCACCATATTGTTCTGACTGGTCTTGAATACCTGGGCTCAAGTGATCCTCCCTCCTCGGCCTCCTAAAGTGCTGGGATTACAGGCGTGAGCCACTGTGCCCAACCAGACAACCCAATGATCTTTAAAAAACCATATATATATGTGTGTGTGTGTGTGTGTGTGTGTGTGTGTGTGTGTGTGTGTGTGTATATATATTTTTATATGTATAAAATATTTACTGTTCCTTTCCTTATAAATGTGACATTGAAAAATTTCTAAAATTCAGATAAATCGGAAAAAAACAAAAATCTCTTAGAGGTAATCACCAAATGTTAACATTTTGCTGTATAAAATTCCAGCATTTTTCTATGCATATGTATATATGTGTATGTGTATCAGTATATCTGCATATCACACTACTGCATTCTAGCCCAGGCAACAGAGCGAGACCTTGTCCCAAAAAATATAAGTACGTATTTTATTTTTCATTTCTTAAAATTTGCAAAAACTGGCCAGGCACAGTGGCTCACGCCTGTAATCCCAGCACTTTGGGAGGCCGAGGTGGGCAGATCATGAGGTCAAGAGTTCGAGACCAGCCTGGCCAACGTGGTAAAACCCTATCTCTACCAAGAACACAAAAATTAGCCAGACATGGTGGCACATGCCTGTAATCCCAGCTACTCGGGTGGCTGAGGCAGGAGAATTGCTTGAACCCAGGAGGCAGAGGTTGTAGTGAGCCAAGATCACACCACTGCACTCCAGCCTGGGCGACAGAACAAGACTCCGTCTTGGCGGGGAACAAATGTGCAAAAACTAGTCATGGTATACATTTTGTTTTGAGATCTGTGTTTTTCATGTAGTGATTTGTCGGAGACCTGTTTCCATATAACTAATTTTCTGAAATATCACTTTTAATGTCCATATGTTAATAATGAATCATATTGATGGAACAACATCTAACCAATCCTCGTTGAGTATTCTGGTTGTTTCCAAACTTTTGCTAATATAAACAAACTATGCTGTAATGAATATTCCTGTAGCTAAATCTTTGCTGGCATCTAAAATTAAGTGGTTTAGGATATATTTCTAGAAATGCTACTCTTCTTAAAATTCCTTGTATCATAAACAACAATTTCCAATTATGTTTTGATATAGTTTGTGGTGATTAAACCCGTATTCATGGACTATTCAATCTTTTCATTTATCTTTACAGACTTAAAAGAGATTGTTAGGTTTTCTTTTCTGACCAGCATATTGCTCTAAAACTCAATACATTTAATTGTGCAATTCCCCTATTCTCTCTCTCCCCCCAATTTCAAAATCTCAAGAATTTTGCAAGTCTGTTGTTTGCAAGGATGTGCTCATGCTATTAAAAATGTCTGTTTTATGACATAGCTAACAAGACACATTTGTTGCCCATTAGTGAAGCAATTGAGTTCTATAGATTCTTAGATTCGGTGGAAGCAAGCAGCAGGGGGTGGGGTAAAGAGAATGAGTTTCCTGGAAAACAGAATAGATGTCTTCGGAATCAAAACTACAGTGAGCCAAGTATGAGAAAAAGTAATCTCATGTTTTTTTGTTTGTTTTTTTGTTTGTTGTTTTGAGACAGATTTTCACTCTTGTTGCCCAGGCTGGAGTGCAATGGCATGATCTCGGCTCACCACAGCTTCTGCTTCCCAGGTTCAAGTGATTCACCTGCCTCAGCCTCCCAAGTAGTTGGGATTATAAGCATGCGCCACCACGCCCGACTAATTTTGTATTTTTAGTAGAGACGAGGTTCTCCATGATGGTCAGGCTGGTCTCGAACTCCCGACCTCAGGTGATCCGCCCACCTCTGCCTCTCAAAGTGCTGGAATTACAGGCGTGAGCCACCACACCTGGCCTATATTATTCTTAAAAATTATTTTGGGGTGGGAGAAGAGAAACCAAATTATCCCTTTAGTTGGGTATTTAAGGACAGGTTAAATTATGTCAGAAAATGTTATCCTGACCTTAGTCAGGAAATCTGATTTTAATTGTGACTCTACCTTAAATATTTTCCTGGACTTCAATGTTGTAATCTTTTAAAAGATGTCAGATTTTAAGATTGCTTTAAAAATATTGTGCTATTGGTTGGGTGCGGTGGCTCATGCCTGTAATCCCAACACTTTGGAGGGCGAGGGGGCAGATGACTTGAGCTTAGGAGTTTGAGACCAGCCTGGGCAATGTGGTAAAACCCTGTTTGTACTTTCAAAGAAAAAAAAAAATTGTGCCATTTATTGATGATGACTCCTATATTTTGAAGTAGAAAGAAGAAACTAACATACTCTTTGTCTTTTACAGCTTCTTAAAATTCAGATAAAATGTAAAATTCTGACAGGCAGATCTTGACTTGTGCTCTTTAATACTTAAATGTTAGGAAAATCAGATTCTCTAACCGCAAAACATACCAATAGATAGGTAGTTAGAAATTAGAAGATACTGGCCAGGTGCAGTGGCTCACGCCTGTAATCCCAGCACTTTGGGAGGCCAAAGCAGGTGGATCACAAGGTCAGGAGTTCGAGACCAGACTGGCCAACATGGTGAAACCCCTTCTCTACTAAAAATACAAAAATTTGCTGGGCGTGGTGGCAAGCACCTGTAGTCCCAGCTACTCGGGAGGCTGAGGCAGGAGAATTGCTTGAACCTGGGAGGCAGAGGTTGCAGTGAGCCGAGATCACGCCACTACACTACAGCCTGGGCAACAGAGCAAGACTCTGTCTCAAAAAAAAAAAAAAAAAAAAGGCAATAATTATACCTTACTTTTCAGTATAGCTTTCCCTGGGGGTGGGGGAGGGGCATTACTTAAGTGACCTCTGTAAATCTCTTTTAGTCTGAAAAGTCCTTGCATAGATTTTCATAAAGGGAAAACACAAAATGACTTTTACTCTTCAACGTAGTCTAATCCTTGGCAAAGAGTTACTGTGAAATAATGCCGGAGGCTTTAACTCGTTTGTCTGCAATGAACACTCTGCAGTGTAATATATGCAATGCCAGAGATATGTCCTGACAGGGAGGAAATTCAAGTCATCAATGTTCCATCTACTCATTGAAAACATTACTGATAAGGCCAGGACTTGAGAAGCACAAAAAAAGACTAAATGCTGCATTTCGCCTGTGTTTCCTATCCCACTCCCATTACCTTATTCTAATCAGTCTGTCCCGGCAATATTTAGATAATCAAATTGTATTTTAAATTTTCTATTTTAATCACAACAACCATTAATTCCTGGAAATGTGCTGTCATATGTGGCATTTTGGAATATTTGTGTTAGCTATTTTTATTTGGAAGAATTTTATAGTATTTTGGAGTTTCTGCAATTTCTATGTCCCTTTCTTTTCTCAGCCCCTGTTCTCTTCCTCTGCATTGTTCATTAGCAAGGGCATGAAACTGTGCTCCTCGTGACTCATTATTACTCACTATAGTAATCTAACTCTTCTTTGTGAGACTAAATTTGGAAGATGCTTGAGTTGCCATTCCTGAGGAGAGCTGGTCCTAAGAACACATCCTGTTAACTCTTAACTCTCCATGCTGATGCCAGGAAGCACTGATACTTATCACAGAAAATGAACTAACTGCTCCATTTCAGCCTGGCTAAGCCCAACACCACTGCAAAAAGACTTTCTGCAGTGAACAGAGCCAGGGCGCTGAGTAGGGAAAAAAAGAACTTTGGGCAAAAAAAGAACTTTGGGTTTTAGGGCCCTAATCCACAAAGCATAAAAAGTCAGTTTGTATTTATATGGCACTGTATAGTTCATAGAGTATTTTGTGATTCACTGACTTGTGTTTTTCCTGGCCAGTATAAGAGCTAGGTAACTGCAGCTATTGTATCCATCGTAGGTGTGAGGAAGCCAGAGCTTACCCAAGAACACCAGCTTTTATTTTTATTATTTTTATTTATTTATTTATTTATTTTTGAGACGGAGTCTCGCTCTGTCGCCCAGGCTGGAGTGCAGTGGCGCGATCTCGGCTCACTGCAAGCTCCCGGGTTCACGCTATCCTCCTGCCTCAACCTCCCGAGTAGCTGAGACTACAGGGCCCACCCGGCTACCACACCCGGCTAACTTTTTGTATTTTTAGTAGAGACAGGGTTTCACCGTGTTAGCCAGGATGGTCTTGATCTCCTGACCTCGTGATCCGCCCGCCTCGGCCTCCCAAAGCGCTGGGATTACAGGCGTGAGCCACCGCGCCCGGCCAAGAACACCAGCTTTTTGAGAAGGATTCCTTACATTCCACACCACTGTTCTATGATGTATGTCTGTTTACTTTTACAGGGAACATGTCCTGTCCAGAGCTTTCTGCCTGTTCTAGATCTGAATGGGGAGTAAAGTAGCAGAGATTACCTAAGTAGGCTTACATTTGACTTAAATCATCCCCCTCCCCCCTTGGCTCATTTACATAGTTCATCTGCAGCTCAATAAATCTCAATTCTGCCGCTTGGTGTTCCATCAGGGTCTGACTTCCAGTTGTGCCTGAATTCCCACAGTTTTGAGAGTCAGCACCCATCTTCATCGTGTCTGAATCTCAAACCCAGCAGTTCCTGGTGTGCTGTCCAGTTCCTTGATCCAGCTGTCTGATCCCGGTTACTCACCTCTGTCTTCCTGTCCCCACCAGCCATCCTTCCTAGACAATGCTGCTTATTCCTGCTTCATCAGTGTTCATTTCTTCTGCCTCTTCCCTGTCAGATTCTAAAGCCAATTGACCTATTTAAACCTTAGCTACCCACCAGCCTTTCTACACCCTTCTTGCTTCCTGTCAGACTCCGAACCTGATCTGAGCTCCTAAATCTTGCTTCCTTGTGTGTGTTCTGTAGGCCAGGCAAATGATAGACTTAAGACTCTTTCTACTTACCTTCTAGCCCCCTCTAACCTATATGCAAGCCATGTTTTGATGATTTGTGGCTTAGGATTTCAAGTTCTGTCATTCTTCTTAGCCTGTATTTTTTTGTGTCCTACACTGTATCATTGATTGCCATAGCTTCTGCCCTAGTTGATATAGGATATGTGAGAGCACTTTGTTTAGGCCATAAACCTCTTAGAAATATACTCTGCTGCTGTTATTATTAGGCAATTCAAGCCAAAGGTGACTTTCTCTAACCTTCCTGGGGGAGGGAGACAAGCTTTCAGCTGAAATAGAAACTTTACAATTATTGTCCAAAGCCAAAAATAAGAAAGTGTAACAACTATGACACGACCACTTCTGGTATCTTCGTGTAGAAGATTCCTTTTGACAAGGTCATCACTGTAGACTTTCAGATGTGTCATAGGAAACAGATAAAAATTTCTAGATTATTCTAAAGGTTTTAGAACCTTTCTTCTAATCAACGTGAAGATATTGAGTTTGAGTTTTCATCTACACTGATTGATTTTCCCACGCATAGGTAATAATTAGTTTAAATTTTTTTTTTTTTTTTTTTTTTTTTTGAGACAGAGTCACTCTGTCGGCCAGCCTGGAGTGCAGTGGCGCGATCTTGGCTCACTGCAGCCTTCGCCTCCTGGATTCAAGCAATTCTTATGCCTCAGCCTCCTGAGTTGCTGAAATTGTAAACATGCACCAACACGCCTGGCTAATTTTTATATTTTTAGTAGAGATGGACAGGGTTTCGCTGTGTTGACCAGGCTGGTCTTGAACTCCTGTCCTCAAGCAATCCATCTGCCTCAGCCTCCCAAAGTGCTTTAATATTTATACAGTGCTTTATACAATATTAGTCTTACGTATGTTATCTTATATCATAAAAAAATTTCATTGGGAAAATAATTTCATTGTTTTAAATTTTAGATAGGGCAACTTAAGCCCAGATATCTTACTTAACTTGCCCAGGTGCACTAAATGACTCAAGGTTGCATCTTGTACTTGAACTCAAATTTTTCTTACTCCAAAGAACCTGCTTTTTCATTTCTCCCGTTTATGCATCTCAGGACTACAAAACACCCTGGGAAGGAAACTGCTCATCTCTTTCAAGATTAAGGGAAGATATAAAAACAGACATCCTCGGCCGGGCGCGGTGGCTCCCGCCTGTAATTCCAGCACTTTGGGAGGCCAAGGCAGGTGGATCACCTGAGGCCAGGAGTTCGAGGCCAGCCTGACCAACATGGAGAAACCCCGTCTCTACTAAAAATACAAAGTTAGCTGGGCGTGGTGGTGCATGCCTGTAATCCCAGCTACTCAAGAGGCTGAAGCAGGAGAATCGCCTGAACCCAGGAGGCGGAGGTTGCCGTGAACCGAGATCGCGCCATTGCACTCCAGCCTGGGCAACAAGAGTGAAACTCTCTCAAAAAAACAAAACAACTCCCAGACATCCTCTTAGTAGATCCCATGGTATGGCACAGCAAGGTATGTTAATGAACCCATGGCACATCGTGATCTTAATGATTATACAATGCTGCCATCTTGAGGATATGATCAGTAATTGTTATTCTAGCCAGCCTTCTGTGGCCTAGCATCAGGCACAGCCAGAAAGCTGAATCTGGACAGTCAGATGTTAAATACCCAGCAAGGAGCTACAGTCAAGGAGGCCAAAATAACATTTGAGGAGCCAGGCAAGTGTTAGGAGATTGAGCAAACCTGTGGTGCTTTCAGAACAAGGTAAATGAAAAGGACCAAATTAGGGCACATCAATTCATGTATGCAGGATAAGAAAAACGGGGCCTTTTATTTACTCCCAAAGCACCCTGTTCTTCCTTCTAGTATAGTGCCATCTCACTGTATTATAATTGCTATAAACTGGTTTCTCCCAGTGGACCGATGAGCCATGACAGCAGAGAATAAGTCCTGTTATAGTTATATCTGCATTGTGTCCTCAGCATTAGCACACTGGGTAATAAGTATTTAGTAAATATTTTGTGGCTTAATGAGTGACAGGCATAGGCAGCAGGGGACAAAGTCAAAATAATGGCAGAGCCAGTTTTCCAGATTTCCAGATCAGTGCTACTATCTACTATACAACATATATTTATGAATGGGCAAAAGCATACTGGCTACCAAGAGACACTGAAATATACCTAGCCTTTTAGGTGGCCACCAGCAATGATAGCCATGAGGCATGTCTCTAAGGCTGTAAGCACTGGGCTTATTTATTGAATACCACTTTGGACCAGTCACTGCACTAAGTGCCAGGACTGCAATGAAGAACAAAAAAGATAGCCCCAGCCCTTATGAGGTTTACAGCCTAGATCTAGACTATACTACTGATCAGACAGGGCCTTTCATGGTCATCATGACTTGGTGAGGACATGTGATTCCACAATCTGGTCTTAGCTTTGTAATGTCAGAAACTCTAATTTTTTTTTTTTTTTTTTTTTTTTTTTTTTTTTTTGTGAGACAGAGTTTCCCTCTTGTTGCCCAGGCTAGAGTGCAATGGTGCGATCTCTGCTCACTGCAACCTCCGCCTCCCAGGTACAAGCAATTCACCTGTCTCAGCCTGCCAAGTAGCTTGGATTACAGGCATGTGCCACCACGCCTGGCTTTTTTATATTTAGTAGAGACAATGTTTCACCATGTTAGTTAGGCTCATCACGAACTCCTGACCTCAGGTGATCCACCCGCCTTGGCCGCCCAAAGTGCTGGGATTACAGGCCTGCACCACCGTGCCTGGCCCAGAAACTCTATTTTATCTATGGCTTTGGAAGAAGTTTAGACTCATTGAACCTTCAAAAACCCTATGTGGGACAGGCGAGGTGGTTCACACCTGTAATCCCAGCACTTTGGGAGGCTGAGGTGGGTGGATCACCTGAGGTCAGGGGTTCAAGACCAGCCTGGCCAACATGATGAAACCCTGTCTCTACTAAAAATACAAAAATTAGCTGGTCATGGTAGCAGGCACCTGTAATCCCAGCTACTCGGGAGGCTGAGGCAGGAGAATTCACTTGAGCCTGGGAGGCAGAAGTTGCAGTGAGCCAAGATTGTGCCACTGAACTCCAGCCTGGGTGACAGAGCGAGACTGTCTCAACCCCCCCATCCTCCCCCCCAAAAAAACCAACCAAACAACAACAACAACAACAACAAAAAACCTTATGTTGGGGGTATCGTTATCACCCCAGATTTTTATACCCAGCTCACACAAATGAGGAAACTAAGTATTAAGACAGGCTAGTTAACTTGTCCAAAGTTACAAAAGATAGTAAGTGGAGGAGCCAGGACATGAAATTTCAAGTTCACTGTCCTTCCAGTGTGTGACAAGGACCAGTTTATTCACTTGTTAATGGTTATAGCTTTCTCTGTCAATCCAACAGAACCGTTATCTCACTGAGAACTACATGTCATTCTACTCCCCACTTTCAATTTTATATGTATATATGTGTGTACATATATCTCTTCTAATTATATATATAATCATGTCACTTATTCATTAAATACTTCAGTGTATATTTCCCAATAACAAGACGTTTTCTTTATAACTGTATTAATTTATCAAAATCAAGGAATTTAATGTTGATACAATACTATTGTCTAATCCATAGTCCATATTCAGATTTTATTGATTGTCTCAATAATGATTTATATTTTTTACCAGTCCAGGATTCAATTCAGGATCAAACATTGTATTATTTCTTGTCATCTTAATTTCCTTCAATCTGGAATTTTCAGCTTTTATGTTTCTTCATCTTGACATTTTTGAAAACTACAAACCAGTTTTTCTGTAAAACGTCCTTTAATTTGCATTTATTTTGTTTGTACGTGATGAGATTCAGGTTATACTTTTTGGCAGGAATACCTCTGAAATAACATTGTGTCCTTTCCTTTGCATCATATCAAAAATTACATTATGCCAACCCAGCATATCTCAGTATTGATAACATTAGCTTTTATCTTTTGGTTAAGGTGGTGTCCACAAAGTTATTCCACTTCAAAGTTACCATTTCCCCTTTGTTTGTTAATAAGTAATGTGTGGCAAGGTATTTTGAGACTACATAAATATACTGTTCCACACTAAACTTTCACTGTGGCATCCGTTAAGGTTTTTCTAAATATACCACTCCTTCTATATTTATTAGTTGAATTTTACATTCTTCTTCATTTCTTTCTTTATACATCCAGTTATTTATATCAGTATGAACTTATGGATTATTATTTTACTTAATGGATTATAACCTGTTAACGTTTATTTTCGTGGTTAAATTATCCAGATTTGGTCAGTGACAGTCCCTTCAAGCTGACTCCTGTGTCCTTTGGGCTCCTATGTTCTTTTAACATGTCCCCTTAATTCTTTGACACTTTCTTTTCGGCATAAATTGTTTCAGGCCCTTCTTGTACTTTCTCTACCTTAGCCATGGAATCAGCCATTTCTTTGAGGATCCCTGGTTCCTTTTAGTGGAGAGTGGTAGTATTTTAGAAACCAAGATCTGGGTACCAAATGTGTTTATCTCTATTGGTTTGTCATTACTTCTAGGACCTCTTAGCAAACAGATATCTCTTCCTCTCTTTCTCTCTCTCATCAGTTTATATACATCTAATTCCAGTCCAACTTCACAAGGTGCATTCTAGTGTTCTTCTTTTGCACACGTACTTTTTTTTTTCCTTAACAGTCAGAAACCTGATTCTTATTATCCTCTATCTATCTATCTATGGTTCCAGTTATCCTCCCACCTCAGGCTCCTGAGTAGCTGGGACTACAGGTGTGCACCACCACGCCTGGCTAATTTTTTTATTTGTTTATTTTGTAGAGACAGGGTTTCGCCATATTGCCTAGGTTGGTCTTGAACTCCTGTGCTCAAAGAGTACTCCTGCCTTGGCCTCCCAAAGTGCTGTGATCATAGGCATGAGCCACCGTGCCTGGCCAATATACTTGATTAAGCCTAAAATGTACAGAAGATAGATTCATAATTGCTAACCTGTACCTCCGAAAAAGCAAACCTAATTAAAATTCAATATTTATTTATAATGTTTTGAGGTAAAATTTACATACTGAGAAACATACAATGTTAGGTGTGCAATTCTCTGAGCTTTAACAAATGCATGTACCCTTGTATCCCACACCCCTATCAAGATACAATACATTGGCCGCGTGGTGACTGATGCCTGTAATCCCAGCATTTTGAGAGGCCTGAGGTCAGGAGTTCAAGACCAGCCTGGCCAACATGGTGAAACCCCCGTCTCTACCAAAAATACAAAAATTAGCTGGGCATGGCAGCATGTGCCTATAATCTCAGTTACTTGGGAGGCTGAGGCAGGGAGAATCGCTGGCACCTGGGAGGCAGAGGTTGCAGTGACCTGAGATTGTGCCATTACACTCCACTCTGGGCAACAGAGCAAGACTCCATCTCAAAAAAAAAAAAAAAAAAAAAGATACAGTACATTACCATCACTCCAGAAAGTTCCTATAAGTCTTTTCCTAGTCAGTCACTTCCCCATTCAGAGATAACAACTGTTCTGATTTTTTTTTATCATAGATTTGTTTTCCCTATTCTAAAAAATGTGTATGTATATTTATGTGTATGAAATCATATAGTATGTGCTCTTTGTGTCCAGCTTCTTTTGCTCAGCCTAATATATGTGAGATACATTCATGTTGTTGTATACATTAGTAGTTTGTTTCTTTTTTTTGTAAAGTAGTACTTTGTTGTTTGGATGTGACACAGTTTATCCTTTATACTGTAAGTGGATATATAGGTTTTAAAATTTTGGCTATTATAAATAAAGAAAATATATACATTCTTCTACGTGACTTTCTGTGGGCACATGTTTTCATTTATTTTGGTCAAATACCAACTAGTTGAATTGCTGGGTCCTAGTAAGAGAAGTTTCTGTTTATTTTTATTTATTTATTTATTTATTTATTTTTATTTTTGAGATGGAGGTCTTACTCTGTTGACCCAGGCTGGAATGCAGCAGTGCGATCTCTGCTCACTGCAACCTCTGCCTCCCAGGTTCAAGCGATTCTCCTGCCTCAGCCTCCCCAGTAGCTGGGACTACAGGCACCTGTCACCACGCCCGACTAATATTTGTATTTTTAGTAGAGATAGGGTTACATTATTTTGGCCAAGATGGTCTTGAACTCCTGACCTCAGGTGATCTGCCCACCTTGGCCTCCCACAGTGCTGGGATTACAGGTGTGAGCCACCACACCCGGCCTTATTTATTTATTTTGAGATGGAGTCTTGCTCTGTCACCCGGGCTGGAGTGCAGTGGCTCGGTCTTGGCTCACTGCAACCTCCGCCTCCCAGGTTCAAGCGATTCTCTGGCCTCAGCCTCCTACCTGAGCAGCTGGGATTACAGGTGCGCACCACCACGCCCGGCTAATTTTTGTATTTTTAGTTGAGCGAGGGTTTCACTATGTTTGCCAGGCTGGTCTCCAACTCCTGACCTCAGATGATGTGCCCGCCTCGACCTCCCAAAGTGCTGGGATTTCAGGTGTGAGCCACTGCACCTGACCATATGTTTAACTTTATTAGAAACTGCCAAACTTTTTTTCCAAAGTAGGAGTACTGTTTTATATTGGATGTTTTTAGTATTTTTCATGTTTATTCATTCTAATGTGTATGCAGTAGTAATTCCCAGCCAGTACAATAATGCAAGAAAAGATACACAAAGCATAAAAATTAGACAGAATGAAGTGAAATTTTCTCTAGTCACGGATGATATGATTTTGTACATAGGAAATCATGAATTTTTAAAACACCTACTAAAGCTAATAAATGAATTTAGCAAGGTTTCCAGGTACAAGGTCAATATATCTAAATTAGTTATATGTCTCTATACTAGCAACAAACAATTGGAAAATTAAAATTAAAGTTTAACTTATATTACCGGGTGCAGTGGCTCACACCTGTAATCCCAGCACTTTGGGAGGCCGAGGTGGGTGGATCACCTGAGGTCAGGAGTTTGAGACCAGGCTGACCAACATGGTGAAACCCCATCTCTACTAAAAAAAATACAAAATTAGATGGGCATGGTGGTGGGCACCTGTAATCACAGCTACTCAGGAGGTTGAGGCAGGAGAATCGCTTGAACCCAGGAGGCGGAGGTTGCAGTGAGCCGAGATCCTGCCATTGCACTCAAGCCTGGACAACAAGTGCGAAACTCCGCCTCAAAAAAAAAAAAAAAGTTTGGCCAGGCGCGGTGGCTCACACCTGTAATCCCAATACTTTGGGAGGCAGAGGTGGGCGGATCACGAGGTCAGGAGTTCAAGACCACCCTGGCCAATATGGTGAAACCCCGTCTCTACTAAAATTACAAAAATTAGCTGGGCGTGGTGGTGTGCACCTGTAGTCCCAGCTACTTGGGAGGCTGAGGCAGAAGAATCGCTTGAACCCGGGAGGCGGAGGTTGCAGTGAGCCCAGATCACACCAGTGCACTCCAGCCTGGGTGACAGAGCAAGACTCCATCTCAAAAAAAAAAAAAGTTTAACTTACATTGTACACAAAAATAAAGATGTTTAATTGGCTAGATTTTGTTTTGTTTTTGATTTTTTTGAGATGGAGTTTCACTCTTGTTGCCCAGGCTGGAGTGCAGTAGCACAATCTTGCCTCACTGCAACCTCTGCCTCCCAGGTTCAAGTGATTCTCCTGCCTCAGCCTCCCAAGTAGCTGGGATTGCAGGCATGCGCCACCACGCCCAGCTAATTTTTTGTATTTAGTAGAGATGGGGTTTCACCATGTTGGTCAGGCTGGTCTGGAACTCCTGATCTCAGGTGATCCACCCACCTCAGCATCCCAAAGGGCTGGGATTACAGGCATGAGCCACCGCGTCCGGCCAAGTTTTGTTTTGTTTTGTTTTGCTTCGTTTTGAGACAGAGTCTCTCTCTGTCACCCAGGCTGGCATGCAGTGGCACGACCTCGGCTCACTGCAACCTCTGCCTCCTAGGTTCAAGCAATTCTTGTGCCTCAGCCCCCTGAGTAGCTGGGATTACATACAAAAATAAAATTTTAGGGAATCAACAAAAGTTGAGTATGACCTCTACACTGAAAACTATAAAACTTTGCTGAGAGAAATTAAAGAAGACCTACGTAAATGGGGATACAGTGCACGTTTATGGATTGGAAGACTCAAAAAAGTGTTAAGGTGTCATTTATCACCAAATTGATCCACAGATTAAATTCAATCCTAATCAAAATCACAGTAGGCTATTTAAAAATAGAAATTGACAACGTGGGCCAGGCACAGTGGTGCATGCCTGTAAACCTAACACTCTGGGAGACCGAAGCAGGAGCACTACTTGAGCCCAGGAGTTTGAGACCAGCTTGGGCAACATAGCAAAACCCTGTCTTTACAAAAAATAAAAAGTTAGCTGGGTATGGTGGTGCATGCTACTTAGGAGACTGAGGTGGGAGGATTGCTTGAGCCCAAGAGATCGAGGCTGCAGTGAGCTGTGATCTCTCCACTGCACTCAGTCTGGGTGACAGAGTGAGACCCTGTCTCAAAAAAAAAAAAAAAAAAAAAGAAGTTGACAAGCTGATTTTTAAAATTATATGAAAGTGCAAAAGACCTAGCATAGCCAAAACAACCCTGGAAAATAAGAACAAACTTGGAGGTCTTACAATACCTGGCTTCAAGACTTTCTATTATATAAAGCTACTATAATCAAGAAAGTGTAATACTGGGATAGGAATAGATAAATTGATACCTTGAACTGAATAGAGAGTCCAGAAATAGAACCACCTTTATATGGTCAATTGATCTGCAACCAAAGTATCAAAGCAATTCAATGGAGGAAAAGAAAGTCTTTTCAACCAGTGATGCTGGAAAAACTGATAATCTATATGAAGAGAATATATAGTTTGTTTCTTCTTTCTCTTATCCTCTTATGTAACATGGGATGTATTGACTTAATATCATAGTATGTAAATATTGTTAACTTTACATGGTAGTATTTAAGTTACAGGCTATCAAGGAGACAAGTAAACATTACCCAAGGACTTTGCATTCTCTTCTGGGGAAAGGGTTGATGCATTTTCAGTTGTATGCAGAATACTGTGTAATATCAGGTGGAAGTATGAACTTGTTATTGTCTTTATTTGGAAGCATGGTTTAAGGAGATGCATATGGGTACCAAGCTGACAAGTGATGGACTTGTGAGGGTTAACGTATCAACTTGGCTGGGCCTCAGTGTCCTGATAGTTGGTCAAACATTATTCTGGATGTTTCTGTGAAAGTGTTTTTGGATGAGATTAACCTTTACATCAGTAGACTTTGAGTAAAGCAGATTACCCTCCATAATGTGGGTAGGCCTTATCCAATCAGTTAAAGGCCTTAGGAGAACAAAGACTGACCTCTTCCAAGCAAGAAGGAATTCTGCCAAACTGATTGTGTTTGGACTGAAACTACAACTCTTTCCTGAATCTCCAGCCTGCTGGCCTACACTGCAGATTTTGGACTTACCAAGTGTCTTAGTCCATCTTGTGTTGCTATGAAAGAATACCTAAGACTAGGTAATTTATTTTAAAAAAAAATTTATTTAGCTCACAATTCTGCAGGCTTGGTAGTTCAAAGGCGTGGCCCTGGCTTCTGGCAAGGACTTCTGCGCTGGGTCATAATCTGGCAGAAAAGGTCAAAGCGGAAGTAGACACATGCAAAGAGAGAAAACCCAAGGGGCATCCTGGCTTTATAACAACTTACTCTCACAGGAACTAATCCATTCCTGCAAGAACTAATCCAGTCCCACCAGAGTAAGAATTTACTCACTACCTTGAGGATGGTACCAAGACACCCACGAGGGTAAAGCCTCCATATCCCACACACCTCTCATTAGGCCCCACCTCCCAACACCACCACATGGGAACAAATTTCAACATGAGTTTTGGTAGGGACAAACAAACTGTATCCAAACCATAGCATTCCAAGTCTCATAATCACATTAGCCAATTCCCCAAAATAAACCTCTCTGTGTGTGTATGTATACACACTTTGTTAGTTCTTTTTCTCTGGAGAACTCTAATACATTTCCTTACTTCATTCACGTCACTGCTAAAATGTTCTCTCCATAGGAGCACTTTTCTTGACCAAATTATTTAAAATATCCCCTTACCCATACTAACTCAATGCCCAGTTACTCTTCAACTTCTTACCTTGCTTTATTTTCCTTCATGGCATGTATTAGTATCTAAAATTGTGTGTGTGTGTTTACTCTTTTATTGACTTTACCTCCTTCACTAGAACATTAGCTCAATGAGACAGGAACTTTTTCTGTCCTGTTTACTAATGTATCCCCAGAACAGTGCCTGCTTCAATAATATCTGTTGAATGATTCAGTAGATTATATATGCACCATATATATATTTACATATATAATCAATATATGGCCTATAACCTGCTTTTTAAAATTTACAATATATCATATCTATAACGTGGATATCCTTACATGTCAATACTCATAGATTAACCTTGTTCTTATTGGCTGCATAGTATTCCATTGTGTGAGATACTGGGATTTATTAACCAGTATCCTGTTGATAGTTATATGGGCTATTTTTAACTTTTCACTTGGATGTTTTTTAAGTCACAATAAACATCCTTATGCGAATATCTTTATATACTTTGTGTGATAGGATAAATTAATAGAAATGAAATATCTGAGTGAAAATGGTTGTATCAACTTGCACCCTTATAAATTATTTCTATCCTTGCCCACACAATGGCAGATTATTAAATCTGTAGTGACAAGACCTTGAGACTGTATTCCAAGGAACTGAATGCATGTTTCAGGAGAGGGAGTTTCCCTTTCACTAGACATTTTTCTCATGCAGTTTCTAGCAGAGGTGCACTAACAGAGGAAACTTTCATCTAGAAACCAATAAATAAAAATCAAATATTACAATCATTCAGACAATACTTGGAAGGGTACTGATCCAGAATTTCAACTATAATTTTATCTGGTGGTATGGGACCAGACTGAAACACAGAAGCTGGAGGATATTGTCTATCAGGAAGTTTACTAAAAGGCTGGGTCTCCTCACAGGTCTATCTGACTGCTCCATCTATTCTTTGCCGGCTCCCCTTTCTTTGCCTGCCCCTTGGTTGTGTTCACCAGTTTTTTGGCCTTAGCCCTCTTCTTTTCGTGCATTTACTGCTTTCCTAGAGTGATCTCATTCATCTTATGGCTTCATGTACAACGGATATGCCAGTGACCTCCTAGTCTATATTGCCAGTCCAAACTTCCCTCTCTCAGAACCTTACATCCATCTTCCTGTTGACACCTTCACTTGCATAGCACAGGTATCAGCTAGCCCAAAATTTGTCTCATCCATCGTCCACCTGACTATCCAAGACAGAAATCCCAGAGTCAGCCCAGGTAGTCATCTCCTTACATCCCATAGGTCACCAAATTCTACAGATACTCCATCAAAGTTTTACTCTTACTTTCTCCTCTTCTACCTCACTATCACTGCACCTTAATCTGAGTCTTTGTCTCTCCCTTGGCCGAATACTACAACTTCCTAAATGATTTCTCACCTCAGCCTTATGTCTTCTGGGATCCATTTTCCACTCTCTAGACAGATGATCTTTCTAGAATTAAATAATATTATGCTGTTCTCATTCTTCAATGGCTCCCCCATTACCTACAGATTACATTTAAATTCTTGAGTATGGCACCCATGCCCTCATGATCTGGTGCCTGCTTATGTCTCCAGTCTTGTCTGTCACTGAACAATCCATGCAGATCATTCAATCCACTTATAATGAAGTTCCTGCAGTTTCTGAAAACACAAGCTAGTTTCATATTGTTATGCCTTGTCTGTACTTTCTGTCTGGTATAACTTTTCATTTTCCTGGTAAGAAATGTTTCTTTACAGACTCGGTAGGAAAGGTCACCTTATCTTTGGCTCCCTAATTTCCCTATAGAATTGCCAACTCCCTGTTGTAGCAGACACCGTTGGCTGCCTACCTAAGAGCATTCCTCTTTTTCTTTCCTCTTACCCAATAAGATCCCAGTTTTGTTAAGGCTACATGGCTCTATGCTCAGGGGACTGACCCAGTGATGGGTCTTCATCCCTCTAGGCCAGTGATTGGTTTAGCTATGCACGTGGGATACTATTCTAAGCAATGAGACATGAGGAAGGGTCTGCTAGAGAGCTTCTTCAAGGGGCTTCCTCTCTTGAAAAGACACAAAGTAGAGATGGCCCTTTCTTCTGTTGGACATTGTAGTTTTTGGATAAGTTGGATTTCTGTCACTGCAACCAAATGACTATTTTTTTTTTTTTTTTTTTTTTTTTTTGGAGACAGGGTCTCACTCTGTCGCCCAGGCTGGAGTGCAGTGACGCAATCTCAGCTCACTGCAACCTCTGCCTCCCGGGTTCAAGCAGTTCTCCTGCCTCAGCATCCTAAGTAGCTGGGCAGATTGCTTGAGCTCAGGGAGTTTGAGACTAGCCTGGGCAACAAGGTGAACCCCCTGCCGTCCCCCCCCTCAAAAAATACAAAAAATTAGCTGGGCGTGTTGGCACCTGGCTAAGTGGTGGTTTTCAATACAAAATGTAAAACAGGGCCAGGCACAGTGGCTCATGCCTGTAATCCCAGCACTTTGGGAGGCCGAGGTGGGCAGATCACCTGAAGTCAGGAGTTCCAGACCAGCCTGGCCAAAGTGGTGAAACCCCATCTCTACTGAAAATACAAAATTAGCTGGGCCTGGTGGCACATGCCTGTAATCCCAGCTGCTCTGGATGCCTAGGCATGAGAATCTCCTGAGCCTGGGAAGCGGAAGTTGCAGTGAGCCAACATCATGCCATTGCACTCCACCCTGAGTGACAAAGCGAGACTCCGTCTCAAAAGCAAACAAATAAACAAAGAAATTGTAAAATAGGCCCAGAGAGGGTATGAGATGCTGGAAGAAATGCAGGCTTTGAAGTCATACTTCTGAGGTTTCAGTCCCAGTTCTGTCATTTCCTGGTAGTGAGGCCTGTGTGAGCTTCTGAATCTCTCAAAATGTCAGTTTTCTCATTTGTAGAAAGAAGATGGTAACACTTATCTTTTAGTATCATCTAGCAGAATGCCTGGCTTATAGGCTCAATAAAGCAGACAGTCTTGTTATAAAAATTATTATACATTAGTAATGAGGCTACTAAATTTGTCTGTTATGTGATAAACGTTTAGCCACCATAACATAAATTTGTCTGTTATGTGATAAATGTGTGAGCCACCACGCCCGGCCAACCAATAATTTCTTGACTTGTCTTTCTTACAGATTGATATCTCAGGGCCGTGCATGGTGGCTCACACCTGTAATCCCAGCACTTTGGGAGGCAAGGCAGGTGGATCACCTGAGGTCAGGAGTTTAAGACCAGCCTGGCCAACATGGTGAAAACCCATCTCTACTAAAAATACAAAAATTAGCCAGGCCTGGTGGTGTACAACTATAATCCCAGCTACTAGGGAGGCCAAGGCAGGAGAATCTCTTGAACCTGGGAGGCAGAGGTTGCAGTGAGCCGAGATCGTGCCACTGCACTCCAGACTGGGCAACAGAGTGAGAGACTCTGTCTGAAAAAAAAAATTGATATCTCAGGAGACAGAAGAAATAATTCTCAAAACTTACGTTCTAGACTTAGTAGAATACACTTTTTACACGGTTATAGAGATCTTTGCAGAAAGCAACCACACGAGAAACACTGTGGTATAGTAGTAGACTTGGCTTCAAATCCCAGTCACCTATGAGCTATATAATCTTGGACAACTTACTTAATCTTTCTGAGCCTCAATTTCATCATCTGTAAGATGCAAATAATATCTATCATAGGATGATTGTCAGGATTAGAAACAATCTATGAAACATTACTGACATGTATTAGGCACTCAATAAGTAGCACCTGTTTTCATTATTACTATGGAAAGAGTGGTAGATTTCACAAAGTAGAATAAAAAATTAGATATGATCCCAAGACTGAGACTCTAAAAGAGGTAGACAGCTTTTAAAAAATTTATCAGAAAAATGTATTTACTTGACTCATAGCATTGCGCGTATTGTGGTGCTAAGTACACATTTGGCACAACTTACCTCTTTCTTCTCAACCTTCTTTTGCTTACCTCTGGAACAGCAAGTGATTCTAATGATTAAAAAAAATGGTATGGGAAGAAAGTATTAGTGCTATAAAGAAGTTCTCTGATTAGCTAAACTTATAAAAGGTTGAGAAACAAACATAACACCCACTTCTCCAGGTTTGGAGCATTCAGCTCAGTTGCTGTATTAAGTACATTATGCAGATTATGTTCTTCAATTCTTTTAGTTTGGGGCCTACCAATTATTAGAAGATGACTTCCATGTGGACATTTGTCATTTTCCTGGCTGCCCAGCCTTCATGTTACCATTATACATTTGGGAAACAGGACATTGTGTAAAGCAGGGCCCTGGATCTCATTCATGGAAGCCAAAAGGCCTTGGTATCAGTTTTCTCTGATTATGATTCTGGAAAGAAGAATGAAGAGAAGCAGGCAATGTGTAAAGTTTATTCAGTAAATTTTAGTGAATTTCAGTGGTGGTGACATTCAGTAGCCGGTAACAGTAATGGCAGCTAGGTGATCTATGGCATCCAGTCCCCAGGACCAGAGCCTGAATGGCAGGGCCAGTGGCATTGCCAGTGTCCAGCAGAAACATCTTTCCTCTGGCATGGTCTCCTCTGTGGATCTGGCCACCTGGCCTCCCACAGCGCCTGTCTATATTACTAATCCAGTTCTCTAGCCTTTCTACTGATTCTTTGAGCTCCCAAATACTCTTCCAAGAAATTCCTTTTCTGCTTTGGTTAACCAGAATCAGCTTTTGTCGCTTGCAACCATGGACTCTGGCTAGTAACTAGTCTTTAGGTAATGTGCAACCCAAAAGACTCCAGTGCTGCTTACTTTAGTAAAAATCCCTTAATAAAGTCATGGTCAAATTTGCAACTGGTCTAGGAGTTCTGTCAGGGCTCCCTTTAAGGCCCATACACCTCAGGCAAAAGAAGAAATACCAAGGAAAGGGGCTGTTGTCTCTTGACTCTCAAATGTCTGCTGCCCCACCCTAATCCACCTCTTTGCCTCCTACAATGTCTTCACACTCACTTATCCACCCATTCAACAAACACTTATTCAGCACCTACTATGCACAAGGCATTATGGCAGGCAATAAGAGGAATCTAAAGATCAATAAGCTAACCCTGACAGTATACTTTTGAATTTTGAACTGGCACATGTATTTTCTTTTCAAAATACATAAAATTTAAAAATGGATCACTCTGTCAAAGGTAGAAGTGAAAGCGAACCCTTTTTTCTTTGGATTAGTGTCACCGAGGGCAAGGTGATGTCCATTTCTTTGTAAATGTTCTAGAAATCAAATGGATTCCTTTGTTAGAGGTTTCCAGTCAAAAGCAAACATCTCTCCAGAAGACTGAGAAAATAATGCCCCTTCTAAAGTCAACAAGTAGATTGCCGCTCTTCAAAATCTGTGTGACTAGGGTGAAAGATGGTGGAATTAGTGGCAGTGCATTAGAAATGCCACTCAAAATAACTGAGTCCTAAAATAGAATCAGAGAAACATCAGTTTCAAATGAAAAATATTATCCAGCTTATTTTGGTCTCCTTAAATTGCCAAGTAAATACTTGGGATCCTATAATACAGCAGCTGCCCCGGGGAGTGTTGACACTTACGTCTAAAACCACAGAATACTCAAGCAAGGAAGATGGGCACACATTACAAGTGCAAAGTATTCCATCACGTACTTCTGAAAAAAAGCGCAAAGTAAAACATGTAAAGCAGATGATTTCACACATTCAGGAAAAACTGGTCAGGCACATACACACTTTACAGGAGTGTGAACTGAGGCGTTGAGCACTCACAAGACCCTCACCTGGAAACAATCAGGAAGTCTGATCTAGGAATCAGTCTCAGCTTTGGGGTCAGCTCTTCACTTCCCGGCTGACTTTGGACAAGCCACTTAGCCACTCTAAGACTCACTTAGTTTCTTTATCAGTAGGTTAGAATAGACAAAATATCAAAATTGAAGAGAACCTTAGAGATCACCTCAATCAGTTTTTAACTTGTACCAGACTTTTCTTTGAAGCATCCCTAATAAGCTTCTCTGCTTGAATGTTTACTTTTAGTGACAGGATATGCTCTCCAGGCAACTGATGTTATTATTATTATTATTATTATTTTTGGGACAGAGTCTCACTCTGTCGCCCAGGCTGGAGTGCAGTGGTGTAATCTTGGCTCACTGCAACCTCTGCCTCCAGTGCTCAAGCAATTCTTCTGTCTCAGTCTCCTGAGTAGCTGGGATTACAGGTGCCCACCACCATGCCCAGCTAATTTTTGTATTTTTAGTAGAGACGGGGTTTCAACATGTTGGCCAGGCTGGCCTCGAACTCCTGACCTCAAGTGATCTACCCTCCTTGGCCTCCCAAAGTGCCAAAGGGATTACAGGCGTGAACCACCGTGCCCCGCCAACTGATGTTATTTTTGAAATACTCAAATTGTTAGAAAAGTTCTTCCTTACATTTTAAATTGCAATGCATCTCCTTACAGCTTTCTGCATCCTGGTGGCCTCTAAGATCATACAGGTTAGGTCTAATCCATAGGGCTACTTTTTTGAAAAGTCCTCAGCTTCCCTTGCTTTTCTTTTTTCTTTCTTTTCTTTTTCGAGACGGAGTCTCGCTCTGTCACCAGGCTGGAGTTCAGTGGCGTGATCTCAGCTCACTGCAACCTCCGCCTCCAGGATTCAAGTGATTCTCCTGCCTCAGCCTCCCAAGCAGCTGGGATTACAGGTGTGCACCACCACGCCCAGCTAATTTTTCTATTTTTGGTAGAGATGGGATTTCACTATGTTGGCCAGGATGGTCTCGATCTCTTGACCTCGTGATCTGCCCCCCCCTCAGCTTCCCAAAGTCCTGGGATTACAGCCGTGAGCCACCGCGCCCGGCACCCTTGGTTTTTCTCTTCTGCAAGCTATACCACCCCTCTCCCCTTCAGTTGCCCTCATCTGTCACATTCAAGAGGAGACACTTTTCTGGTTTTCATGTTTTTCTGAGTGTAGAGTGGTGGTTAAGCAGCCTGAACCCTCAGATAGTCTGAATTCGAATACTGGCACTGTCACTTAGTAGTTGTGTGTCATGGGCAAGTTATTTTCACCTCTGTAGCTTAAGTTTCTCTCTCTTGAAAATGAGGATAATAATAATGATACCTATCTCTTAGAGAAATTGTGAATGAGATAATTGAGACAGTACAAGTAAAACATTTAGTATAGCGCCTGGCCCTTAGTAAGCAATATGACTACTACCAGCAGTAATAATAAATAATAAGCCCTAAATTAAGCCCTAAAAATGAAAATAAGAATAAAAGAAGTGGCAGAATGAGAAAAGCTAATCTAGTCCATTCCTGACGCTACAAACAAGGTTTGGTTGCCCCGATATGAAACTTTACATGCGTTTCATAGCAACTATCACTTTCAATGGTGGGTTTAGTGTCTTGCACAGGAGCCCAATAAGGCCAGGACCTTGTCTATCGTGTTAACTGTTGTGTTCTCTGTGCCCAGAACAGTGTCTTGCTCCCAGTAGAGTGAAAGAATGGACCAACACCGTCATGTCATGGAAGCGACTGGCCGACTTGGCTAAGGTTGTGCAGGGCTCCCAGGAGAGCTGGGGCAAGAACCAAGGGCTCCTCGGCAGCCAACACTAAGAATTAAATTGAGGCCCAGCCCTACAGTTTGGTGATTCGGGCAGGAGCAAAGGTATCCAGTAATACCGGGGTCAGCATTCCCACCGGGTGGCCTAAATGCCGGCTCCTGTTTTCTGGATGACGAGCCCGCGGAGAAGGTGGCTTAATGAGAGGCCGCGGGAGGGTGGGTGCCGGCACGTCGCTAAACTCCGCCTGCAATCCTTCGGGTTGGCTGCCAGCCAGGGCACGGTTCCGAGCCGGCCGGGGCTGACTCCGGGAGCAGCGAACAGAAAACAACCTGGCTCCAGAAAGACAATTAACAAAGGCTGGAGACCAGCCACCCCCTCGCGGCGCACGCACGCAGGCAGCTGCGTGGGCATAGCCGCGCCCGCCAGCGCCCTCGGTGGGCACAGCCACCCGGAGCGGCGCGGGTGCCGGGAGCTGGGCGACGCGCCCCTCCTGCCCCGGCTGCGCTGTTGCCCGGGCGGCCGACCTCCGTGCGTGAGCGCCGGCAGGCACCTTGCGCGCGCGGGTGAGTCCGCTGGGCGTTTGGGGCCTGGTCAAGCAGGATGGGGCTGGAGAGGGGTGCAGGAAACAGCTGCTGGGAGGATCAGAAAAGGGAGGTGGGACAGAAAGGCAGGATGCGACGACCTCCCGGGTCCCAACTTGCTTGGTAGCTAGCTTTGTGTCTTGAGCCTTATGAGAATGTAAGCCACCTGGTCCATATGGCCTACCCTAGTCGTTTTACAGGTGGGAAACTGAGGCCCAGGGAGGTTAGCCGGCCTGGAAAAACATTATTATTCTTTGTTCCTGTTTCTCTCTGCCTTCTTCCGTGCAGGATTTCAGACAGCTTTTAGAAAGAATGCATACATTATAACAACGGAAAAATACAAACAATGGTAAAGAATCCTTGCCAAGCAAAATATAATTATGAATAGACAGTCAAGGCCAGGAAAAAAGAGAACAGAAATCCGTGATCCATAGGTGAGGTGACTTGGCTAAGGTCCCTCAGAAAAGTCGTGCCAAAGCTGGGACTAGAAGTCAGAACGTCCGGCTTCTGAACGCCAGAAACTTACAGTGGGGAAGCAGACAGCCTGCCCAGGCACTGGTTCTTAACCTTCTGGGGGTCCCTGACCCCTTAGAGATCTGTGTCCACTCCCAGCAGAAGGGTTCACACAAAGCCTTGTGCACAGTTTGAGATTTGACATGAATTCCTGCTGTAAGGAATGCCTGCAGGCTGCTACTCAGGCAGGGTGGTTTCAGAGCACTTTCTTTGCTCCTTTGAAGGGAGGCAGCTGGTGGAGGAGTACCTGCTGTGCGTCCAGACAGCCAGCTGTGTGATCCAGGAAGCATAGTTTAACCTTTTCAAGGCCTAGTTTTATGTGTAGACGGGGGATGAGAGTGTCTGCTTCATCCTCCAGGTTATTGTCAGACTTAAGAATGAACATAAAGGCTAGTGCTTGACATAATATATGCTCAATAAAAGTGCTGACGATTATAGGGTGACTATAGTTTACAATAATCTATTGTATATTTCAAAATAGCTAGAAGAGAATAATTTGAATGGTTCTAGCATAAAGACAAATATTTAAAGTGATGGATATCCCAAGTACACTGATTTGATCTTTATAAATATATTAAAGTATCACAGGTACCCTGAAACTATGTACATCTATTATGTACACAGTTTAAAATTTAATTTAATTAATTAAAAAAAAAAGTGATGACACACAAAATCATCAAAGCTGTGGGAATTAGGAAAGGGTGATGACCTGGAAGAAATTGGGCTGTATCTGAAATAAAATACAATTTAAAAAATTATAAACATGAAAAAATAAAGTCAGCCCTATTATGACTTACAGACCACACCACATACCTTCGTGATGGTATCCTAAATAAGGGTGCAGCAAGGTACTACCCTCAATATTTGACTCCAAGTCAAAAGCTGAAAGTAGAAACTACCAGATACTGTAACAAGGAGTGTTTACTGGGCTTCACTTGCCTCTTTCAAATGGGGTCAACACCCCGTTTTTTTGTTGTTGTTTTTTCTTTGTTTGTTTGTTTTAGACGAAGTCTCGCTGTCTCCCAGGCTGGAGTGCAATGGCACAATCTTGGTTCACTGCAACCTCCGCCTCCCGGGTTCAAGCAATTCTCCTGCCTCAGCCTCCCAAGTAGCTGGGACTACAGGCACACGCCACTATGCCCGGTTAATTTTTTGTATTTTAGTAGAGATGGGGTTTCACCGTGTTGCCCAGGCTGATTGCAAACTCCTGAGCTCAGGCAATTGCCTACCTCGGCCTCCCAAAGTGCTGGGATTACAGGCGTGAGCCACTGTGCCTGGCCTATAGAGTTTGTTTTTAAATGAGAGGAAAGAGGACATAAACTGGGACCTGAGCAGCACCCACCCTTATTCAGCAATAGAGCCTCAGCTGAATTTCTGCCAGGGAATAGGAGTTGCTGGCAGTTGGCTCACATCCCTCTTGGATCAGCAGATTACTGTGGTAAACAGTGCCTTGGCTGATTCTGCCCTAGATCAAATAAATGGCTTTTTATTTAACTAATGAGGTAGGGAATGTGTTTTCATGTGCTGTAACAGAAGCAAAATGGCATTTGTAGAGCTTGACTGTCCAAAGCCTATTGCTTGTTTATTAATAGGCTGAAGAATTTGTTTATTTGTTTGTTTATTTAGAGACAGGGTCTCCTCTGTCACCCAGGCTGAGTGCAGTGATGCAGTCACAACTCACTGCAGCCTCAACCGCCCAGGTTCAAGCAATCCTCCTGCCTCAGCCTTCTGAGTAGCTGGGACTACAGGCATATGCCACCACACCTGGCTAATTTTTTACTTTTTGTAGACACGGGGTCTTGCTATATTGCCCACGCTGGTCATGAACTCCTGGATGCCAGTGATCCTCCCACCTCAGCCTCCCAAAGTGCTGGGATTACAGGCATGAGCCACTGTGCCCAGAGAATTTTATAATTCTAATAATTGTTATTATTTTCTTAATTCCCTAATACTGGAAGGCTCAAGAACTTTAAATCTATGGATCCAAACTTGTGATGACAGAGCCTGGGCAGACTCACTTATCTATAAAAATAACTGCTTTAAAAAAAAACTGTGTTGTCTCCTTCCTCTTTTGGAAGACCTTTTTAGGCCTTCCAAATAGAACTGGGGAAATATGGCTAAGGACAAACAGCTGCTGTTTGATTTGGGTTAAGACACATACCACCTGTCCTTTCCATGTATTTATAAAGGGGAGTTTTTCCTCCAGGAAAGAGAGAGAGAATGTGTATGTCTGTCTGCGTATGGGAGAGGGGATGTCTGTTGCTGTCTTTCCGCCTCACTTCCAATCATTTATTTATCAACACAGAGAAGTCCTTTTCTGTAAGCACAGTGACTTGGAAAATTCCTTCCCTTTTTGGCTCTGTGGCTCTATTTTGTTTCACAGTAGTTTCTAAAATATTGGGATGTTTTTTCTAATTTTGACTATAAACTGTTCTTTATATGTTTCTTTTCTTTTTCTTTTTTTTTTCTCTTGAGATGGAGTCTCGCTCTGTCGCCCAGGCTGGAGTGCAATGGCATGATCTCTGCTTACAATAACCTCCACCTCCTGGGTTCAAGTGATTCTCCTGCCTCAGCCTCCTGAGTAGCTGGGATTGTAGCTGGGATTACAGGCATGTGCCACCACTTCTGGCTAATTTTTGTATTTTTAGTAGAGACAGGGTTTCACCATGTTGGCCAGGCTGGTCTTGAACTCCTGAGCTCAGATGATCTGCCTGCCTTGGCCTCCCAAAGTGCTAGGATTACAGGCATGAGCCACCATGCCCGGCCTTCTTTATATGTTTCTATATTGTTTATTTAGTTATATAATGAGCAAGAGCCTCTTTCATTATTTAAACAATTTTTCTAAATGTTGTCCAAAGAATATATATGGGTGGCAAATAACCACTTGAAAAGATACTCAAGATCATTACTCATTAGGGAAATGCACATTAAAACCACAGTGAAATATCACTTCATAACTATTAGGATGGCTAAAATGAAAAGATTGGCTCTACCAGATGTTGACCAGAAGGTAGAGGAACTGGATCTCTTATATACCATTGGTTGCAATGTAAAATGGTACAACTACTTTCAAAAAGATCTTAGTTAAATACACACTTAACTTATAAAGTTAAATATACACTTATCATGTTATCCGGAAACTTCACTCCTAGGTCCAGCTTTATTGTAATAGTGAAACGGGAAACAAACAGTTGTTTATTCAGTGTGTGAAGAGACAAATTGTGGTATATCCATATAACAGAATTCTGCTAAGCAATGGAAAGTAACGATGTATTGATACATGCTTCCATACGAATGGATCTCAAAATAATTTTTCTGAAAGAAAGCCCCAGGCAAAAAACACTACATAGTGCATACTGTATTATTTATTTATTTATTTAGAGACGGATTCTTGCTCTGTTGCCCAGGCTGGAGTGCAGTGGCGTGATCTTGGCTCACTGCAACCTCCGCCTCCTGGGTTCTAGCGAGTCTCCTGCCTCAGCCTCCCAAGTAGCTGGGATTACAGGTGTCTGCCACCACGCCCAGCTAATTTTTTGTATTTTTAGTAGAGACAGGATTTCATCATGTTGGCCAGGCTGGTCTCGAACTCCTGACCTCAAGTGATCCGCCTGCCTTGGCCTTCCAAAGTGCTCGGATTACAAGTGTGAGCCACTGTGCCTGGCCTGTATTTTTCATTTTACATAAAATTCAAAGGGAGTTGCTATTCCATACCTGAACTCAAACTTTTTGGTGGCTTCCAAGAAGAACCAAGAGTTGTGTATGACCATATCAGTCTAACTCCAGTTGCAACAATGTCATTGACAATTTGATATTTATTCTGCCAGTGTTTGCCCATGTCTTTCATTCATTAATTCAATTAATTGAGCACCAACTAAATGCTAGATCTAGAGTAAACACTAGGTAATGCACTGATGAATAATAGACACATGATCCCTGCCCTCATGGAGTTTCCATTATTTTGAATGAAACTCTGAGTCATACAACAAATAGAATAAACAAAATAATTATCATGGGAAAGGAGTGGTTCTTTTGAAGTGTGATGGAAATCAGTGATAGACTTGTCTGGGTTTCAAGCAGAGAAGTAAAGTGACAAATTTTATGTTTTTCTGTTTTTTGTTTTTGTTTTTGAGATGGAGTCTTGCTCTGTTGCTCAGGTTGTGCAGTGGCACAATCTCAGCTCACTGCAACTTCTGCCTCCCAGTTTCAAGTGATTCTCCTGCCTCAGCCTCCCGAGCTGGGACTACAGGCATGCACCACCATGCCTGGCTAATTTTTCTTTTAATTTTCAGTAGAGATGGGTTTTCACCATGTTGGCCAGGCTGGTCTCGAACTCCTGACCTCAGGTGATCCACCTGCCTCGGCCTCCCGAAGTGCCGGGATTACAGGTGTGATCCACCATGCCCAGCCCAATTTTATGTTTTTGAAAGACCACTCCACTCTGATGCTGTGTATCCAGTCAGGAAGCTGTTGTACCAGTCCAGGAGAAAGGTGGTGGAGGTTTAGACCCAGATGGTCTCAGAGTTGGAAAGCACAAATTAGTAGATATCTTTAATAAAACAAAACAGAGCCCAGAGGTGGACACTGATCAACACTCTTTGAATTTAGTAGTTTTATCACTTTTTAGTCCTTATTACTGTCCTGTCTCTGCCCTCTACACCAGCCTCCACCACTGCCTCTTATTCCATACATGTAAGTATGTCACAAGAGACTGACAACACCTTCCTGGTCCAGATACACTGGACTACAGCATTCCTTTGATCTACTGATCTAGTTGACTGTCAGTAAGAGAATGAGGAAACTCTGGCATGACCAGTTTTTATTAAATTAGCCTATGCTGACTCCAGATGATCTCTGTTTCCCTTTCTAAGGGCTAATGAACTATTTGTTGTAATCAAGTGGCAGAAATCCAGCTCAGAGTGGCTTAGGGAAAAGGGGGATGAGGAATAAAAATGTATTCACTCATATGAAAAAGGCAATCAGTCTCTATCATGGCTGAAATGAGTCATGCCATCATTTCAGTCTCTCTCTCAGTCTCTCAGCTCTGTTTCTATGGTATTAGTCTTATTCTCAGTAAGGCTCTGATATATAGTTCTTCTTATTACTATGATTAGCTGTTTATGGCACCTGCTTAAATATTATGCATCTAGATCGGCCATGTGTCTTTAGACAACTTCATACATCTGATCAATGGTAATGCTACCCTTTCCATCTTAACAATAATAGAAGCAAAAAACCACAGCTACTATAATTGAGAGTTTACCATGTACCAGGCACTCTATTAAATATTTTACTTGGATTATCTTAGGAAATCTTATAACAACCCTGTAAGAAAGGTTATATAAATATCCTAGGAAAGCCAGCTAATGGATTGCAGAATCAGCATTTGAAATGACATTTTTCTGGCTCCAGGGCCTGGGCTCCTAACCTTCACCACACCTCTCACAATCAATCTTTAGGACTAAGAAGAGGAAAGCACTGCCACCAAATAGTGTGCCTCTCTCTTACTTTTTCTGAACATCAGTCTTAAAATATGCTTGGTAGTGATAGTAGGGATGGGACTTTGGAAGTTATCCTTATAATTTTGTTGATTCCAGCTCTTTTGGGGGTTTTAGAGTTCTGGAAGCTCTTTGTACAGGATCCTCCCTTCTGACTATGGTGTCTATCTTTATAAACCAGGCTTGGTAGCCAGGGTCCCTATGTGCACATTCTTGTTTCTGTAGGTCTTCCCTCCCTTTAGTCTTTTTTTTTTTTTTTTTTTGGAGACAAAGTCTCACTCTGTCGCCCAGGCTGGAGTGCAGTGGCATGATCTCAGCTCAGTGCAACCTCCGCCTCCTGGGTTCAAGCGATTCTCCTGCCTCAGCCTCCTGAGTAGCTGGGATTACAGGCGTGTGCCACCACTCCTGGTTAATTTTTTTGTATTGTTAGTAGAGACAGGGTTTCACCATGTTGGTCAGGCTGGTCCTGAACTCCTGACCCCGTGATCTGCCCGCCTTGGCCTCCCAAAGTGCTGGGATTACAGGCGTGAGCCACGGTGCCCGGCCTTTTTGTTTGTTTGTTTGTTTGTTTGTTTGTTTGCTTTGAGACAGAATCTTGCTCTGTCAGATTTTCTTTCTTACAGGGTTGTTATAAGATTTCTTAAGATAATCCAAGTAAAATATTTAATAGAGTGCCTGCACTCCATGCCAGGCTGGAGTGCAGTGGCATGATCTCAGCTCACAGCAACCTCTGCCTCCAAGGTTCAAGCAATTTTTGTGTCTCAGCCACCCAAGTAGCTGAGATTACAGGCGTGTGCTACCACGCCTGGCTAAGTTTTCATATTTTTTAGCAGAGATGGGGTTTTGCCATGTTGGCCAGGCTGGTCTCGAACTCCTGGCCTCATGTGATCTGCCCGCCTGACCTTCCAAAGTGCTGGGATTATGGGCATGAGCCACCATGCCCGGCCCCTTTATTCTTCAACAGGGTCCTTTGCTCTCATGATGTCTGAGCTTCACCTTTGACAGCTTTCTATGAACCATTCCTGGAGTCTGAGACCAGATTGTTTTCCTTTTTCCCCCCTTCCTTAAATGTTTAAATGGGCTCCTCCTGGGAGTAAGAAAGGGAAAGAAAAAAAATTAAAAATAAATAAATAAAATGGCTCCCCTTTAAAGCCTTGGGCAGCTAGCTGATGGATCCTCAACTTTCCCTGCCCAGACATTTTATCTTCTGAAAGAACTTTCAAATGATAATTTCACTTTCCCCAGGGATCAGCTTAGTTCCATTTTTCCATTCAGTTCCTCCAATTGGTCAAAACTAGGCCAGGCTCAGTGGCTCATGCCTGTTATCCCAGTGCACTAGGAGGCCAAGATGAGAGGATCACTTGAGGCCAGGAGTTAGAGACCAGCCTCGGAAACAAGTGAGACCCTGTCTCTACAAAAAGTTAGAAAATTAGCTGGGTATGGTGGCACATGTCTGTAGTCCCAGCTATGTGGGAGGATTGCTTGAGCCCAGGATTGCATCACTGTGCTCCAGCCCTGGGTGACAGAGTGAGATCCTGTCTCTTAAAAAAAAAAAAAGTTTTGAATATTGTTTCCTCTTGTTACTTTTCTCTCTTGAAAGGGATTAAATAATCAGGATGCCCATATCATTTTTTAAAAGTTTTATTATGTTTTTAATTGACACATAATGTTTTATTAATTAATTAATTAATTTATAAGACAGGATCTCACTCTGTTGTCCAGGCTGGAGTGCAGTGGCATGATCACTGTTCACTGTAGCCTCAACTTCCAGAGTTCAAGCGATCTTCCCACCTCAGCATTCCAAGTAGCTGGGACTACAGGCATGCACCACCATGCCTGGCTAATTTTTTGTTTTGTTTTGTTTTTGAAACACAGTTTCCCTCTTGTTGCCCAAGCTGGAATGCAGTGGCGAGATCTCAGCTCGCTGCAACCTCTGCCTCCCAGGTTCAAGTGATTCTCCTGCTTCAGCCCCCCGAGTAGCTGGGATTACAGGTACCCGCCATCACGCCTGACTAATTTTTGTATTTTTAGTAGAGACAGGGTTTCACCATGTTTGCCAGGCTGGTCTTGAACTCCTGACCTCAGGTGATCCTCCCGACCTAAGGTGATCCTCCCGTCTTGGCCTCCCAAAGTGCTGGGATTACAGGTGTGAGCCACCATGCCCGGCCGCCTGGCTAATTTAAATTTTTTTTTTTTAATAGAGATGGGGTCTCACTGTGTTTCCCAGGCTGGTCTCCACCTCCTGAGCTCAAGCAATCCTCCCACCTTAGCATCACAAAGTGTTGGGATTACAGGCATGATCCACTGTGCCCAACCTACATCATGTTTTAATTTAAATAGTTCCTCTGCTTTTAGTGGAGTGAAACCTGGAACAAATAACCAGATATTTTAAATACCTTATCCTAATTGTAGACCCACTTTTTCCTGATCTTTGTATTTCTGGAATCCTGCAAAATGCTTGGCATGTAGTAGTTGCTCCAAATACTTGTTGAATGAATGTGGGAATGCCCAAATCCCTCTGTGCCAGTGTGAACAGAAGAGAAGAGAGAGAAAAGAATTAACTCAGTTTTATTCTGTTCTAGAATCAGAAGCAGTAGCTTGCTGCAGAAGTATTAACTGCAGATCATTCAACTTTTTTTTTTTTTTTTTGAGATGGAGTCTCACTCTGTTGCCCAGGCTGGAGTGCAGTGGCACAATCTTGGCTCACAGCAACCTCTGCCTCCCGGGTTCAAGTAATTCACCTACCTCAGCCTCCTGAGTAGCTGGGATTACAGGTGCACACCAACATGCCTGGCTAATTTTTGTATTTTTAGTAGAGACGAGGGTTCACCATGTTGGTCAGGCTGGTCTCGAACTCCTGACCTCGTGATTGGCCCACCTTGGCCTCCCAAAGTGTTGGGATTACAGGTGTGAGCCACCGCGTCTGGCCTGGCTATTTTATTCTTTTTTTTTTTTTTGAGGCAGAATTTCACTCTTCTTGCCCAGGCTGGAGTGCAGTGGTGTGATCTTGGCTCTTGGCTTACTGCAACCTCTGCCTCCCAGGCAGAGAATGGCTGCCACCTCAGACTCCAGAGTAGCTGGGACTCCAGATGTGCACCACCACACCCGGCTAATTTTTTTGTATTTTTTATAGAGATGGGGTTTCACCACGTTGCCCACTGTGGTCTCAAACTCCTGAGCTAAAGTGATCCTCCCGCCTCGTCCTCCCAAAGTTCTGGGATTATAGGTGTGTTCTGTAATTTAATTGAGGTGGTGGCTACACCAATCTACACTTAATAAAATACAATAGAACAATCAAACACAAACATGTATTATACCAATGCCCATTTCCTGGTTTTGATGTTGTGCTATATTTAAATAAGATGTAACCACTGGGGAAACATGAGTGAATAGTACAGAGGACCTCTTTTAGGTCTTTTTTTCTTTTTTGAGACAGAGTCTCTCTCTGATGCCCAGGCTGCAGTGGCACAATCATGGCCATGCCTTGCATGGCTCTCTGTGGTCTCAACCTCCTGGGCTCAAAACAGTCCTCCTGCCTCAGCCTCCTGAGGAGCTAGGACTTTTGTGTTCCATCTCAAAAAAAAAAAAAAAGTTGAATGTTCCAGAGTTAATACTTCTGCAGCAAGCTATTGCTTCTGCCCAGGCTGGTGTCAGACTCCTGAGCTCAGTCAATCCACCCACCTCGGCCTCCCAAAGTTTGAGGATTACAGGCGTGAGCCACCGTGCTCGGCCAGCCTTTGTCTTTTTTTAAGAGATGAGGTCTCTCTCTATTGCCCAGGCTGGAGTGCAGTAGTGCCCTCATAGCTCACTGCAGCCTTGAACTCCTGGACTCAAGTGATCCTCCCTCCTCAGCTTCCTGAGTAGCTGGGATGATAGGTGTGAGACCATTTGCCTGGCTTCTCCCAGGCTTTTAAGCTGCTTTGTCCTGAGAGTATTGCAAAGATAGTGAATAACTTAAGCTATATAGACAGTCGCCGACTTATGATGATTCGACTTTATGAATTTTTGACTGTAAGATGGTGCAAAAATGATACACATTCAGTAGAAACCGTACTTTGAGTACCCATACAACTATTCTATTTTTCACTTTCAATACTGTATTCAATTAATTACTCTAGATATTGAACACTTTGTTATAAAACAGATTTTTGTATTAGATGATTTTGGGCAACTGTAGGCTAATCTAAGTGTTCTAAGCATGTTTGAAGTAATCTAGGCTAAGCTATGATGTTCACTAGGTGTCAGGTATATTTCATACATTTTTTACTTATACATTTTTCAACTTATAATGGGTTTATCAGGACATAACCTCATTGTAAGTCGAAGAGCATCTGTATAATATTTTGCTTTTACATTTTTATTTTGAAATAATTATACATCAAGGTGAGGTTGCAACAATAGCAAAGGGAGGCCCTCTGTACTGTTCACCCATGTTTCCCCAATGGTTACATCTTATTTAAATATAGCACAACATCAAAACCAGGAAATGGGCATTGGTATAATATACGTGTTTGTGTTTGATTGTTCTATTCCATTTTATCATGTGTAGATTTGTGTAGTCACCACCTCAATTAAATTACAGAATATTCTGTTGTAGACAATAACACTGTCACCACAAAGTTCTCTCTGTTACTATTCTTTTATACTCACACCTACCTGCTGTCCATCCCCATCTCTAACCAGGCAGCCACAAATCTGTTCTCTATCTCTACAATTTTCTTTGTTATTAAATGGAATCACACAGTATGTGACCTTTAAAGATTGGCTTTTTTTCACATAGCATCATGCCCTCGAGAGCCATCCAAGCTGTTGCTGTATCAGCAGTTCGTTCCTTTTCATTTCTGAGTATTCAGTGGCATGGATGTACCACTGTTTGTTTAACCATCATCTATTAAAGGAAATTTTGGTTGTTTCCAGTTTTTGAATATTACAAATAAAGCTTCTGTGAACACTTATGTACAGGTTTTTGTACATAAGTTCTCTTACTGCGGGATGTCCAGACATGGAATTGCTGAGTTACACAGAAAGTGTATGTTTTATTTTTGAAGAAACTGACAAACTGTTTTCCAGAGTGGCTGTACCATTTTACGTTTTCTTGTTTTTTTTGGTTTGTTTGTTTTTGTTTTTGTTTTTGTTTGAGATGGAGTCTCGCTCTGTCATCCAGGCTGGAGTGCAGTGGCACGATCTTGGCTCATCACAACCTCCGTCTCCTGGGTTCAAGCAATTCTCCTGTCTCAGCCTCCTGAGTAGCTGGGATTACAGGTGCCCACCACCACACCCAGCTAATTTTTATATTTTTAGTAGAGACGGGGTTTTGCCATGTTGGTCAGGCTGGTCTTGAACTCCTGACCACAGGTGATCCACCCACCTCAGCCTTCCAAAGTGCTGAGATTACAGGTGTAAGCCGCTGTACCCAGGCATTTTACATTTTCACCAGCAGTGTATGAGAGATCCAGTTTCTCCACATTCCTGCCAGCATTTGATATTCTATAATATTTTTTTGGTAGCAGCTTTACTGAGCTATAATTCATATCATATGGTTTGCCCATTTAAAGTGTACAAATCAATAGTTTCTAGTATATTCACAGACTTGTGCAACCATCACCACAGTTTAGAACATTTTCATCATTTCCCCAGAAAACGTTGCATCCTTCAGCTCCAAACTCCAATTCTCCATCCCCTCAGCCTTAGGCAATTGCCAATCTTTCTGTTTCTATCTGTTTCTATAGATTAGCTTATTCTGGTCATTTCATATAAATGCAATAATAAAATATGTGACCCTTTGTGATTGCCTTTTTTCACTAAGCATAATGTTTTTAAGATTCATTCATGTTGTAGAACATATGAATACAGTTGATCCTTGAACAACATAGGGGTTGGGGTACCAACATGTGCCAGGGAAAATCCACTTATAACTTCTGACTCACCAAAAACTTAACTACTGATGGTCCACTGTTCACTGGAAGCCTTACTGATAACATAAACAGTTGATTAACACATATTTTGTATGTTATATGTATTATATACTGTATTCTTAAAGTAAGCTAGAGAAAAGAAAACGTTATTTAAAAAATCATGGAGAAGAGAAAAAATGTTTACTATTCGCTAAGTGGAAGTGGATCATCATAAAGGTCTTCATCCTTGTGGTCTTTGTGTTGAGTAGGCTGAGGAGGAGGAGGGGTTGCCCTTGCTGTCTCAGGGGTGGCAGAGGCAGAAGAAATTCTGTGTATAAGTGGACCCATGCAGTCAAACCCATGCTGTTCAAGGGTCAATTGTACTTCATTTCTTTTATTGCTGAATAGTATAGATATTTTTCCTTTAAACAATTATTAGTTTATTTTTCATGCTATTTTAAATGGATATATAATAGTTGGGGAGTATATGTGATATTTTGATACCTGTATACAATGTGTAATGATCAAATAAGGGCATGATGTTTTTAAAGAAATAACAATGAGGTTTTTCCATTACACAGGCTATAATCTAAGGGATAACACATGCTGCTACAGAGAGGTTTTTCCTGCTAGGAGGTCTAGATTGCAATTAACCTAAGTGCAAATTAATGCTGTTGTAAGTCTTTAGTAGTTCTCTGTAAAGTATTTCTCATGATTTTATTTATTTAGCAACAGTTTTGAGTTGTGGAACCTGAATAGCTTTCCTGAAATTCTATGGGGATCTTTCTAGAGAAGCTGTGCACAGGTAGTGAATGTTGCCATTCAGGCCAGGGACAAATCAGCAGATCACGGGGTGTGTTTGGGAGCCAGAATACAGCTATGCATCAGACAGATTTGTTTCAGGATCTTTCTGGGCCTTTGCCCTCTGTACATCCCTGCCCTCCCCAAACATCCATTTATGTACTCTCCGATCTATGGAACAATGGCTTCGGCCTAAGACAGAAACTTCAACAAATACTAATACATCCATAAGAACCATTTATGTAGCAAATAGTATTAATCATGGGCATGGTGAGGCACAGAGGAGGATACAAGATGAATAGGTGCTCATCTTGCCTCCAAGAGCTTAGTGTCTAGCCAGGAAAATGAGCACGCTGAGCACAAGGTTACATGGGATCTGTGCCATTTTAAATATTATGAAGTATTTTAACCATCCAGAAAATAACAAAGCACAAAACAACAAATACCCACGTACTTACCTCCTAGCTTTGTTTAATTTTAACATTTTTGCCATGTATCCTTTGTACTTTTTTAAACAAAGTATCTCAGCTACTCAGCAATAAAAAGGAAGGAACTATAACTATTGATACCCACAATATACATGAATCTCCAGGGAATTATGCTGATTGAATAAAGCCAATCCTAAAAGATTACATACTGTGTGATTCCATTTACATGAATTTCGGGAAAGGACACAATTATAGAAATGGAGAACAGGTTTGTGGTTGCCAAGGATTAGGATAGGATGGGGACTGGAGCGAATTAGGTGAAAAGGCAACATGAGGGATGTTGTGTAACAATTGTGTATCTTACTGTGTTCATGTTTCTTTTGTTGTTGTTTTTGTTTGTTCGTTTGTTTGTTTGTTGTTGAGACAGGGTCTCGCTCTGTCACCCAAGCTAGAGTGCAGTGGTGCAATCTTGGCTTACTGCAACTTCTACCTCCTGGGCTCAAGCAATCCTCCTACCTTGGCCTCCTGAGTAGCTGGGACCACAGGCATGTACCATCATGCCTGACTAATTACAAAAAAATTTTTTCTGTAGAGACGAAATCTCACTATGTTGCCCAGGCTGGTCTTGAACTCCTGGGCTCAAGCAAGCCTCTTGCCTTAGCCTCCCAAAGTTCTGGGATTACATACATGAGCCACTGTGCCCAGCCCTATTTGGTACTTGTAAAACATTATACAGGTCTGTATTTTTTGTCCTAGTGTCTTTCCTCTTTCCCTGTTTCTGTTTTGGCCTGTATCTGACTGGTTGGTTATCTGACACTCTTGGGGTCTACTCCTGCTCTTGTTGTTTCTGCTGGTACTCACTCACAGGGGCATTCTTATATTTTTTATTCTAAACTCATCTTCAGGACATGGTTATCTGTGGCCTAGGTTAAAGACGTGTCCTTCTGGAAACATTTTATTTTGTTGTGGCCACTCAGAATTCAGGATTTCTTTTTGTATAAATTTATCAGCTTTGGGCCACCTGGACCACATGTGTAGCATTGATTTGGACCTAAACCCAGTGAAGGCAGGTGTGTTGTTACGAATTTATGTTATGAAGGAGACCTTTTTTCCTCACCCAGAACCCAAGCCAGGATGAACTGTCTTTGTCATCTTCTGTGTGGATAGCTGCATTTTTTTTTTTTTTTCCTGATCCACCATTTCACAGAAGTCCTTGTGGCTGGGGGGGTCCCAGTTCTGTGAAGGAGCTTGTCTCCTATTCCTACCTGGGCACTAATGCCCAAGTCTCTGGTTCACTGAGTTTCAAATACTGTCTTCCTTACCCACCCCTCTACTTTGGGCCACAGCTGCATCAGCTCAGCTGCTCCCCACCGTAGTTTTCAATTCCCTGTTTGAGGGCCCTAGTGATTTCTTTTCCTCCCTTACAAGATCTGTCATGCAGTTAAAAAGTTTATTATAACTGATCTAGCATTCCTAAGTGTTTTGTAGTAGGAAAGTTTTTCAGATCATCTTGTCCATGGTATTGCCCTTTACGCTTTATTATTATTTTGAGATGGAGTCTTGCTCTGTCACCCAGGCTGGAGGGCAGTGGCACAATCTCGGCTCACTGCAACCTCCACCTCCTGGGTTCAAGTGATTCTCTTACCTCAGCCTCCCGAGTAGCTGGGATTACAGGTGTGCACCACCACACCCGGCTAATTTTTGTATTTTGAGTAGAAATGCGGTTTTACCATGTTGGCCAGGCTGGTCTCGAACTCCTGACCTCAGGTGGTTTGCCCACCTCAGCCTCCCAAAGTGCTGGGATTACAGGCGTGAGCCACCGCACCCGGGCCCTTGATACTTTATAAGTTAGAGATAAAGGATTGCAGGAGTTTCAGAGAAGAAAAGTGCAGCTGGTGGGAGTGAGAAATGAGGGGAGGATCAAGAGTAGCCTTAGAGAAGTGAATGCTGGGGGATAGGAACACAGGAGGGGGCATGGCAAGTGCAAAAGCAGGAAATGCCAATGCAAGTATGGAGAAGAGCGCTCAACTCTCTTTCCACTGCAGTACAACCTGTGAAGAGGAAATGAAGTTAGAGCCTGGAGTGCAGTCTGTGAAGGGGAAATGAGGTTGGAATCAGATCACTGAGCAGCAGGAAGCTACTAAAGTCTTACAGCAGGGCACACCATGTTCACAAGCTTTGTTTCAGGGAGTTTAAACTGGAAATGTGTCCAGAAAGAATGGGTGTGGTGGTGGCAGGAGAGCAGTGTGGATTAGGAAGGATGACTCTGAGGGCTGTGGAAATAGCCCAGGCGATGGGTAGTAAGGCCTAAATGGGGTAGCTGGTGGGATGGGGTGTAGGGGGACCACTGGGAGAGGGTGAAAGAGATTCAGCTGTACCAGATAAAGAAATCTAGGTCAAGAGCTGGATTGGAAATAGAAGAAAAGCCAGGCAAGCATGTTGTCTGGGTCCTGGGAAATGAATTCAAAATGTCAAGAATTATCTATTAAAAAAAAATTTTTTTTGTAAGAATCTTGCTCTGTTGCCCAGGCTGGAGTGCAGTGGTGTGATCTTGGCTCACTGCAACCTCTGCCTCCCGGGTTCAAGTGATTCTTCTGCCTCAGCGTATCTGAGTAGCTGGGACTACAGGAGCCCGCCACCATGCCTGGCTAATTTTTGTATTTTTAGTAGAGACGGGGTTTCATCATGTTGGCCAGGCTGGTCTCGAACTCCTGACATCAGGTGATCTGCCCACCTTGGCCTCCCAAAGTGCTGGGATTACAGGCATGAGCCACCACCTAAAATGTCAAGAGTTATCAGAGCTGTTACCTGCCTTTCAATATTGTTCAGGTACTGCCTACAAATGCTAATAAACAGTTCATCTTGACTCTGTTTGCAGCTTAAGATGTTTTTAGGCCTCTTGATGAGTAATTGTCATTGAATTAGAGACAGCATGTCCCAATAGTTCTTCCTGGAAGTGAGTGGGGATGCTTTTGCTTTTCCCAGAACCTGCTGACATGGCCAAGCATGGAGCCGACGAGCCATCCTCCAGGTCAGGGAGTCCGGACAGGGAAGGTAGGGCCTCTGAGGACAGATCGCTGCTTCATCAGAGGCTGGCTGTCCGGGAGCTCATCGACACTGAGGTCTCCTACTTGCACATGCTCCAGCTCTGTGCCTCTGACATCAGGAGCCGCCTCCAGCAGGTACTTGGGTGGGGTCACACACAACCTGTCTTTATAGGGGCAAATGTGGGTCCCAGCTTCTGAGATTTCTCATCCATTCCTGGGGCAAGCTTGACAGAAAGGAAGCGTGGTAGATGTGAAGTCTGACAGACCTGGATGTAAGCCCCAGTACTTCTTTTCCTTGGCCGTGCAACCTCCATCAAGGTCTTCCATGGCTTAGAGTCTTAGTGTATTCCTTGGCTAACTGGTGAGCGGAATAATCACTGGGAGACCTATGTGAGCTAATGAACAAGCCCTTTTCAAGTTTGGAACAGATTGCTTAAACTGACTCTTCTTCTTCTTCTTCTTCTTCTTCTTCTTCTTCTTCTTCTTCTTCTTCTTCTTCTTCTTCTTTCTTCCTCTTCCTCTTCCTCTTCTTCTTCCTCTTCCTCTTCTTCCTCTTCCTCTTCTTCCTCTTCCTCTCCTTCCTCTTCCTCTTCTCCTTCTTCTCCTTCTCCTTCTTCTCCTTCCTCTTCTTTCTTCTTCCTCTTCTTTCTTTTTCCTCTTCTTCTTCTTCCTCCTCTTCTTCTTTTTTTCCTGCTTCCCCTTCAAGGGTCTCTTTATTCGATCACAAAGTCACTGTCAGCGACTTGGCCTGGCCCTCTATGGCTTCCAACAAGGAAATGCTTAAAAGTCAGGAAATGCATTTGCTGCCTTTCCTAGTACCAAAAATTGACTACAACCTCTTTGGGTACCCTGAGATAAATCAATAGCATTTGCTTTTTCTTTACTTTTCTAACAGAATTCCAGAAAAAATAAATCTCATATATATATATCTATATATAGATATAGATATAGATATAGATATATAGATATAGATATATAGATATATATATGTGTGTGTGTGTGTATATATATATGTATATTTATATTTATATACACACATTCATATATAGAGAGATCCCTCAATCAAGAAGAGGCAAAGGATCCAGCATCCTCTGAGGTGCCCCTTGGCCTGGTGCAGGAAGGCCAGGAGGCACCAGCTGTCTTGGGAATCACCTTGAGATGTGCAGTGCTGAGCTGGTGTGGCATGGATGGGGGTCTGCAACAGCCTTCTCCCTCTAAGGAAGGTGGAACTAGGACAAACCAGGGGAGCCCTCACTCAAGCTTTCCACACATCCTGAAACGTGAGCTGTACCTGATGGAGCTTTGAAACTAAAACCCAAAGTGCAGATACAAAAGGATTCCCTGATAGGCCTCTAGGGGACTGACTCCTTAGGGAAGAGTTCCAAGAGCATCAAGCAGCAGGGGCTGGGGGAGCCAGCAGGGAGGACATACGCCCACAGCCCCCAGGCCCCCGAAGACAGGTGTCATGGACACAGAGGCCTGCTCAGCCACAGGAGAGGGGCTGGGCTCTGTCCCCTCCTCAGGTCTCCAACCACAGCCCCTGCAGGCCCTCAGGCAGGGGAACCCAAAAGGCCAGGGCAAGGCTCGGCTCACCCAGGAAAGCCCAAGGCAAACTTATTTATTTATTTATTTATTTACAGGAGACAGGGTCTCACTACATTGCCCAGACTGGTCTCAAACTCCCAGGCTCAAGTGATCCTCCCATCTCACCCTCCGAAGTCAGCCTCCTGATTAGCTAGGATTACAAGCACATGCCACCACACCGAGCCATGACCTACATTCTAACTGTCTCATTTGCAGGGTGGTGACATGGAGAAATTAGCACTGTGAGAGTTACTATTACAGTGCTTATTTTTTACATTTTCTTTTTTGGGTTTCAGAAATAATGCAGGCTCTTGCTTGCTACGTTTCAAGCATCCCCTAGCATTTGAACTCCATAAGGGCAAATATTTTGTTAAGTTGATTATATCCCAGTCTTGACACATAAATAACAGACTTAAAATTAGTCTTTCTTCATTGAATGAAATACCAATGTAGATAATGTAGAAAGTGAAGTACTTCTTTTATTTTACCCTCCAGAAATTGGGATTTTTCTCTATAGGCATTAAACAAGCAAATACAGTCTTATGTCACTTAACACCAGGGATATGTTTTGAGGAATGCATAGTGAGGCAATTTCATCATGTGTGAACATCATAGAGTGCACTAATACAAACCTAGATGATATAGCCTACTACACACCTAGACTGGATGGTATGGCCTATTGCTCCTAGGCTATAAGTGTGTTCAGCATGTCACTGTCCTGAATACTACAGGCAAATGCAGCACAATAGTATTTATGTATCTAAACACAGAAAAGGTACAGTAAAAATATGATATTATAATCCTATGAGATCACCCTGGTATATGCAGTTTATCATTGATTAAAATGTTATTATGCAGTGCGTGACTGTATATGTTGTTATTTATTTTAACAGAAACAAGAGCAGACTCTAGATATTGTTCTTCAGTTAGCTTTCCCACTTGAATGTGTGTCCAGCACATCCTTCCATGCTTGTGCATTTATATAGATGTCCTGCATCTTTTTAAACAGTGGTATAGCCTGGTTAATAGGGGCCAGAGAATGCATCTTGAGGTCATGGTGGTAGGTGCCAAGTATGTCAGAGGTGGAAAGAAGTCTAACTTCTCACCCTTCAATGACAGATGGGGAAACTGAGAGAAGCTAGCTGGCAGCAGACCTAGGCTAAAACCCCGGTTCAGCTTTTCTTCCCCACTGAGTACTCCGTCTGTTCCTCTCTTCTTGTAGAGTAATGAAAATACCTAATTTTTTTTTTTTTTGAGATGGAGTCTCGCTCTGTCGCCCAGGCTGGAGTGCAGTGGCACGATCTCGGCTCACTGCAACCTCCACCTCCCAGGTTCAAGCAATTGTCTACCTCAGCCTCCCGAGTAGCTGGGATTACAAGCACCCACCACCATGCCGAGCTAATTTTTGTATTTTTAGTAGAGATGGGTTTCACCATCTTGGCCAGGCTGGTCTTGAACTCCTGACCTCATGATCCACCCGCCTCATCTCCCCAACGTGCTGGGATTACAGGCGTGAGCCACTGCGCCTGGCCTGAAAATACCTAATTTATAACGTTTCAAAATCCTTGCAAAATTCCACTGGGGCAGCCAATCTTCTCAGGAGTGATGGGAATGGTGTGAGTGTTCTGTCCTACTCTCAAAAGCCTGCAAATACATTCTATGGAACTCCCAACCACCTCTCATGGCTTCTTTGTTCCTTCCAGTTGCCGCAGGGAGATCTGGATGTCCTGTTCTCAAACATTGATGATATCATCAAAGTGAACAGCAGATTCCTCCATGATCTGCAGGAGACAGCCTCCAAGGAAGAGGAACAAGTGCAGCTAGTTGGTAAGCAAAAAACCTAAGGAGTTGTCAGCCTTAGATTCTCATGGAACTGTTCTCAGCGAGTGGTCACTGCTTAACTGTCTCCAGAGTTCCAGAGAAATGCAGCTCAACGGCAGTCTGTTTTGGGGATCTCCAAAACACAACATATCAGAGCCAGCAGGGCCCTCAAATAACAACTAGTCCAGTCCCATTGCTTTACAGAGACCGAGCCCCAGAGACAGAGAGGAACATGCTTACAGTCACGGAATTGTTAGTGATGCAGCTAAATCTTTAGTCTGTGTCTCTTTCACATTCATTCATCCAACGGTTATTTAATGAGCACCTGCAGTGTGCAGGCACAGCATCAACGAGAGAGTCTGAGCTTCTATTCTCATGGGGTTGACAAGTTAGTGACAGAGACAGAAGATAGACAAACAACAGAATTGTAGGTAATAATTTGTAATTTAAAGGAAATAAATAGTCATGGTAACTTCTGGGTGTGAGGGAAGGCCTCTGGAGGAGGGAACATGTGAGCTGAGATCTGAGTGTCAGGAAGGAGCTAGCCTTGAGAATATCTGAAGGGAGAGTAGAGAGCATAGTTGTGCAAAGGCCCTGAGGCAAGGATGAGTCCAGAATGTTTAAAGGACAGACGGAAGGTTGATGTGGCTCCAGGGAAATTAGTGAGGGGAGACTGTTGGGGATAAAATAGAAGAGGCACGCAAGGACCAGATCATGCACAGCTTTATAGGTCATGGCAAGGAGTTTGGAGTTTATTCTAACTGTGATGGGGAGCCACTGGACAGTTTTGAGTGGGGAAGTGACACGGTTTGATTTATGTTTTTCTTTTCTTTCTTTTTTTTTTTTTTTGAGACGGAGTCTCACTCTGTCGCCCAGGCTCGAGTGCAGCGGCATGATCTCGGCTCACTGCAACCTCCGCCTCCTGGGTTCAAGCAATTCTCCTGCCTCAGCCTCCCGAGTAGCTGAGACTACAAGCGTGCGCCACCATGCCTGGTTACTTTTTGTATTTTTAGTAGAGACAGGGTTTCACCGTATTGGTCAGACTTGTCTTGAACTCATGACCTCTTGATCCACCTGCCTTGGCCTCCCAAGGTGCTGGGATTACAGGCGTGAGCCACTGTGCCCAGCTGATTTATGTTTTTCAAAGATCTCTTCAGCTGCTGTGGACAATGGATTATGAGGGGGTGGTGAGAGTGGAAGCAGCGAGATCAGTTGGGGGCTTTACTGTGGCCCAGATGAGAAATGAGGATAGTCTCCTTTGGTTTAATTTTTTTTTTTTTGAGACGGGATCTCACTCTGTTGCCCAGTCTAGAGTGCAATGGAGCAATCATGGCTCACTGCAGCCTCTACCTTCCAGCCTCAAGGACCCTCCTGCCTCAGCCTCCTGAGGAGGATAGTCTTCTTATTCTGAAATGGTTAGGATGAGCACAGCAGAAAGAAAGGAGGAGTGGGTCCAAACCTCATACCTGTCTCCTTCTGTCTCATCCCATCTGCTGCCAGGATTCCCATGGTGAGGGATTTCCTAGTGGAGTCAGGAGATATAGGTGAATGGGTGGGTGTCAGATTCACTACAGTGGCAGAAAGGAGGAGGAGATGAAGGTACCCAGTACTGTGGCCACCCAAGTCCCCTTTTACACCACCAATCTTCTAACCTTTCCTGAACACGAATGATGAGGATGCAGATTAAAAACAACAAATATGCAAAAAAAAGTTTTATTTTTTTTTGAGATGGAGTCTCGCTCTGTCACCCAGGCTGGAGTGCGATGGCATGATCTCGGCTCACTGCAACCTCTGCCTCCTAGGTTCAAGCGATTCTCCTGCCTCAACCTCCTGAGTAGCTGGGATTACAGGCGCCCGCCACCACACCCGGTTAATTTTTGTATTTTTAGTAGAGATAGGGTTTCACCATGTTGGCCAGGCTGGTCTCGAGCTCCTGACCTCAGGTGATCCGCCCACCTCAGCCTCCCAAAGTGCTGGGATTACAGGTGTGAGCCACCGTGCCTGGCCTAAATACGCAAACAAATCTTAAAAACCTACTTTCTGAGTGTTTACAAAACGCTAAGCACTGTTCTTATGTACATATATTAATTCACTTCATCTCAAAATAACCCTGAAATGTAGATACCATTATCTCATTTTACAGTTGAGGAATCTTTGGCACAGAGAGAGGCAATAACCTGCTTAGTCACGCAGCTAGGGGCAGAGCCAGGATTTGAATGCAGGTAGTTGGCCCTGAGAGTCAGAGCTCTTAACTGCTACACTGAATTGCTTCTGCATGGTAGAAGGTGAGACTTAAAGCCTGTATACTGTGTGTTTATCATTCCTCTGAAAATATAGTTCTTTAGTAAAATAGCAATGTGAGTTACTATTCCCTACAAATGATAAAGGAATGCAAAATTAAAGAACAAGATTTTAAAAAGCACCTGTAGGCCAGCCATGGTGACTCATCCCTATAATCCCAGCACTTTGGGAAGCTAAGGTGGGCAAATCACCTGAGGTCAAGAGTTCGAGATCACCCAGGCCAACATGGTGAAACCCCGTCTCTACTAAAAATACAAAAATTAGCCAGATGTGGTGGCACACACTTGTAATCCCAGCTATGCAGGAGTCTGAGGCACGAGAATCGCTTGAACCCGGGAGGCGGAGGTTGCAGGGAGCTGAGATCGTGCCAGTGTACTCCAGCCTGGGTGACAGAGTGAGACTCTGTCTCAAAAATAAAAAAAATTTAAAAAGTACCTATAGATGTTCTCACAGGTACTTCTCTTTTATCATTTGATCATTATTTTGGTTAATAATTAACACTTATTTGAATGGAAATTGATATAGCCTCAGGCTGAAAACATTCTAAGGGTCTAAGGACTTTGAGCTCGGGCTCTTCTATAGCTACATGTTTGAGGTTTGGTGAGGTTCCTTGTAAAGGTCTTCATTTCTCAGTCTGCCTTTGTGCTGGAGCCACAGAGCCAAAATGTTACTTCGTCTCCTGATCACACCTGGTGATAGGTCCATGGACTGCCCTCACTGCTTCACTGTAGGGTTTCCAGTTAAAATATGGGATGATCAGTTAAATTTGTATTTCAGATAAACAATGAATAATTTTTTAGTATAAGTATATCCCAAATGTTGCATGGGACTTACTTACGCTAAAAAATTATTCATTGTTTATCTAAAATTCAAATTTAACAGAGCATCCTGTATTCCTCTCTCCCCTGCAACTTTGGCAGTCCTGTTCCCTGGCCTTTACAGAGTCTGCAGAAAATATCCTCCTCATCCCTTGTCTCTTGTGGTTGCCAAAAAGAGGCCCAAATAACCCACATGGCTTTTCTTCTCCTCAGTGCAACTGTGTGCCAGGCCAGGCTGCTCTGGCTCTTGCCTGCTGTCTCTCTATTCCCCTTCTAGCCCCTAGGCCTTGCTATGCAAGGAGAGCCCTTTTCCCAGTAAGGCAGCAACACCATTTTTTTTTTTTTTTTTTTTTTTTGAGACAGAATCTCTCTCTGTCGCCCAGGCTGGAGTACAGTGGTGCAATCTTAGCTCACTGCAACCTCTGCCTCCTGGGTTCAAGCGATTCTCATGTCTCAGCCTGCCAGGTAGCTGGGATTACAGGCGTGCGCCACCACGCCCGGCTAATTTTTGTATTTTTAGTAGAGACTGGGTTTCGCCATGTTGGCCAGGCTGGTTGCAAACTCTTGGCCCAGCAACAGCATTTTGAAAGATTTTTGGGAGACTGGGCATGGTGGCTCACGCCTGTAATCCCAGCACTTTGGGAGGCTGAGGCAGATAGATCACCTGAGGTCAGGAGTTCGAGACCAGCTTGGCCAACATAGTGAAACCCCACCTCTACTAAAAATACAAAAATTAGTCGGGCGTGTTGGTGGGTGCCTGTAATCTCAGCTACTTGGGAGGCTGTGGCAGGAGAATTGCTTGAACCCAGGAGGTGGAGGTGGCAGTGAGCCGAGATTGTGCCACTGCACTGCAGCCTGGGCAACAGAGCAAGACTGCATCTCAAAAAAAAAAAAAAAGAAAAGAAAAAAAGAAATATAACGTTAGCTGCAAATTTTTTAAATTTTCAAGTAGCTACATTAAGAAAATTAAAGAAGCAACTGGAATTAATTTTAATGATATCTTTTATTTAACTCAATAGATCCAAAATAATATTTTAACATGTAATCAGTATAAACATTCATCATTCATTACTTTTGTTTTGTATGAAGTCTTTGAAATCCAGTATCTTTTACACTGACAGCACATCGCATTTGGGGTTCATCATATTTCAAGTGCCCAATAGCCACGTGTGGCTGGTGACTACTGTATTTGAGCATTGAAGGTCTAGGTTACCGCAGGAGCTTTGGAATCTGACTAACAAGTCCCTGCCACCCACAAGCTCTTTCCTTTCTGAGTCCCAGTTACTGCCACCTTAAAATGATCATGAAAATAGTATCCATCTCTGTGCCAACAATGATGCCAAGTACTTAACCTGAAGGAGCTCTTTGAGTTCTCATAACATCGTTACTTGTTGATTATTATTAATAACCTCCATTTTACCAAAAACGTCTCTGAGGCTCAGAGAGGCTAAGTAACATTCCCAAGGTCACACAGCTTGACCAGGCAGAGTTAGTATTTGAACCCAGCTCTTCTAGAGCCCTAGGTCTTGACCATGCTGCCTCCCTTTCTCTCCTTTCCAACTAATCCCAGCTAGAGATGAGTATCCCCTTTTATGCTAGGAATAAATTGTTTGCTAATCTGTGACTGGAGAAGGACAAGCAGGGAGGAAACAAGCCTTTCCTTTGGTGTAATTGCCATTCTTGCCTCTTTGGACCACTCTGTTCTGTGGGAGTTCACTTTCCTCCATCCTTTAGTTACTGAAACACCCTTGCCTCTGGCCACACTGGTATGACACAGTTTCCTTGGCATGTCTGTCTCATTTCTGAGGACACACCCATGTTGAGGAGACTGTGGGAACCGGCCTAGGTTTCACGGCCACACCCAAGCTATCTCTTAGCCAGGCCGTCTCTGCAGTTGGCTGATCTCTCTCTCACACAGCTTCTTCCTGGCTGCAGTTTCGGGTGGTCATGTTCTGTCTGGCTCTAGGGGCTTCTCCTGGGAGTTCTTGCTAGGCATCAGCTGAACCAACACCGGGAAAGGGTAGGCCCTGGGACTGCGATCTCCCCATGGGGATCTTTGCTGAGAACTGGACCATGCACCTCTGGCCACCAGCTGATGTGTCCCAACACAGACCTTGTCTGGGTCACAGGTCTAGCCCATGGCTTTGGCAGGCAGTAGGGTCAGCTGGGCTTCCTGTGGTCCCTGGTTCCCCACCTGCCTTCTTGTGGTTAATATATTTTTCTTCACCCTCACCACTTCCTCTCAAGTCCGTCCACCCTCTGTAGGTAACTAATCTCATTAGTTTCTGATTTGAAAGTATGGAACGCTTCGCAAATTTGCATGTCATTTTTGCAGAGGCGCCATGCTAATCTCTATATTGTTCCAACTTTAGCGTATATGATGCTAAAATTGAGCACCAGTGTGATCCTTTTAAGCAGAAATCAGATCATGTCACCGTTGCTCAAAGGCCTCCAGTTGCTTCCTGCAACCATCAGAATAAAACCTGAATCCCTTACTGCACTCCACTTACTTTAAGACCCTACATGATCTGGCTTCTGTTTCCTGCTTATTTCCTCTACTTTATTTTTATTTTTTAATTAATTGATTTTTTGAGACAGTCTTGCTCTGTCGCCCAGGCTGGAGTGCAGTGGTGCAATCTCAGCTCACTGCTACCTCTGCCTCCAGGGTTCAAGCAGTTCTCCTGCCTCAGCCTCCTGAGGCACCTGCCACCACTCCTGGCTAATTTTTGTATTTTTTTAGTAGAGACGGGGTTTCGCTATGTTGGCCAGGCTGGTCTCAAACTCCTGGCCTCAAGTGATCCACCCGCCTTGGCCTCCCAGAATGCTGGGATTTCAGGCATGAGCCATAGCACCCAACCTGTTTTATTTTTTGACACCATCCACCTGGAGATTTATTTCCTCTACTTTATGCCCTTGTTCACCTACTCCAGCCACACTTGCCTTCTTGCTGTTGCCCTTGTGGCCAGCACTGTCCTGCCTCAGGGCCTCTGCAGGTGTCCTTCCCTAATACTTGGTGCTGCTCTTCCCTTGCTTGTTCCCAGGACTAGTTACCTCTGCCTCTCTGGTAGACATTCACATCTTGCGAAAGGCCTTCCCCAAGTACATCCCCCACCATTTTCTAACTCTTTATTTGGCTCCGTTTTAATTCATGGCACTTATCATATGTGTATTGTCTCACGCATCCATGTGAAGAGACCACCAAACAGGATTTGTGTGAGCAACAAGGCTCTTTATTTCACCTGGGTGCAGGCGGGCTGAGTCCGAAAAAGGAGTCAGCAAAGGGTGGTGGGATTATCATTGGTTCTTACAGGTTTTGGGATAGGCGGTGGAGTTAAGAGCAATGTTTTGGGGGCAGGGGGTGGATCTCACAAAGTACATTCTCAACGGTGGGGAGAATTATAAAGAAACTTCTTTTTTTTTTTTTTTTTTTTTTTTTGAGATGGAGTCTTGCTCTGTCACCCAGGCTGGAGTGAGTGCAGTGGCACGATCTCAGCTTACTGCAAGCTCCGCCTCCTGGGTTCACGCCATTCTCCTGCCTCAGCCTCCCGAGTAGCTGGGACTACAGGTGCCCGCCACCATGCCTGGCAAATTTTTTTTGTATTTTTAGTAGAGACGGGATTTCATTGTGTTAGCCAGGATGGTCTCAATCTCCTGATCTTGTGATCCACCCATCTGGGCCTCCCACAGTGCTGGGATTACAGGCATGAGCCACCGGGCCCGGCCTAAAGAAACCTCTTAAGGATGGGGGAGATTATAAAAAACATTGATCAGTTAGGGTGGGGCAGAAACAAATCACAATGGTGGAATGTCATCAGTTAAGCTATTTTCACTTCTGTGGATCTTCAGTTGCTTCAGGCCATCTGGATGTATACGTGCAGGTCACTGGGGATATGATGGCTTAGCTTGTGCTCAGAGGCCTGACATATATAATAAATATATTACATATGTAATATGACATATATAATAAATATATTACATATGTAATATGACATATGAGGATGGCGATTAAAAATAACAAATATGCAAACAAATTTTTTTTTTTTTGAGATGGTGTCTTGCTCTGTTGTGCAGGCTGGAGTGCAGTGGCGCGATCTCAGCTCACTGCAACCTCCGCCTCCCAGGTTCAAGCAATTCTCCTCCCTCAGCCTCCCAAGAGTAGCTGGGACTACAAGGGCACACCATCACACCCGGCTAATTTTTGTATTTTTAGTAAAGGCAGGGTTTTACCATGTTAGCCAGGCTGGTCTGGAACTCCTGACCTCGTGATCCACCCGTCTTGGCCTGCAAAGTGCTGGGATTATAGGCGTGACCCACCACACCCGGCAGTAAGTACTGTTTCTATTTGCATTCCATAGATGAGAAAATAGAGAGCTAGAGGAGTGAAACACTTGCCTCAGGTTACACAACTGGGGAAGGGTTGCTGGAGATCTGTCCCTAGTTCCCTGGAATCCAAGCTCACACTGTAACCAGTTGTGTTATGCTGTAGCATGTCTTTGTAAATTGGGGATTTGTTGTGCTTGCCACACATTTTATCTTTAATTATAAAGATAAAATGAGTGGCCAGGAGTGGTGGCTCACAGCTGTAATCCCAGCACTTTGGGAGGCCGAGGTGGGTGGGTCACCTGAGGTCAGGAATTCAAGACCAGCCTGGCCAACATGGTGAAACCCCATCTCCACTAAACATACAAAAATTAGCCAGGCATGGTAGCATGAGCCTGTAATCCCAGCTACTCAGGAGGCTGAGGCAGAGAATGGCATGAACCTGGGAGGCAGAGGTTGCAGTGAGTAGAGATTGCGCCACCACACTCCAGCCTGGGGGACAAGAGCAAGACTCTATCTCAAAAGAAACAAAAAAACAAAAAAACAAGCTAATGGTTGAGTGTATTTTGTGTACTATAAAGCACTGTCCAAATGTGAGCATTATTAATATTCCTGGTATGACTATAGCTACCATTTAGTAAGTGCTCACAGTTTCCTAGCCTAAGATGTATATCATTCTGTCACTCAATCCTCAGAACAACCTTGTGAAAAGATGAAAAAAACAGAAAGTCAGGAAGATGAGGTCATTTGCCCATGGTGACATGCTGGTAAACCCAGCAATCTCACTGGAGAGCTGGAGGGGTTTACTTACTGCCTCCCTGTTCCAAGCTAGGGGACACACAGACATGCCCTTGACGACCCCTTGTTGCGTCTTCACTCTCAGGTAACATATTTCTGGAATTCCAAGAGGAGTTGGAGCAAGTCTATAAGGTCTACTGTGCCAGCTACGACCAGGCCTTGCTACTGGTGGACACGTACCGGAAGGAGCCGGAGCTGCAGCGGCACATCCAGGGCATCGTTGAGGCGGTGGTGTGAGTAGAACGGCCAGTGAGCACTCGCTCCTACCCCACTGACCCGGTTCAGGAGCAGCTATGGTCTCACCCCTTTTTCATGCCATTCGTGCTGCTTCACGAGTGTTGCTCTGTCAGAGCCTGTGTTAGTCAGGATAGGGCAGGCTGTGCCACAGAGACAAACAGCTCCCACATCTCAGTGGTTTCAAACAACAAAGGTTTATGTCTTCCTTATGCTCCACTGAAGGCTGACTTGGGGTTCTGCTCTTTGTCATCCTCACTTCGGCACCCAAACTCACAGCAGCCACTGTCTGGAATATTGCCAGTAACTGTGGCTTAAGTAAAAAGAGCTCTGGAGAGTCTAATGCTGGCAATTGAATGCTGTGGGCCAGAAATAATATTAATCACTTCTCGTAATTCATTGGCCAGGACTAATCATAGCTTCATTCAACAGCCAGGAGGCAGGGCATGCCATCCTACCACATGTCCAGGGTTGGAGAAGCGGAAACGTTTGGGAACAGTGCTCATGAGAAGCACAGGAAAGGGCAGTGAGATGGTGGGACCCATGTGTTCCCATAGTGATAAGAAGCAGGTGTGTATCACCTGAGGCTCCCTCTCTACCGGTGGCTGAAGTCCTGCCACATGGAAAAGGGAGAGTATCACCAGTCCGTGGTGGACTCATAGCTTAGAATTAGCACCAATGGGTAGAAGCCTCAGGTAGAAAAATGTAGAGAATATGTATTCGAATTTAAATTTTCGAATGGGTAACGTGATTATAAGATTAAAAAACTTTAAAACATCAAAATTTTTACAGTAAAAAATATCTGGCTGGCTGTATTTTTTACAGTAAAAAATATCTACAGTGCTGGGACAACAGGCGTGAGCCACCATGCCAGGCCTAAAGTCTCCTTTTCAAGAACCCGTGTCCTAGCCCCTCTCTGCTCCCAAAAAAACTGTATTCATTTTCCCTTTTTATTCATCCTTCATGGGTCTTACAAACAGGCTTCTGCAAGAGTCACAAAATATATTTCTACAGTTTACAGATATAAAGGGAAGCAAGGTGCCAGAGATGAGATAAAAGGGAGAAGTGGAGGCTGCGCACACTAGAGACAACAGACCCTGTGTAGCGTGCAGCTGCAGGACAGCCTTAGCTAATTGCTGCTATCAAGTGGCTTTTGCTAGATAACAAATCACCCCCAAAATGTAGTGGCTTGAAACAAACATTTATTTAGCTCATACTTCTGCATATTAGCAATTTAGGTGTACTCAGTAAATGTTCTCCTGGAATCATTAGCACCCTCAAATATCTGCAGTCACCTGCAGGTCAGCTTTGCTGATCCTGGCTGGGTTTTTTCATGTATCTGGGACACATGAGCTGCCTCACCTGTGGTCCTATGGTCTCTCCTCTTCCCGCCTGCTAGCTTATTCACATCATGGTCTCATGGTTCTAAGGGCTGTGGGGAGGGCTTGGCATCTAGAGGTCTTAGCTGGGAACTGGCACATTGTCATTCAAATGAAGTCCTAAGGCCAGCCCATACTCAAGGGGTGGGGAAATAAACTGCATTTCTTGGTAGCAGGAGCTTCATAGTGACAAAGGCTTGTAGAGATTGGGGGAGGAATAATAGCAGTGATGTTTTTGCAAACCATCTGCCTCAGCTGCCATGTAGAAATGAGGGTCTGTTGTGGCCAGAGCCTCTGCTTTTTTAAGAGACGCCAGAAACTTAGATGTAACATCTCTCAAGAGTTCAGTGCTGGCATCTAGCTCAGACATTTAATAAACACTGTGTGTGGGAGCCCTAGTTTGCTCAGAGGCTGCTGTTTATTACATCCTCTGCACTTTGGTCTTTCCTAGCCAGGCCAGCTGGGCTTTGCTCATGGGCTCTGTAGCCGAGCTCCATGGTGGTGGATGTGGCTTGGCCCCTGGCCATGAGAGAGCCATCTTATGTCTCAGGATCTAGTTTCCTTATGTGTAAGGTGGGAGGAATAACAGCCCCGCATGGGGCATTGATTCATTGCACACGAGTGACACTCAATGAATCTCACGTATTATAGTTATCTCGGCTAGGCAGGGATTCTATTTTCTCTGAGACCACACTGTAGTTCTCAATTTTATCAGTGCCATGCTCCCTTGTTATAACAAATATTACATACATTTACTATCCTAAGACATATCCTGAAATATATGTATAAATAAATATATCTCTTCTACCTATATATGTAACTGAAAAAAATCAGTATAATGGCTTCACTAAGAAAGGAGAAATAAAAGGAAAATAATTTCCAATAAAATGCTATATAGTTTAGTGTGCATATGCTTGGACACCACTACTAAAAGATATAAGGAAGCCATCAGATGCTTGCAGCTACTTGTAATAAATAAGTTTGGATTTAAAGAAAGAGATATCTGAAGCTGTTCTGTACAAAAAGTACAGAAAAATGAAAGGGCACAGAATGTGTTTACCCTAGAATAGCAACTGACAGTGACAATAAACCTGACTTTCTCTTTTTTTTGAGATGGAGTCTCGCTCTGTCGCCCAGGCTGGAGTGCAGTGGCGCGATCTCGGCCCACTGCAACCTCCGTCTCCCGGGTTCACGCCATTCTCCTGCCTCAGCCTCCCGAGTAGCTGGGACTACAGGCGCCGGCCACCACGCCCGGCTAATTTTTTGTATTTTTAGTAGAGATGGGGTTTCACCGTGTTAGCCAGGATGGTCTCCATCTCCTGACCTCGTGATCCGCCCACCTCGGCCTCCCAGAGTGCTGGGATTACAGGCGTGAGCCATGGCGCCTGGCCTAAACCTGACTTTCTTATTTATGATAAGAGAAAGAAGGAAATAACACCGTTGAAATTGGGATTTATAAAAGATAGTGTCATAGTAATTCCCAGTATTATGATATATGACTGGATAGAGTCCAAGTGTGACAAACATATTTAGGTTCTTAGAAGTGTAACACATTTCGAGGCCTTTGTTCAGTTTCTGAATGTTCAGGGGGACATATGAGACATGGAACAATTCTCTGTAGTTCAGGACTGTCCTTGCAAGACATCCAGTGTACCTGGTCCTGTCCCTGCCCGTTAAATGCCTGCGGCATTACTTTCCAGAGCCTGGCCAATAATAATCACCACGCCAGCCATAACTAGTTCTTTCTCAGTCTGCTATGATAGATGGCACCAGGTTATTAGATTCCTTGGGATTCCAAAATGCACGCTGACCCCACCCTTTATTTGGGTAGGATGTTCATTCTGTCTTTTAAGGCAACTCTTCCCATCTGAGAGCCAAGGGAATAAAAAAACTCACCTTTGCAGTGGGCAGGAAGCTCTGCCCTAGGTAGGACTGTCCTAATGGTAGAGCTGTCAGGGTGGAAAAGGCGGCCTTGCAGAGGTGGGCCCGTCCAGCACAAAGCACTGCAATTCCAGAATGATGGCTGAGGCAGCAGAGTTTGGAGAAGGCAGATAACCTTCTTTGTTTTCCTTTATCAGCTAGGTGTGTTTGTTTTAAATATAAAAGCAACATATGCTTATTGAACAAAAGGAAAGTTCCAATAACACAAGTATATAAAGTAAAAAGTAAAAATCCATTCCACTAGTAATGTTTTCCATCCAAATTTTCTACTGTATATTTATAGATAGAGAGACACATAGATGGACAGACAGATAGATGGTTAGATAGATAGAATTTTTTTTTTTTTTTGAGACGGAGTTTTGCTCTGTCACTCAGGCTGGAGTGCAGTGGTGCAATCTCAGCTCACTGCAACCTCTGCCTCCGGGGTTCAAGCGATTCTCCTTCCTCAGCCTCCCGAGTAGCTGGGACTACAGGAGTGCGCCACCACGCCCGGCTAATTTTTGTATTTTTAGTACAGACAGGGTTTCACCATGTTGGCCAGGATCGTCTTGATTTCTTGACCTCGTGATCTGCCAGTCTTGACCTCCCAAAGTGCTGGGATTACAGGCGTGAGCCACGGCGCCCGTCTGATAGAATTTTTATGAGGCTGCTTCTATACATGCTGTTCTAGAACTTACATTTATGCTTAACCATAGTAATGAATATCTTTTCAGGACAGCATGGATATTGATATTTCTACAGTGTTTTCTTTTTTTTTTTTTTTTTGAGACAAGGTCTCACTCTGTCACCCAGGCTGGAGTACAGTGGTGTAATCTCAGCTCACTGCAGCCTTGACCTCCCAGGCTCAGGGGATCCTCCTACCTCAGCCTCCTGAGTAGTTTGGACTACAGGTGTGTGCCACCACACCTGACTCATTTTTTGTATTTTTGTAGAGACAGGGTTTCTCTATGTTGCCCAGGCTGGTCTCCAACTCCTGGACTCAAGAAATCTGCCCACCTTGGCTTCCCAAAGGGCTAGGATTACAAGCATGAGCCACTGCGCCCAGCACAGTGTTTTTTTTAATGGCTGCAGAGTTTCTTTCCTGGACTGTTCTTAGACTATGGTTTATTGGCCATTCCTCTATTGAAGCATATTTGGGTTGTTTCCAATTATTTACTAACTCAAATAGAGTCACTGAACAACTTGTACCTTTATCTTTGCTCACTTGGGTTTGGATTTTTGTGGGTATATTTCTAGGATGGGATTGATGGAAGAAAGGGTTTGTACCCTTTACAAATTGCCAAACTCCTCTGCCTCTCCAAGATCTTGCCAGTTGATACTCCCACCAAGAGAATGTACAAAGACCTGTTTTTCCACACTCACCCAGCTCTGTGTATCATCTTTCAATTTCTGTTGCCTATCTGAAAAGCTGCATAAAAAAGTATTGTCCAAATTACCTTAGAAAGTCTGTAAATGTGAGCGGATGCCCTCATTCTTTGGTAATTCCTTCATGATTGTAAGGAAAGTACGCGGTCATCTCTTCCAGGACCCCTTGCTCTCTAATTTGTGAGGCGATAGTTGTCCCCAGGAGACACTTGGCTCTTTCCCATGGAAAGGAAGTCCAGAGGATGGAGTCTTGCAAATACCTGGCAGTGGTTTCCACCTCCCCTGCCCACAGTCAGCCAAGCCCCAGGACACCCTTGGTGAGAGCAGATGACCAGCGTAGGCGTCTCCTGATGGGTAATCCTGCCCCCTGCAGCTTCTGAGGGGCTCCCACCTGCTCTGCCTATTCTTAGCTTCATGGCTGATCTTTCCTGGACATTTGGTCTGGAGATTTTCCTAAGGAAGGAGAGCCAGAGGCACGAGTATCATCAGGGAGGGCCCAGAGAAAGTTCCTGAGCAGCATTGGTTGAGTCTTCAAGGAGAAGGCACACTTAGATGGCTGAGATTTGAAACCTTTGTGGCTTTCTCCAATCTGGGCCTAGGGGCTACTGGTCATAATCAAGAAAAGACTGTGGAGCCCCTTCCCGGATGCTATTGACTTGGGGACTCTGGATGAAATTCCAGACATCCTTAAGAAGGAGACTATAACTAGTCATCCATGCATCAGTGGTGTATCTGGAAGGGACCTTGGCACCATTAGTTCCAGAGTTTTTTTTGTTTTCACTTTTTTTAAAAAGATGAGGTCTTGCTTTGTTGCCCAGGCTGGAGTACAGTGGCATGATCATAGCTCAGTGTATCCTCGTACTCCTGGGCTTAAGCAATCCTCCTGCCTTAGCCTCCTGAGTAGCCACCACCATGCCTAGTTAATTTTTTTTTTTTTTTGAAGCAGAGGTCATGCTATGTTGCCCAGGCTGGTCTTGAACTCCTGGCCTCAAGCAATCATTTTTTTTAACTTTTTTTCATAAAAAGTTTCAAAACTATAGAAAAATACTATAATGTGATAGATACATACCCACCACCTAAAATTAACAAGTGTTAACATTTTGCTGTTTGCTTTATCTATTTTTATGCTAATTTGAAGGAAATTATAGATATTATGACTTTTTACCCCTAAATACTTTAAATAAATCTCTAAAAATTAAGTTCCCGTGATTTTAAGAACATTTTTTTTGGTCGGGTGTGGTGGCTCACACCTGTAATTCCAGCACTTTGGGAGGCCGAGGCGGGCAAATCACAAGGTCAAGAGATTGAGACCATCCTGGCCAACATGGTGAAACCCCGTCTCTACTAAAAATAAAAAAAAATCAGCTGGGCGTGGTGGTGTGCACCTGTAATCCCAGCTACTCGGGAGGCTGAGGCAGGAGAACCACTTGAACCTGGGAGGCAGAGGTTGCAGTGAGCCGAGATCGCACCACTGCACTCCAGCCTGGTGACAGAGTGAGACTCTGTCTCAAAAAACAAAACAAAACAAAAAAACACGAACATTTCTTTAAGGCAGCAGACCATTCTATTAAATAAGATATCATGTGGATACACAACACAGAGTTGAGCTGCGCTCGGGACATATCTGAGCAGAGATGTCAAGGATCTAGTTGTATGTGTCAGTCTGGAGCTCTGGAACAGAAGTTGGAAGTGGAGATCTGGGCTTGGGATGTGTTTAAAGCCATAGGACCAAATGAGGTCACTAAGAGAAAGTGGAGAGAGAGGGAGGAGAGGACACCCAGGGCACTCCGGCATTGGAGAGAGGCCAGCAGAGGAGGCTGAGAGAGCTGCTTGCAGAGTATGAGGAGAAGCAGGACAGAGGGTGTCTCTGGAGCCAAAAGAAGAAAGTGTTTCAAGAGCAAGGGTGTAGTCAGTCGTGTCTGCTGTGGAGAGGCCGAGCAAGCTGAGGGCAGAGAGCTTGAACATTGGATTTGGGACAGATGGGAAACCAAGGCCCAGAACCGTCACTGCCTGCCTAACATCTAGAACTCACAAGTTACAGATGAGGAACTGGAGGATCGCAGAGAGGGGGTGACTTGCCTGAGATCACACAGTGAGCTAAATGGTAGAGTGAGGACTACAGCCCAGGCCCCCTGGTCCTCCAGAGGGTGGGATTTACCTGCCTAATACCAGCCTTCTCCCTCAGGCCGCAAGCTGGATCTTCAGGCCTCAGTTTCTTGCTGGTAATTCCTCTGCAGAGGATCACCAGGTACCCACTGCTGCTGCAGAAAATCCTGGAGAACACAGTCCCTGATGCCAGTGCCTATCCTGTCCTTCAGAGGGCTGTCTCTGCCCTCCAGGACGTGAACACCAATATCAATGAGTACAAGATGCGCAAGGAAGTGGGTAAGGACTTGGGCATTTAAGGGGACACATTAGTAGGAATGCTTCCAGTTACAGAAAATTTATCTAAAATCTGCTTCACCAGTAAAGAGAATGTAGTGGCTTATGTAACTATAAATCCAGAGGTAATGCAAGCTTTAGGTAGGGTTCGATCAGGGTGCTGGCTCCAGTTCCCTGTAACTCCCTTGTCTCTGCTCTTTACTCTGTATCAGCTTCATCTTCAGGCTGGCTTGCCTCATAATAGTAAGTTGTGGCTGTTCCAAGACTCACAGCTGCACACCACACTTACCCGGGTAAGGCAGGGTTTTTTCCCCCTTAGCCACAAAAATTAAGTCAAAGTTTCTCTTTGATAGGACCCACCTGGGTCATGTGCTTACCTTGAACTAATCACCAAAGTTAGGGCATCATGAACTGATTGGCTTAGGTCTGGGTTATGTGCCCTTCTTTGAATTAATCACTGTTGCCAGGGGTTTGGAATTATATAAATTGGCTTGTATCAGTCAGCAATCCACCCCTTGAGCTAAAGTGAGATCAATCTCATCCAAACCACATGACTGCCACACTGTGGAGGAGAAATCAATAGTGGGGAGGTAAAGAGCTGTGCATATATCTGGGGAGCCTGCCTCTCAGGTTATTAAAACAGAAAGGTTTGGAAAACGAAACAGTGTCTCAAGTTAAGAGAAACTCAATTACATGACTGAGACAACATAAAAATGGCAATTCAGCTAATGTTTACTAAGGGCTAGCTGTGCCATGCTTTTTCCTTCATTGTCATATTTGGTCTTTGCACTAACCCTCTGAGGTTGGCCCTGTTAGCCCCATTTCACAGTCAGGTAAAATGAGAGCATGCATCACTTGCTTCCTGTCGCAGAACTGGTAAGGGACAGAGCCAGGTTTCAAACTCAGGCCTGGAGTCTTCACCACCATGCTATACTATATTTAGCAGCTTTGGATTTCCTCCCCACCTGCTTCTCCATCCTACGACAGATCAGTAGGAAGCACTGAGTCAGGACCGGGAAGCGTGGCTCCCAGCTGGCCTGGCTCAAAGTGGCTGAGGGACCCCAGGCAAATCTCTCCTCCATGGGTTCTTCTTTAGGAAGTTCATTCAGACCCTCTGTCTTAGGTGACTCTCCCAGCAATCCTGCGAGGTGGCTGGTCCCATTTTACAGATGAGGAAACTGAGGCCCCAAGGAGTGGTGACTTCCCAAAGTCAAGCAGGCAGGAAGCTCTTCAGCCAGGGCTCACACCTCAGACAGAGGACCCTATGCTTTTCCTGTGTGACTCACTAACCTCATGAATGTGACCCTGATGGAGCAGAGGGCCCAAGCAGGTGCCCAGCCGGGCATGTCCGTGACATCCACTTTCCTGAGTTGGCTTGATCACCGTGCTTCCCCTCTTCTCTGTCGTTGCAGCCTCCAAGTACACCAAGGTAGAGCAGCTGACCCTCCGGGAGCGGCTGGCCCGCATCAACACACACACCCTCTCCAAGAAGACCACCCGGCTGAGCCAGCTGCTGAAGCAGGAGGCGGGGCTGATCCCCAGGGTGAGCGTGCGCCTGGGAGGAAGAGTCACATCCAGCCACCCCCAAGGCCAGGCCCTGCACAGTGGGTAGACAGGGGACTTAGGCTCCTTTCAGAACTGAGGCAATGGAGGCTGAGAGATTGAGGTGCTGGGAAGAGGCAGAGGTGGCACCCCACTTGATTCTGAAGAGCCAGTGGAGGGGTTTCTCCAGTGTCTTGGGCCACTCTCTTTGGGGCCTATTTACACAGATAGGAGAGCTGGTCTCTGGGTTTGGGCAAAGGACCAGCCCTAAATAGCTACTTCTAGCAGCACAGGTTGGTGGAGTGCCTGCTCTGAAACCAAGCATGCTCACACAATGAAATAAGTGTTCCCACTATCCCCATGAGAAAACAGAAACTCCGAGAGGGTAAAACCCTTGTCCAGAGTCACACGGCTAGGAAGCCAATGAACTGGGGCTCATGCTTGTGTATCCGATTCCATGCTCTGAATGTAAAACCACTGAGCTACACCACCCTCTCAGCTTTGGGGTTGCGAGAACCAGCTCTGGTGGGCGAGTCTGTGGAAAGGTTGTCCCAGTGAGGACCTGGAACACTGAAGCCGGTGTACACTGCCCCCATGTGGATATTCTCAACCCTCACACACATTACTTTCAGACAGAAGACAAGGAATTTGATGATTTAGAAGAGAGGTTCCAGTGGGTGTCTCTGTGTGTGACTGAGCTGAAGAACAACGTGGCTGCTTACCTGGACAATCTGCAGGTGAGGACACTGCAGGGTTCATAAAGGGCGAGTCTGGGCTGGGTTCCCCTGGCAGGAGGCTTGCAGGGCCCAGCCTACAAGCTGGGAAAGGCACCAGCCTCAGAAACCAACCAGATGAGGTCATCCTGTCTCATCTCTTCTGGAGAATGCTGGCCAGCACTCCTCAGCCCCAGGCCATTATACTGGGGGCAGCTCCGAGCCCATTGGAGTTCCTACCACATAGGGCCAAAATTCACTGGAAGCAGAGCCCCGCAGAGCAACTCTGCCAGACCAGCACCTAGAGCAGGGGAGACAAACAGGTGCCTAAAGGGGCCAGGCAGGTAATGCTACTGAGTGAAGTGTGCAGGTAACAGGCAATCCAATGCAATAGGAGCCTAGTGTCTAACAGGCTGTTTATGAGACTTTTCAGTGAACTTAAATATAAAATAATATTTGGAATTTGAAGGGCTGAATGAATGAATACATGAATCAAATCTAAAGGAGCAGCTATTCCTCAGCTCTGGGGGGTTGTTGCTGGGTGAGAATATGGGCCCAGTTCTTCTGACTTTAAGAAAAACACACCTGGAAATTCAGGTATTTTTCAGATTTTTGATGACATCTCCTGATGCGTCAATGTGAGCAACTAATTAAATGAAGATTTAAATGCTATGGGGCATTTTTTTAATGCATTGATGTAAATAGGAAAAGTTAGAGAAAAGTATTAATAGAACATGTGGAATATGGACATGGGAAAAAACAAACGCACTGCTGGGTGCAGTGGCTTACGCCTGTAATCCCAGAATTTTGGAAGGCCGAGGCGGGAAGATCACTTGAGGTCAGGAGTTCAAGACCAGCCTGGTCAACATGGTGAAACCTTGTGTCTACTAAAAATACGAAAAACATTAGCCAGGCAAGGTGTCACACGCCTGTAGTCCCAGCTACTCAGGAGGCTGAGGCAGGAGAATTGCTTGAACCTGGGAGGCAGAGATTGCAATGAGCCAAGATCATGCCACTGCACACCAGCCTGGGTGACAGAGTGAGACTCTGTCTCAAAAAAAAAAAAAAAGAAAAAGAAAAAAACCCCACAAAGGTGGCATGTAAATGTATGAAGTTCAAGAAGCACTGGAATGAGGAGAAAGATGTTGACTCAGTCTAAGGCGGAACTTTCTAATCACTTAAGCTGTGTGAGAATAGAATCAGCTGTGTGTGTCCCTCTCATTGGGGGTGTGTAGAGAGCCTGGAAAACCTCTTCAAGGTATGGTGGAAGGGGATTCCAGCGTAAGATGGCCATGACAGGCATGATTGGATGTTTCTCCTTGGTACTGGGTCCAGGCTTTCCTCTACTTCAGGCCGCACGAATACAATCTGGACATCCCCGAGGGGCCTGCAGTGCAGTATTGCAATTTGGCAAGAGACCTTCACCTTGAGGCCTTCCTGAAATTTGTGAGTGGAACCTTTCCTTTCTCCTTTCTTTGTTAGGCAGGTGGTAGAGCTTACAAGAATAATATTTAGAAGTCAGGCACTTTGGCCAGGCGTGGTGGCTCACGCCTGTAATCCCAGCACTTTGGGAGGCCGAGGCAGGCAGATTGCCTGAGCTCAGGAGTTTGAGACCAGCCTGGGCAATACGATGAAACCCCGTCTCTACTAAAAATACAGAAAATTAGCCGGGCATGGCAGTGTGCACCTGTAGTCCCAGCTACTCAGGAGGCTGAGGCAGGAGAATTGCTTGAACCCAGGAGGCAGAGGTTGCAGTGAGCCGAGATCATGCCACCGCACTCCAGCCCGGAGACAGAGTGAGACTCCTTCTCAAAAAAAGAAGTCAGGCACTTTACACAATTGCCACATCTGTAATCTTCCTGAGTGGTCAGCAGCATAGAGATTATTATTAGTGCACTTTCCTGATAAAAATAGCCCCCACTAACATTTATTGAGCCTCACTATCTGCCAGGCTCTATGCTAAGCCCTTTATATTCCTTACATCATTTAATCCTCACCATATGGTTTTGGGGGTGGCTACTTTGAATAACCCCATTCTGCAGGTGAGAGATTGAGGCTCAGAGGGGGTCACCTCCTGGGTCATTTATACAGATGGTCAGTGATAAGCTGGGATCTGAGCCCCAAAGACTCTTGACCACCACTCTATACAAAATCTTTTCTAAGGCTGGGCAAGGTGGCTTATGCCTGTAATCCCAGCACTTTGGGAGGCCAAGGCAGGAGGATTGCTTGAGCCCAGTTGTTAGAGACCACTGTGGGCAACATAGACCCTGTCTCTACAAAAAATAATAATAATAAAATTAGCTGGGTGTGGTGGCATGTGCTAAGGTGGGAGGATCGCTTGAGCCTGACAGGTAGGCTGCGGTGAGCTGTGATTGCATTGCTGCACTGCAGCCTGGGAGACAGAGTGAGACCCTGTCTCAAAAAAAAAAACAAAAAACTTTTTCAAGGTCTTTGCATAATAATGATTCAAAGTGCTATATAAGATTGAATGCCTACTCTGTGCTAAGCACTCTGTTAAGCTCATTACATGCATCGTCCCCATTTTTCAGATGGGCAGATTGAGGCCCAGAGAAGTTAGATAACATGCTAAAGGTCCCAGCTAGTCAGTGGGAGTTAGACTGGAATCCAGGCCTGCATGCTTCCAAAGCCCCTTCTCACAGCCCCTGCCCTTTGCCACCTCCTTTCCCGACTCCCACGCTCATGTCTCCCCACAGAAGCAACGGCTAGAAGGCCTGGTGTGGCAGCCACTGTGCAGCCTGGCCAAAGCCCTGCTTGGCCCTCAGAACCTGATCAAGAAGCGTCTGGACAAGCTACTGGACTTTGAGCGGGTGGAAGAGAAGCTGCTGGAGGTGGGCAGTGTGACCTACCAGGAGGAGGCCGCCCGGCACACATACCAGGCACTCAACTCGCTGCTAGTGGCTGAGCTCCCACAGTTTAACCAGCTGGTCATGCAGTGGCTGGGCCAGATCATGTGCACATTCGTGACCCTCCAGAGGGACCTTGCAAAGCAAGTGCTGCAGAGGGCAGAGGGAAGCATGGCCCAGGTAAGGCCTCTGAGACTTGGACACCTGTGGGGAGTAGCCAGGCAAGGCCCTGCAGCCCCATCAGCCAGCTGTGTGTAGGGGCTAGGATGGAGGGAGGATGGGCCTGAAAACAGGTCATCAGGCCCTTAGGAAGAGGCAGTGGGAACCTTCCAGATCTCTCTCATGCCCAGTCTCCCTCTGTTAGTGAAGTCAGACCATGAAAGCAAGGATAGGACTGAGATTTCAGACCATTCCCAAGTCCTGCAACTCAGAAGCAGAAGAAGCTTTGCTCATACAATGGCAGATCTTGGGACTGATCTCTGGAGTGTACTAGAAGTTGATGACAGAGACAGAAGGTCGTTTCTACACAGTAAGGAGTAAATGTCTCAAGCCGGTGTTACTATTACTACTTCCAGCAGCCATCTTCTCATGAGTATTTAGGATGTACCTGTTTGGAGCACTCTCCATGCATGATCTCATTCAATCCTCACAACAACCCTACAGAGGAGGTATAATTATACTCATTTTAAAAATAAAGAAGCCAAGGCACGGAGAGGTAAAGTAGCTTGTCTAGGGCCACACGGCTAATAGCAAGCATTGAACTCTGACAGTTCAGCTCCAGGGCCTGGACTCTGAACCACAACACTCAAGAGCCTGTAAAAGGAGCTACCGGCTGAAAGCATAAATAGGTTCCACAGAGGTTTGGATAAACCTCCAAATGCAAACTTTGATTTTAGAATTTGGAAGACTGGAGTTGATACAAGAAAGAACACCCAACTGCTTCCAGATCTTGCTCTCAGATGTCAACATGAGAGCTGAATTGCTGTTGGGTCCCACCTTGGGAGCAATTTCAATACTCCTAATATCACACACTGTTTCCTGTGTGTCACAGTCTCCAGCTCAGCTTTTCCCCATCCAATTCTTTGCATGAAAACTCTACTAAGATTTGCCTTCCCCACCCCATCACCTTTCTAGCCCACAGCCCTCCCCTCCAGCACACAGCTGCTGGATGTGGCCACTCTGCACAGACACCTGCCTCAGCTTAGAATGCCCCTCTCCATTGTCCCTGAGCACTTTCAGTGTCTGGCATAGAGTAGGAGCTCCCCAAACAAGTGGCAGATGAATGAGTCTCTCCATGAAGCTCTCAGAGCTCCCCATCTCCTGAGGGGGAGAAGTCATCTCCCTATCCTCTGTACTCCAGCAGCCCTGTGGATGGAACTGTGCTTAGTACTTTTCAGAGCCTGCCTTCTGCTGCAGGAATCCATGAATGTGTTTCTCCTCAAGCATGGGGACTGGGACTGCAAGCTTTTTCTCTTTTTGGCCCTCACAGAGTTCTGTCCCAGACACTCTGCAAATTGAATTAGGCCTGAACCATCAGTAAAAGAACTGTCTCTTCCTTGAGGGCAGAAGAGTAAATCTGATGAGGTTATCTTTTCCCTCTCCTGTAGCCTAGAGGTTTTCTCTCTTGGGCTGCCCCCAACCCCTTGCATTAAATCTGGGATGTGCAGAGCTAGGGAGTGTTTGGGGATGCCAGTAGAGAGGTGGTCACGTTTATAAAAGCAGAAAGTAAGGGCGCTTCCTGATTGGTCCATCAGAGTCTGCTGGTGACAGCTGCCAGCCTGCCTTATCTGTGTCCTGTGGTCCATGCATGTGGCCTGTCCCTGTGGAGCCTGGAAAAGGCTGCAGGCAGAAACCTCAATCTCCCTGAATCCTGGTGGGAGGAAGGCTCTAGGTCAGCACTAAGAACAATGAGTTTGGTGACAAGCTGTGAATCTGGTGACAAGCTGTGGCATCTCACTCACTCCTAGGTTGTCTGACGAAAATGCAAGAGATCCTGCACAGGGTCAAGGTCTCAGGACAGAGTATCACTCAGAACTCCTTGGGTTGAAAATAATATAAACCCAAAGCAAGCCAGGGATCTCATTGTCCCCTCTTGCCCAGCTCTGTTGACAGTGTCTGTCCCCACTTAGCTGCCCCACCACCACGTCCCAGAGCCTGCCTTCAGGAAGCTGGTGGAGGACGCACTGGGCCGGACGAGTAACCAGCTTCGCTCCTTTCAAGAGACCTTTGAGAAAGTGCAGCCACCTCCCACCACACAAGTAAGCATCCTTCCTCCACCCCAAAGACTGTCCAGTTCTTCACTGGCCAGTAGGGTGAGGCTCCATCCATCCCCTCTTTCCTTTCCTTTTTGGTCCCCCAATGTTTCCTGTTATCCATGGAAATATGTTCTCTTCTCTCTCCTTTCTATTTGAGCTGGGGTGGGGGGACACACCCAGATACATACACACTCTTTACATCCAAGAAGTAGAAGAAAAGCACAGAACTTCTGAGTCAAGGAAAAGAAAACTCAGACCTTTTAATATTAAGTGAAATTAGACGTAATGATGGGCAACTGGCATTGACATCCAAAAACCTAGAACTTCTTCAAATTGTCATCAAAAGGTATCCTTGGCCAGGCATAGTAGCTCACACCTGTAATCTCAGCACTTTGGGAGGCCGAGGTGGGTGGATCACTTGAGGCCAAGAGTTCGAGACCAGCCTGGCCAACATGGCAAAACCCTGTCTCTACTAAAAATACAAAAATTAGCTGAGCGTGGTGGTGTGCACCTCCCAGCTACTTGGGAGGCTGAGGCAGAAGAATTGCTTTAGCCTGGAAGGCAGAGGTTGCAGTGAGCCAAGCAAAGGTATCCTTTTCCTTCCCTGCCTTCTAATGCCAGCTTCAACATGAGCATTCAACATAAATAAAAATTTTGATTATGTCATTTAAATTTCCTATCGCTGTGGTATTTTTTATTGCAAAGAACAGTATTTCAGCTGCATGATGGTTTACAAAGCTTTGGCTGACCAAATGCTTTTGGGTTTTTTTTTTTTTTTTGAGATGGAGTTTCACACTGTCGCCCAGGGTGGAGTGCAGTGGTGTGGTCTTGGCTTATTGCAACCTCCACCTCTCAGGTTCAAGCAATTCTTCTGCCTCAGCCCCCCGAGTAGCTGGGATTACAGGCACCCACCACTACGCCTGGCTAATTTTGTATTTTTAGTAGAGAGGGGGTTTCACCATGTTGGCCAGGCTGGTCTCGAACTCCTGCCCTCTGATCTCAAGTGATCCACCCGCCTCAGCCTCCCAAAGTGTTGGAATTACAGGCGTGAGCCACCACACCTGGCCCCAAATGCTTTTTAAAAAATGTATTTTCCTTTAAAATATAAGGAGAGGTTATCTGTTCTAGTCACTTGTAAAGTGTACCCAGGCAGTCTGTGTTTTAAAAGTAACTGAAGCAGCTGTAGGGAGAAGGGTCTCCTCAGACTGTGGCAAGACCTGGATCTGAGAAATTGAAACTGTCCCCTCACATGCAACATGTGAACTGAAGAGTCAGAAGACAGCCCTGAGATTCCCCAGAGGGAGAATGGGGCCCCAGGGACACAGAGAAACAAGAACAGGAGCCCAGCAGAACAGGACAGATAAAGGTAGCCCACACCTGGCCCAAGTGCCGCGAACATGGGAGACCTTCACAGCCTGATATCCGCCACAAGGCTGCAGGCTGACTCCTCATTGGCCCCATCTGTCCCCGCTCTTACTCTACATGGAGAGTTTTGCCCAGCAGAGACCTCACCGACTAGGGGTGTGCCGTGGGCCCCGAGACTCGGGGAGAGAGCACGGGTGCAGAGGATAAACAGCAGAGCAGCCACTTGAATGTGTCACCCCTTCCCACCCTCCCACCTCTCCACACACACACACACACAAACCTCCTGCACATTCCTGATGTATTTGGCTGAGGGTATAGAACCCAGCACAAGTGAGGTGGTCTCCCCGGACAGAAGCAGCCCTCATGGGATCTTTACAAGCCCTCCTTGGGGGCCCTCCCAGGGGTGACGCTGTTCTCTGCATAGGGAGGGCCGGTCAGCCTTGAGAAAGAAGGCCAGCATTTGTGACACCACTGGCTCTTATACTCACATGCATATCACTGTCCTAAAAGAAATGACCACAACACCACTGTTCTCAAAGAAAACTACCTCGTCTCTACATTCCTGTTTAAGGACCTGTTTAGAAACATTGGGATCTCCTGGTTCTAAATCCTGAGACGCCATCCCCTTTGGGGCAAGGATGTGGCAGAGTCTGTGGCCAAATGTTCCTGAAGGGCATCTCTGCCTGCCTCCCCACACCCAGCACCTCCCCACAAGGAGTAACCACATAGAGCATGGTGAACACACACACACACACACACACACACACACACACACACACACACACGCCTCTCTCAAGACATAGAGTAAATATATATTTAACATATTTAGTTTCTTATTGATTTTGCAAAAAGAGGACAAGCATCCCTGAGTCTCTCCTTGTTGATACTCTTCTGGAAGCAGTATCATGCAATGGAAAAACAGGAAATGCCAGGAGATTTTTGGATAAGCTGAAAGTGCCACCGAATCATTCTTTCCAGCTAGATGGCAATTTCGTCTAGGTAAAACTCTCTCCTGTATTTCTACTACACCATTCTCAAAGTTTTCCACAGTGCCCTGTAAATGGCAGGTGCTCCATAAATGCCTGTGGACTGAAAACTCATGGAATCAAAGGTTACATGCCCTCGTTCCTGCATATGTGAAATCCGCCATGTGCTGGCCCTGGCTGGCTATTTAAGAAACCAGATGAATAAGGTCTGGTGCCCACATGAAACTCACACTCTAATGGAATTGAAAGACCTGTCCAGGGCATTCTGCTGTGGGATAACTTACCCTGACGGTATGGGCAGAATTTAGGGCCCAATCCTAGGAGTTCAGTAACTGAGAGATTTCAGAACTTGAATTGGAATTTTAGAGAATCCCAGAAATTAGAAGTTTCTTCCAAAACGCCGTAGGCTGCTAAGAGCCAGCCATCTGCTAGTGAGGGCCCTGTTGCCCTGATCAGGGTGGGCCCTTCAGTGGCAGAGTTAGGATCAGGCCCAGTACTCCTGGCTGTCAAAATGTGAGCAAATGTTGGTGCCAGCTTTGACAGGTTTATTCAAGCACTTGTGTCTGTCTGTGCTCCTCCTCTCCCAGCCGCTCCTTCCAGGGTCTGAACGCCAGGTGCAGGCTCTCCTGAGCAGGTATGGCCCTGGGAAGCTGTACCAGGTGACAAGCAACATCAGTGGGACTGGGACTCTGGACCTGACTCTGCCTCGGGGCCAAATCGTGGCCATCCTTCAAAACAAGGACACCAAAGGCAACAGCGGCCGCTGGCTGGTGGACACCGGGGGTACGTGAGCCTTTGGGAGCCCTTCTTCTCCTTCGGGGAAAACCACCCCACAGAAGCCGGTGCAGAGACCCGGGCACTCTTGTGGGTCAAAGTCTGGCTGGGCATTCCAGGATGGGAGTAGGCACAGGTGACACACACAGGGCTCAGGGCACAGTCAGTTTAGAGTGACTCCGTGGGACATGAAAAGCCAACAAGAGGAATTGAGGCATTCGTTGCAGGGTCTACCATGAAGCACCTATGGTGTGCTGGGCGCTGAGCATATAAGACAAGGCCCCTGCCTGGAGGGCCTTGCAGACCACTGAGGTCAACAGGGCTATATGGAGAGAACTCCAGGACCACCCTGAAAGATGGAGATGGGCACGGAGATAGAATGCCTGGACCCTGGCTACACCGCCAGAAGTCTGATGTGCAGAATGAGGGGAGCGATCATCCTGCCCACTCCATACTGGTCATGGCCTTGGGAAGTGCTGCTGAGGTCTGGGTGCCCCAGTGTAACTGGGCTGAAGGGAAGTGGCACCATGAATCCAGGTGATATGGCCCAGGAGAGCATCTTCCGAAGAGGGGTGTGTGACCCACAATATGAGGGGTGCCTGAGATTATTGTCAGGGGATCCACAGACAGTTTTTCCCCCTTCAGACAGTGTATTATAATTGTTACTTAAGCATTTTAATGTGTATTAGAAAAAATATAAGTAGTCCATAATTCCATGATTATAATCATATTATTGTATATAGTACAAGATGAAGTTTTAAAAAGTGAGTCAATTAAAAAATTAAGAAAGCGGTACAAATCAGACAGAAATCATGAAACAGCACTTCCATGACTTAAGGTGGGAACCACAGAACGGGTATTAAGCAAGGCCCCCGAGGCCAAGAGGACTGGATTTGGATTCCAGCTCCACCACTTTGCTGACTGTGTGATCTCAGGGAAGTCATGGAGCCAGTCTGAGCTCGGCTGGTTGAACGTAAAATGGAGAGGATAATATCACTGGCTGCCCTCAAGAGGTGATGTGAAGACTATGTAATGAAATGCTTGCTCTGTAGTTTGGCACACCCTCAGGAAGTGATAGCCATTCATAATGACAGCAATCAGAACAGCACTGGACTAGTTGCTACACATAAAGGAACTGGGCTCACATGGAGAGGAGAAAGGCAGTCTCCGCCTCCTAGGAAAGGCAGTCCTGGGGAGAGGAAGCAGCTCTTGCTCTGGGCAGACACCAGAGGGGCATGGGAGCTGGCGGCTCCATCAGATAAGCAGTTTTCATGCCAGTCCAGGGACAAACTTTTAGTCTCTATCATAGCTGATCAAAGGGAGTCGTCTGTCCGGTAGGGAATGAGCCCCCCATCACTGGGGTGTGTGAGCAGAAGCCAGAAACGGTGAGTGTGGGGCAGGGGGGTTCAGGGTTCCTAGATGACCTTTTGGTTCTCTTGGGTGTTGAGAAGCTGTGTTGGAAACATTTATATCCATGGATTTTCTCCCTCATTAAAAGGGACGGGAAGGTGGCCCGCAGCCTGCTAACCTTCTGCATGCTCCCTAGGACATCGTGGGTATGTGCCGGCTGGGAAACTACAGCTGTACCATGTGGTCCCCAGTGCAGAGGAGCTCAGAAGGCAGGCGGGGCTGAACAAAGACCCCCGATGTCTAACACCGGAGCCCAGCCCAGCTCTAGTGCCCTCTATTCCCACCATGAACCAGGTGAGTATAGGAGAGGGCTGGGGGCTTGCCTCCCATCGGCCATCCGGACTGTGGCTTGGATTTTCCTTCTCTCTCAAAGTCTATGCCCCTCCTGTCTGGTGGGGCTGCCACTCTGTGAGACCAAGGCCTTGATCAATGGCCATGCCAGTGTCCCAGCCAGGAGTGGGACCTGAAGAAGGGGGCCTCCCACCCCTACCACAGCAACCACAAAGAACTAACCCCTTGTTCCTCATCAGCAGGGCAAGTGAGATTCATTCATTCATTCATTCATTCATTCATTCAATATTTGCCAGGCACTGTACTAGATGAGAGATACAATGATGAGCAAAACTAAATCATGGTCTTTGCTTTCCTCAAACTTCTAATCTGAGAGTAGGGAAAACAGTGATTAAGAAAATAATTTCATGACTAACTGAAGTTAAAGTTAATAGCAGAGGTAAGTACCAGAGCCCTAGGTGTGGAGAGGTCCAGGAAAGGTTTTGCTGAGAAGAGTGGTGCTTTTTCTCAAACAGGAAGGGAGAGAGGGAATTAATTGGATAAAGAGGGTGTACTGGGGTGCAGATGGAAAGAGCTCTGCAGAAAAGGCCCAGTGACAGGAGAGGGCAGGAGGTATATGAGGAACCGAATGAAGCCAGTGTGGCCGGAGAAGAAAGGGGACAGACTGGAGTGTCGTGCTGCTGGAGAGGTGGGCAGGGACAGGCCAGCAGGGCCTTGTGGCCTTGACAAGGGTGTCAGTCTCAGTCTTTCTCTGAAGAGCAATGGGCAGCATGTGTATGCGTGTTCATGGCGGCATTATTCATTGCAGCCAAAAAGTAGAAACAACCCACAGGCCCATCAATATGAATGGATAAACACAACGCGAGCTCTTTGTACAATGGAATATTATTCAGCCATAGAGACGAATGAAACACCGGTACATGCTGCAGCATGGACAAGCCTTGAACACATGCTGCTAAGTGAACAAAGTCAGATGCAAAAGGCCACATAGGATTCCATTATGTGGATGTCCAGAATGGGCAAATCCGTAGAGATAGAAGGTGGATGAATGGCAGGGGCTGGGGGTGGGAGGTGGGGAATGGGGACTGCTAACTGGTGTGAAGTTTCTTTTTGGGGGTGATGAAAATGTTCTGGAATTAGATAGTGGGGATAGTTGCATGTGTCTGCAAATATACTAAAAACCTCTGAATTGTACACTTTAAAAGGGTGAGTATTATAGAATGTGAATTATATCTGAAAAGTAAAGTGTTTGGAAGCCACTAAGGGATTTGGCTTTGCAGGGATGGAGTCCATGAGCGGGGAAGAAGTTCAGTGGGATGTTGGAAGGATGGGATGAGACAGTAAAGCTGGGCTGCATGTATTGTGAACCTCCCTCAATGGAGGCAGCCCTCACAATGATCAGCAGTTGAGGGTGGCAGGGGGTGTACCACAGGGGAAGCAGGAGCAACAGAAAGGATCTGGACAGAATCGGATGCCTCGGGCCAGGGTGGCTGGAGGAGCCTGCCGCAGGCTGTGAGTGCTGCATAGGTGTCTGGGAACCCTCTGCTCTAGTGCTTGTGCCACACCCACCGGGAAGGCTGTCAGGCCAGCATCCTTCAGCAGTAGCCAGAATTAAAGCACCAGGGGCTACAAAGCACCCACCAGAGCCCCACGGGAGGGCCTGACCACCCAGCTCAGCCTCTGCCCCGGTGCCTCTGGGGACAGGAATGAGGTTACCCCCGCCGCCCAGCTCCAGTCAATGGGGGTGGTGTCTCAGGGACTCCCCATCCAGGGGCTCATTTGGGTGAGCTCAGCTGTCTATCTGCCCAAGCATATCAGCTGCTTCCTCTGGGACTCTGCAGGACTTGCCCGGGATCATCCCAGCCCTTCCATGGTGCTTAATGTTCCTGAGGCTTGACCATCAGTAATGACAGTAATGGTAAAACAAACAAACAAAAAACCTAAGCAGCCTGCATTTATTGAGCCCTTGCTATGTATGTATCAGGCACTGTGTAAAACCCTACACATGTATTCCTTCATGAAATTCTCTCAATGTCCTGAAGGGGATGGGACCATTCCCTTCATTTTGCAGGTGGTAAAACAGGCTCAGAGAGGTTAAATATTAGCCTAATACATGCCCTCCTTGCCAATTGTTTTCTCTAGTTCAATTTATTTTTCTTTCTTTCTTTCTTTCTTCCTTCCTTCTTTCCTTCCTTCCTTCCTTCCTTTCTTTTTTTCTTTTTTTTTTTTTCGGGGTCTGGCTCTGTGGCCCAGGCTGGAGTGCAGTGCCATGATCTCGGCTTACTGCAGCCTTACCTCCCAGGCTCAATTAATTCTCCCACCTCAGCCTCCTGAGTAGCTGGGATTACAGGTGTGCGCCACCATGCCCGGCTAATTTTTGTATTTTTAGTAGAGGCAGGGTTTCACCATGTTGGCCAGGCTGGTCTTGAACTCCTGATCTCAGGTGATCTGCCCTCCTCTACCTCCCAAAGTGCTGGGATTATAGGCGTGAGCCACCACACCTGGCCCAGTTCTATACTTTTCTGTAAAAAGTAAACAAGTTGCCCAAATCCTTGTCTCTACTTTCAGCTGGGAAACTGGCCTGGGCAGCTCAAACCATTAGATCTGGAGAGGGAGAGGGTGCTGAGTCTGCTCAGTGATGTGGCAGTAGTGGATCAAAAATATCTGTTTGGAGGTCAGACAGGCCTAGATTCACTGCTGTGCAATTTTGAGTAAGTTCCTTGACTTCTCTGATCCTCATTTTTCTTATCTGAAAAATGCAGCAAATAGAATGATAGAATTATTGTGAGAACCCAAACCCAGTAGAGTGCTAGGACAGTGCCAGTCACATAGTATGGGCTGTGGTACTAGCAGATGCAGTCATTGCCTTTAGTACAAAAGATGTACTTGGGAGGTGACGAGCATCCAGCAATGGGGACGAGAGCCAGGTGGATGGGAACAGGATAAACAGCCTCTCTGGATCCAGTCTGTCTACCTTCTCACCCTGACCATTTCTGTGTCACTCCCCATGTGTTTCAGGTCATAGCCGCGTACCCTTTTGTGGCCAGAAGCAGCCATGAAGTGAGCCTGCAGGCAGGCCAGCCTGTGACCATCCTGGAGGCCCAGGACAAGAAGGGGAACCCTGAGTGGAGCCTGGTGGAAGTGAATGGACAGAGGGGTTATGTGCCTTCTGGCTTCTTGGCCAGGGCTCGGAGCCCAGTTCTGTGGGGCTGGAGTCTGCCCTCTTAGGGTACCCTCTTTGGAGCCTACATTGCCAAATGATGGGGGAGGCTTAGAGGCTCTGACCCTGGGGGGAAAAGAAGCAAAGGAAAGGTGGAGGTGGAAGGGAAGACCAGGCCAGGGTGGGTGAAGCACACTCAGGAGGCAGCCAGAAGACATGGGCGGGCCTCGCAGAGTGCTTGGTGTGGTGGGGGCACAGGAGGCTCCAGCCAGGACTGCTCATTATGTCTGCATAAAGAACTCATTCCGACCTGGGGTCACAATGCACTTGGACAGCAGGTCACAGCTGATTGGCCAGGACTCTCCATAGGTTATGGCCAGTCTTAGCTGTGCCTGCATCCGGGCCTGCCTGTGGGCGTGGGTCACACGGGATAATGTTACCTGCGTGCTGTGTGGTTGCAGGAAGCGGGTTCTGGAGGAGTCCAGAACTGCCTGGTCAGACAGTTCACTTCCTACACATGGTATCAGGAGACATCATAACCAATGAGTCAGCTTTTATTTCTCTATGCTGGAAGCTGAGTTTATCTTGGGCAGTGACCCACTGGGAGCCCTCTCAAGTGGGGAAGCCATGGATTTATCGGTGTAGCAGAGAGGTTCCCAAGACTCTTGACTGGTCCTGGGAGTGGGTGTGACCAAGTCATAGTTCTGGAATGTGTGTAGGCAAATTCAGAGGCTGTTCCAGGGAAGAGGGGATTTTGATACTGTGTTAGGTGGGGTGTGTGAGGCTGTTGGCAGCAGGTGAACAGCTACTGCTGTGTTCTCAGGACTAGGGAACAAAGGGGTATGCAAATCATAGAGGAAACTCTGGGAAGGCGGTGATAAGGCCTGGTGGGTGGGGAGGTTAGGGAATGGCTTGCTTTCCTGTTTCTGGTTAGAAGGGGAGCCAGGGGGAACCCCCAGTGGTTTCAGGTGGCCCCTGAGGTCCTGGAGGCAGCCGTGGATGTGATGCAATTGGCTGTGGGACCTTAGATGTAGGACACAACTTCAGTGTTCCCATCCAGAAAGACCTCACTCACAGGGTTGTGCTGAGAATGACGTGGGGCTAAGCATGCAGAGCTCCCTGTAAACTGTGAAGTGTGATACAAATGTAAATGACAGCAGTGATCTCGGGGTGGCCCCCGGCATGCTGCCCTCCCCCACGCCCATGCCTGTGGCAGCAAACCTTGTTCATCAGTATAGCTTTCTTTCCTGTAACCCAGGATCTACCTTGGGGGGCTTCTCAATACTGCATTCTATGTAGCCAGCCTCTTTAACTTGGTAAGTGAGCCACCCCATTCTAGAACCTGGAAATTGGAGCCCCTCAAAAACAGTTCCTGTTCAAGGAGGACTGACCTGCTGGGGCAATGTTGGGTGCAGTGCAGTCCCTGCTTGGGGTGGTCATGTCTAGGCTGTTGCTCTGGGCAAAGATAAGTTGCAAGATTCACAGAAATGGGAAAATGTGACCAAGTGTGATCTTAACAACTGACAAAGTTTGTAACCAACCCAAGTTAGAATGTGTGTCAAACAGGAGGTAGTTTAGATATGCTTCCAAGAACATGTCTGTGTTATAACCATAGTGCCTAAGCAGTGAGCTCTGGTTTTTGAAGGGCTTTTAAGAAATATATACATGTCTGTGTCAGTCTATAACTTGCCTCCTCTGGGCCTGTTAAAGCATGAAGACTGCATGACACAAGAGAAATGCAAGCCCTACGGTTCCTTTCTCAGCAGCGAATTCACTTGAGAGGATGCTCTTGACTCATTCTCTCTGCTCTTTCCTGCTCAGATTTCTGATAAAAATAGAGAGCATAGGGGAACAGATAATGAAATAGGAAACCCACTCGTGGGTTCCACAGATACCTACCGAAGGCCTACTGTGTGCTAGAATTGTAGCTCAGGAGTTCTCAGTGTAGCTGCTCACTGAAGTTACCATGGCAGGTTTCAACTGGCAGAATCCAGGCTCCGTCCCACCCAGAGATTCTGATGAAATTGGTTTAGGGTGTGGCTCGGGCCTCAGGAATTCAGAAAGCTTCCCAGGTGCTTCCAATGTGCAGCCAGGGTTAGGGACCTCTACCCTAGACACAAAGTATTGGACAGATAGACCTGGTGCCAGAGATGGCCATGAGCTGTAAGCTAGGACGTGCCCCACCTGAGCTCTGCACTAGCTAGTTCAAACAGGCGCTTTAAAGGCAGTGTGAAAGGGGACAGCCTGTTCTGCCAGGTCTCAGAATGTATATTTATTAAGTGCCATTAAAAGGGACCTGAACAAAATTGGATGTCTTGTAGGCATAAGGGAGGAAAATAAAATATACTTGGAACCAAGTCTATGTCATGAAGGGAAAATAAAAATGTATTCAGTAGCACGTGGGTTATGGTTTCTCATAGACCAGGGGATAAGATTAAAAGTCACTGAAGAGTGGGAAAATGCATGTTGAGAAGATGAGAATGGCCTGTATTTTCTCCAGGGGAATCTGTGTAATGTGCCTTTTCCCTCTCCAAATGCCTAGAACCATGGCACTGTGTCTTATTTATTTAACCGTTGGGCTGTCTCATACTAAACTTGCAAAGATATTTGCCTATGAACTGAACAAGACTTCCAGGAGTTGAAGTCTGGTTCACAAGGGTACCCCTTGCCTCCTGTGATGGAGTGAGAACTCTTAAACCCCTCAGGCCCCAACTCAGTTGTGGAGATGAGGACAAGATTACAATATCAAAAGAAAGATGAATGAATTCTTGGTTAATATGACGAACCCCAGCTCAATGAGTAACTGATGTGAACTGCTGGGAATAAAGGACTTCAAAGATGGAAAGTCTCTGGAATTTGTGTGACTCTAAACATTGGGTAGCCAGATGCCCCGCTGTGCCATTTGTTTGCTAGACACTTGCTGTATATAAAAATAATATCTTGTTTGCTCAGGTGTCCATTTAATGGACACCCTTCACGCCTCAGGGAGCTGGCCTGAGCTGCTGGGGGATACAGAAAGAAATCAGACAGATGAGGCCCGGTCTTCCAGATCCCAGTCTCTAAGGCAGGCAGATGAGGCACCCATCAATTACGTGCCGTGTAAGTGTCAGGATGAAGTAATGGCAGGTGCCACGCAAGCCAGGGAAGAGGCCTACCTCTGTCTCAGACTTGGCGGCCAAGGAAGGCTTCCTGGAAGAGGTGATATCCAAGCTGAGGCCCAGTGGGTGGTTAGGTGAAGATGGCAGAGAGAGAACATTTGGAGGCCCAGAAGTGCAGCAAACATGGAAAGGAGCCTTGGATTTTATTCTGAGGGCAGTGGGGGAGGCATGAAAGGGTTTGAAACAGAGGAGTGATGTGCTCAGGGTTGTACTTTGGGAAGATCACTAGGCTCTGACTGTGTGCCTGTTGCGCCCACAGGCAACTGCATGCTCCTTGAGGCTGAGAACTTCTGATTCATCCCAGAATCTCCCTAAGCCTTTGTCATGTGCCTCAAGTACTAGATGTTCAATACATATTGCTTAGTAAGCATCCCAGAGAGGATAGGAACACCAAAGCCTTGCCTTCAAGGACTCTCCTGGCCGACTGGAGAGTCAGACATCAAGCAGTTATCTGGCCCTACAGGAAAAGATGCCCTCAGCCCCAGAGGGGTGCTATGGACCAGGCATATAGGTGCTCAGACAAGGGAGAGATTTGGGAAGGCTGAGGTGGCCAGGGGCAGTTTCCTGAGGAAGGTGGTGCAGGTGCTGGGCCTTGTGGGATACATAAGATTGGAGAGAGTAATCCGGCTGGGTGTGGTGGCTCACACCTGTAATCCCAGCACTTTGGAGGGCAAGGCAGATGGATCACTTGAGGTCAGGAGTTCAAGACCATCCTGGCCAACATGGTGAAATCCTGTCTCTGCTAAAAATACAAAAAATTAGCTGGGCATGGTGGCGTGCGCCTGTAATCCCAGCTACTCGGGAGGCTCAGGTAGGAGAATTGCTTGAAACTGGGAGGCAGAGGTTGTAGTGAGCCGAGATCACCATGCCATTGAACACCAGCCTGGGTGACGAAGCAAGACTCTTGCCTCAAAAAAATAAAAATAAAGCAATCCTATGGGATTACTCTGTCATCTACAGGATGGAGGCCTTCTCAGGCCTGGGAGGCAGTGTGGTGGCATGAAAAGGCCCAGCACTTGGCCTCAGAAAATCTAAGTCCACACCAGGCCCCAGTACCTCATGCCTGTAGTCCCAGCTACCCAGGAGGATTTCTTGAGCCCAGGAGGTCGAGGCTGCAGTGAGCTGTGATTGCGCCGCTACACTCCAGTCTGGGTGACAGACGGAGACCCTGTTTTTATTTATTTATTTATTTATTTATTTTTATTTTTTTAAAAAAGAAAAAGAAAAAAAATCTGAGTCCAAGACCTACTTGGCCATAGGCAAGCAGCAAATGTCTTGACTATGGATGGACCGTGGTTTCTATGTATGAAGACATCTGCTGATGGCCCCCAGGCTGCTCTGTCCTCCCACTCAGACTCAAAAGTACTCACTGCAGAGTTCTGGCCATCTCAAGGGTGTGGCAGGACAGAGCCTAAAATACCCTGGGCTGGGGCAAAGGAAAGAGCTGGATTCCACTCTGGCAACATCATGGAATCTGGGATCCTGAATGATTTATTCACTTAACCTTGCTCATTTTTTTTTCTTATCTATAATTACCCAACTTACCTTTTCTGTTTTCTCATCTGTAAAATGGATACAATAATTCCTGTTCTCCCAGGGTTGGTAAAAGGATTAAATAAGGGACAATCAGTGTGCCTGGTGGTAGATGTACCAGGAATATCACTGATATGCATTGATGGCACAGAAGAACTGTGACCACCAGGTGGCAGCAGGGGATCAGCTAAGGGACGGCTGGGAAGCGCCTTTGGGATCAATGCGAAACGCCCATGGTGCCAGGCAGTTAGTGGAGATGAGAGGAAGGGCCAAGTGAAAGGCATTAGGGGGTGGTGGGGACTGTGTTGACCAGAGCATGCACACTCAGTCTAAAAAGCTGTAGCTTCTTGGCTCCAACCAACTGTTCCCACATCAGAAGGAGGGTGCCGTGGTACCATTCTGATATTTCAAGAGAAGCCGCCAGGAACCAGAGTTTTTGTTTGTTTATTTATTATTATTATTATTATTATTATTATTATTATTGACAGAGTCTCGCTCTGTCTTACCCAGGCTGGAGTGCAGTGGCACGATCTCGGCTTACTGCAGCCTCTGCCTCCTGGGTTCAAGCAATTCTCCTGTCTCAGCCTCCCGAGTAGCTGGGATTGCAGACATGTGCCACCACACCTGGCTAATTTTGTGTTTTTAACAGAGATGGGGTTTCACCATGTTAGCCAGGCTGGTCTCAAACTCCTGACCTCAGGTGATCCACTCGCCTCGGCTTCATAAAGTGCTGGAAATACAGGCGTGAGCCACCGCGCCCGGCCTATTTTTATTTTTTGATGTGACATCTTCCATGTGGAGATCGCGTAGTCCACAACAGTTTGCCTCCTTGCATATTCTGCCTGAATGTGGGTTGAGTGTTCTTGGTGGAGATCTTCTCTGAAGAATTACTTTCGTATCTTCGTATTTCCTGTGAAATCCCTTTCTCCATCGTCACTTTAATCATCCCTTCATCAGACATTAATTTCCCTTCCTTAGATCTCTGGGAAGCATTGTTTCCTTTGTTAATGTTATTATTGTTGTTATTGTCTTCAAATTTTTATTGTCGGTCATATTTTCTGACCCACTAGACAGGCTCCCCATAATACTAGCATACAAGGTTCTTCGGAGAATTAAATGAGATGCTGACATAAACCACTTAGCCAAGCACCCAGCCCATTAGTGCTCAATAAACCTACTTGTCATTATTATAGGGACTTCCGAGGAGATGCGTGAAGTTTAGAGGAAGGTTTGCAGGGCCTGTCTGCCTCCCTCTATGTGGGATGCTGATGAGGCCACTCTCCTATGTAGAAGAAGGCCCCTTGTCCTGGGTCCTGAGGGCTTAGCTGGGGTTGGGCACAGCTCTTCACTCAGGGGCTGCTGTCACACCCCACAGGCATTCCTGGGGCTTTCCTTCCTCTCCCATCCCTGGTGCTGCCAGGCTGGGGCAGTGCTCGTAGGCACAAGCACCTGAGGGTTTCCCCGCCTCTCTCCAGCTGTAGGGTGTTCTGGCATCCACTGCATCTGCACAAGGACAAGCCGGGCAGGTAACCAGGCAATAAGCAGGCACACTGGATACTGATGGAGCAGTTCCTGTGGTTATAGGCTCAGGGCGCTTTGCAGCCAGGAGCATCCTTTTAGGTGTTTCTAGGGGACGCAGCAGCTTTGGGGCCCAAGAGTCTGCTGGAGGCTTCAGTAGAAGCTTAAGGAGTGAAAAGAAGTGGGGATCAGTTTGCCCTCATAGACTGTCACTTATGACTGGGCTCAGGAGCACTAGCTGCTGGCCTTCAGTTAATCCTGGAGGTCTCAGGCAGGACATCTCAGCGTCTAGGACATCTCAGAGTGCTTCTGGGTTTCCCATCTTGGGCCTGTCTGCCTGTCATTGGTCCTCTAGGGTCTGGATATCCTCAGGGCCTGTGAGTGGAAACTGAGTTGTAAGCAGCGGCTGCCGGTTTGGGACAGCCCTGACCCTCAGGCAGGCTGGCCCGGGGGAAACCCAGGACTGGCGCCCTCCCATCTTGAGCAGCTCCTATCTCCAGAGGTGGGCTGTTTGCTTCCTTGCCATCATGTTTGTTCCCTGCCTTGCTCTGCTCTGTGCTGCAGGGAACTCCATCTCCCCGGCTCCCCTCCCCTCTGGTTGCCTGGTAGGTTTGGCCAATGGGAGGCACTGGCAGGTGGGAGAAATGCCTCAGTTTCCCCCCTCTCTGCTTCAGGTAGCATCTCTGACAGTGGCCGGTCTCCTCTGTGGTCCCAGCTCCCACTGGACAGCCCCTCCCTTGTGGTCCCACGTCCCATCAAACAGGCCTGGCTGTGCTTCCAGTTTCTGTCTGGTGACACCAGATCCTAGACACTAGGATCTTCCCCGCATCCCTCCAGTGGAGGGGTTGTAATGTCTTTTTGCTATTGTTCATCTCTGGGGTGCTTCTCAGATCTTTCACCTGTGTAACCTACTCCCCAGAATGAATTCCTTCTGTTCTTTTTAAAAATTTTTAGATGGAGTCTCGCTCTGTCACCCAGGCTGGAGTGCAGTGGCATGATCTCTGCTTACTGCAACCTTCAGCTCCTTCAGGTTCAAGCAATTCTCCTGCCTCGGGCTCCTGAGTAGCTGGGATTACAGGTGCCCGCCGCCATTCCTGGCTAATTTTTGTATTTTTAGTAGAGACAGGGTTTCACCATGTTGGCCGGGTTGGTCTCGAATTCCTGACCTCAGGAATTCCTGACCACCTAGGCCTCCCAAAGTGCAAAGATTACAGGTGTGAGCCACCGCGCTCAGCCCAAATTCCTTCTGTTCTAATGCATAGAGTAGTTTCTGCTTTCTGACTGGACAGCAAAATACCACTCAGAAGCCAGGGCTGCAGGGAGGGGCTGGGTCTTGGTGCTATGGGATCCCTGGCACCTCCCTGGTACCTGGTCCCTCAGGCAGCCCAGCCCTTGGGGAACAATGGAAATCATCTCTAGGTCTGTCTGCACCTTCCCTGGTTCAGGGGGCTGTCAGCCATTCCTACATGGAGCTCTTGGAATGTCTTCAGTCCCAGAAGAACTGAGCTGGTCATGCTCCAGTATCAGTGGCTGTGGTAGTCTGCTGAGCTGCCCCAGTCTTGGCTGGCTGAGACCATTACTGCCAGGCCCAGAGCAGACAAACACAGAGGAAATCCAAGGGCACTGTGTCAGTGCAGAGCCAGGGTTTGGGGAAGGGCCAGGCCCTACAGCCCTGGGGGAGGGGAGGAGGAAACACAATTTTCTAGCCATGATGCCTCAGCAGCATGTGTCTGGCCCCTACTCAGAAGGGGCAGTGAGCCCCAGGTTTGGGAAATGGGAAGTGGGATGGGGCTTCTGGCCAGGGCAGAAGCTGCTGGTCTTGGGGTCTCAGGGCTCCTGGGCACATCAGTAGAGCCTCTGGTGTGGGAATAGAGCAGCACGTTAATAGCAATAACTGCAGCATCTATTCACTACTCACAAGGCTGTTTGAGGTTAAACGAGGGAATCCACTTTACAGGACTAATTCAATGCCTGGCACATAGGAAGCTCTCAAGAGCTGCAAGCTAAAAGACCAAACACAAGTCTCAACAGCAGCCAGCTGCCATGGGCCTCACGCTGTTGGGCTGTCATGAGACTAGTGGTCTGGATGGAGCCCCAGGCCTCTCCCCTGGGGCAGGGCTGGAATTGGGGACACAGATCCAGCTAGAAGAGGGCCGAGTCAGGTGAAGGATCACGGGAGTTGGGAGGGCATGGTGATTCTGGGGCACACTCCCCAGGGATGTGGGGGAGGCAGCAGGTGTCCATCAGGCAGTTGGAGCTGCCGTGGGACACGGGAATGGGCATCTCCTAGTGTCCAGGCAGGTCAGAGGTCAGAGCCAGGTCAGACTGTGGGCAGCAGGGTTTCAATCTTTGGTTGGGGTTCAAGCACTAAGCTCTGGGGAAGGAGAGATCAGGCCGATGAAAGATACAGAGATCATAGCAGGAGGCAGCATTGAGAACTGGGCACAGGGTTAGAGTATGACTGTCAGTGCAAGGGACTTTGTATTGGGCTCTGGTGGCTGCCCTAGAGCTGCTTAAAACCCTCCCATATGAGGACAGCATGGTTTTAGGGAGCCATGTGGGGCCAGACTTGGGAGAGTGTCTTGGGATGAAGAGGTGGGGTGGTAGCCAGAAGGCCAGACTTCCCATGCAAAATACCCTCGTTCAAATCCTGTCCCCACACTTACCAGCTGTGTGGCCGCCTTCAAACAAGTTGCTTCATCTCTCTGACGCCTCACTTTCCTCACTTTCCTCCTTGTGGGCAAACCAGGAAAGAGTCCTGCCGATGGGGTTGTTGGGATGTGGACACAGGATACATCACGGGAGACTTTGGCACTCTGTCAGGCACATAAAAGTGCTTAATAACAACTTGATCCTTGGCCACACAAGCCAGTTTTGATCCCTCCCCCGCCCTTCCCCGTATTTCTTCCAAGTGTTGCAGGCAGCGACCCCACACTCACACCCGCTGTGCCTTCAGCTTTCTCCCTAATGCCCATGGCTCTGACCCTTCACCGCCGGGAATTCTGAAAAATACCCCATGGCTGCCTGAGTTCTTTCAAAACTGAAAGCAAGTAGATGTCTTAAGAGGCCAAAGGTTGTTCCCCTGGGAACGTAACTGTAACCATGTCCTCAAATACTCTCTGGCGATCAGTCGGCCATCTTGAGTTACTGCAGGCTCCAGGCGCCTCCCCGGTCTGCTGATGGTGCGGTTGCAGCTGATTGGCCGGCGTGTGGGAGTGCACCTTCCCCCTACTTTTTTGTTTTTTAATTTTTTAATCATCTTTCTAAATGCTTTTATTTTCATTTTTCATCCTCCCTGCTCCCCGAAAAAGTCATGGGTCAGAACAGCAACCATAAAATACAAATGCAAACACAGACCAGGCACAGTGGTTCACACCTAAAGTCTCAGCACTTTGAGAGGCCAAGACGGGAGGATTGCTTGAGTCCAGGAGTTCGAGACCAGCCTGGGCAACATGGTGAAACCCCGTCTCTCCAAAAAAATACAAAAATTAGCTGAGTATGGTGGCACATGCCTTTGGTACCAGCTACTCGGGAGGCTGAGGCAGGAGGATCACTTGAGCCTGCTGAGGCTGAGGCTGCAGTGAGCTGAGATCTCACCACTGCACTCACCAGTTTGGGTGACAGAGTGAGAAAAAAAAAAAGAATACAAACACATTAATACACACACACACACAATTGGAAAAATCTCAACATCCATCCCCTTCTTTTTACACACCCCCATCCCACCTCCCACACCAGAGATTCCAGGGTGTGGCACTCCCCTTAGGAGCATTGTGCCTCCACCCCTACCTTGAAAATCACAGCTACCAGCCAAAAGCACTTTGTCCAGATTTACTTTCTGTCATTTATGCTGTGGGTATAATTTTTTTGTTGTTTTTCTTAATGGATAACAATATGCATGTAATACATTATTTTTAATAAAATTAGATATTAAATTTAAATTATATAATCCTCCCCCCAAAATTCGGTCACATTTCTTTAGCCCCCTGTAAGGTACAACATCAACAATAAACACCTACCCTGCAACTTGGAGCTTGCAAACACCTAACCTGCAATTTACTAAGAGGGGAAGATGACGGCAAGCAAGGCTTTGTGTCACTCTTCCCATAGTCTTCCCCTCTTAGTAAACAGTGCCATCATCCACACAATTGTTCCCACCAGAAACCGGGGCCTCATCCCTGATTCCTCTCTTCCTCTCAGCCCTTCACATTCAAACCTTTCATTTTCCCTCCCAAACCTACCTGAAATTGGTCCACTTCTGCTCCACCTCCACCCTCTCCGCAACTTCACCCATCATCTCTTGTCTGGACTCCTGAAGGTCTCTGTTCCCACCTCAGCCTTCACCCACAACCCACTCTCCATAGTGTAGCAAAGTGATTCTTCAAAATAGGAAATTGGAGAATGTTAGTCCTCTGCTGAAAACTGTACCAAAACCCAAACTCCTTACTCTGAACTAAGAGGCCCTAACTGTCCCACTCACCTTGCACAACCCTCCCCTTGGTCACCATATGAGGGCCACACTTGCTCTGTCTCCGTTTCTCAGCGACTCTTAACTAAGCTTGTCCCTGACTCAGGGCCGTTGCACTGCACACTGCCTGTTCCCTTCCCCGGAATGCTCTTCCCCCAGATCTGCCCATCGCCAGTTTTCCTTGCCATGAAGGTCTCAGTGTAAATGTCAGCTCCTGAGTGACGCCTTCCCTGACCACTCAATCTAGTGGCCTCCAGCCCTCCCCATTTCACCCCTCACCACTCATTATTGTATCACCCTGTCTTATTTTCTTATTTTGTTAAAATAAAACCTTTTTTTTTTTTGAGACAGGGTTTTTCTCTCACCCAGGCTGGAGTGCAGTGGTGCAATTTCAGTTCACTGCAACCTCTGCCTTTTGGGCTTAAGTGATTCTCCCACCTCAGCCTCCCGAATAGCTGTACCACCAAGCCTGGCTAATTTTTGTATTTTTTATAGAGATGGGGTTTCATCATATTGGCCAAGCTGGTCTCAAGCTCCTGAGCTCAAGCAATCTGCCCACCTTGGCCTCCTAAAGTGCTGGGATTATAGGTGTGAGCCACTGTGCCTGGTCTTGTCTTATTTTCATTACAGAACACATCACTCCTTGTTTTCTTGTTTCTGTATTTGTTTATTGTCTGGCTCACTCAAGAGAAAGTAAGCTCCTCAAAGGCAGGGTCTTTATCCTTCTTATTCAATGCAACATTTTGGGACCATACTTATACTAAAAAATTATTCACTGTTTGTCTGAAATTCACATTTTACTAGCTGCCCTGCATTTTATCTGGCAACCTTACTTGAGGCCCACGGTCTCACATCTTGGGGACATGGGCCCAGGAGAGTGAGGCTGGCATGTGAAGAGGAGACAAGAGAGAAAATACTTCAGTGGAGAGAGACAGAGAGGACACAAGGAAGACAGAGTGTCAGGGAGAGAGAGAGAGAAGGAGACAGCATAGAGAATGAGCGGGATTGAATAAAAGTGACGCCAAGAGAGAATGAGGGACAGAAAAAGAGAAAAACAAGAAAGAGTCATAGAATAAGACAGGGTCAGAGAGACAGAGAGAGAAATTGTGAGAGTCAGAGAAAGGTCGAGAGAGAGGCACAGGGATACCAACAGGCCCCTCTGATAGTGTTCAAGTCCCATAGTTCAGTGACCCAGGCTCAGCTCCACCCCTGCTTTTTCTGTAGTTTGTTTACAGGCACCAATAGACTTCCCTTTTGCTTAAGAATAGTAGCCAACATCTCTTGAATTTTTGTGCATGCCAGGCTGGGGCCAGATGCTTCGGGCGACTGTCTCCTTTATCCCGTCCCCTCACAATGCTTCTGTGTGATTCCCTCTGCAGAGGAAGAACTGAGGAACAGTTCTTTAAATAACATGCCCAAGGTTACAGAGATGCTAGGCAGCAGAGGTGGGATTCAAACCCACGCAGTTAGTCGCCAGAGCGTTTGACTGCCACGTGGGGTCATTGTCAGTTGCAACGAAGGAGTTCCTGAGTGGCAGTTGGGTAGAGCCGATTCAGCAGAGAGGCTGGCTCACACTGGAATGGTGACCCCAGACCCTCAAGAGGCAGATTGGCATGATGTTGGGAAAGTTCTTTATCTTCTCGGAGCCTCAACTTCCTCTTCTGTAAAATGGAGCTGATACTAACATTAGCTATGTCCTAGGGTTGATTGATATGTAGGTTAAGTGACTGACTGAGATACACACACACACACAGCAGTTACATCAAGTAAGCATTTAAAAATACTCACAGACATTTTCATGATCTTCTGTTCATCTCTGACACCCAGCACAGGATCTGGCATAAAGCCAGTGCTTAGGCTACCTTGATGGTTGATGATGAGACTGGAGAATATTAACGAGAATCCTAATGATCATTTATTCAACAGCTACTACATACCAGGCATTGTGCTAAGCACCTTACAGGTATCTTTCGGTCAATCTCCTGTCAATGTAGGTATTGTTATCCCCATTTTACAGATGAGAAAACTGAGGTCCCATGAAATCAATTGACCAGAAAGGCCACAGAGAGAAATCCAGAGCTAAGATCTCAACCCCAGTCCATAAGGAAAGGACACCAGCTCAGTGACTGTGTCTGCTTTAATGCAGCGGGGAAGTGGATGGATTGCACTGAGATGTTTTCCTGTGGACTGAGGTTTTCTCTTTTTTTCTTTCTTCGTGTGTGTGTGTGTGTGTGTGTGTGTGTGTGTGTGTTTGTGATAGAGTTTCACTCTATTGCCCAGGCTGGAGTACAGTGGCATGATCTACACTACATGATCTCACTACAACCTCGAACTCCTGGGCTCAGAGATTCTCCTACTTCAGCCTCCCAAGTAGCTAGGACTACAGAGGTGCCACCACACCCAGCTAATTTTTTACTTTTTGTAGAGAAGGGGTCTCGCTTTGCTGCCCAGGTTGGTCTTGAACTTCTGGCCTCAAAAGATGCCCTCGCCTCCGCTGGGATTACAGGCATGAGCCACTACTGCTGGCCTGGGCTGAGTTTTGACAGTTTACCATTCTCTTCATGTCCCTTACAGATGCCCTGTGTGCACACTTTTTAATGCACTGTCATCTCACTAGATGGCTGTTACGAGTCCCATCCTATGACGGAGGCCCAGAGACTGAGGGACTTGCCAAGGGCTACACGGGAATTAAGAAAAGAGCAGGTTCTGAACTCAGCTTCGTCTGACTGGAAGTCTAGTCTGTCCACTGTACCCAACTGTCTGAACTACAGGGAGCCCCAGCAGAGCATGACATCCCTCAGATCTCCCGAAAGCACTCACGTTTCATCATGCCCACTGCCAACGAACGCCCCACATTGGGGTCCCTGAGTGTGCATCTCTTATCCTACAATAGCCTCTCGAGGCATCTCCAGCCCAGTTCCTCCTGCCTTCCCTCTTTTCTTCGAAAGGTCACCACCAGGGCCAGCTTTCAGAAGCACAGATTTCACTGTGTCACTCCTTCCAAGGCTTTATGGTCCGACCTCTGTTTATTAGTCCCCTCCCACCCCGACTTGAACTCTCTGCCCTGGCTGAGCTGAAGTTTCTCTATTGCTCTCTCTGACACGTGCTCTTTCATCTTCCCCACTCTCCTTCACCCCTGCTAAACTATCCTTCAAATCTCAGTGACATGTCGCTTCCTCCAGGAAGTCCTCTTTGCTTGGTTCAGGTGCTCTTTCTGTATAGCCTTCTACTCAGGTCCTTCTCCCTCTCTGTTGAGGTTGCTGTTTTACTGTTTTACTTGAGGGTCTCTCCCACTGAGTCAGCTTCATAAAGGCAGAGTCCATGTCTGTCTTGTTCACACTTCATCCCCAGAGCCTGGCACCATGTCTACTACGTGGTTGGTACTCAGTGAAAAGCTGTTGAATAAATGGACAAGTACACAAATGAGGATTCCATTATTATTATTATTATTATTATTTACATTCAGCATCAAGCTCAGTTTGCTGGTACATAGTAGGCTCCCAGAGACATACACTGAGTGGATGACAGAGGAATGAACAAATGAATTAAAAACATGGCTCAACCTCCACACCCCAGCACCATTTGCTCACTTCTTAGCTTGCAGGCCTCTCTCAACTGCAGCATCTCTTGCAGAATAAAAGGGATTGCAACTCCTTGTTTGAATGCTGTGGGGTTTTGAGTAGAAAGAAATACTCCTCCTTTGACAAGAAGAATTTCAGGCGAAAGAGGCTTTTCTTGCTGGTGAAGGAAGGAGAGAGAGTTGGGGCCTCAGCCCCATTTCTGGATGGCCTCAATTGGCCCTGAACTGACTAATAAAGTGTGAAATTGACTTTATCCTCCACCACATCTCCCCAGCCAAAGTATCCCTGTAGCATCTCCCTCTGCTACAACTGATGCAGCACTGTCGCCATCCCCTCCGTCACTGACAGGCAGGCAGGTCATTACCACCCACGCAGCCCCAGGGCCCAGCAGCTCTGCAGAGCCCAGGAAGTCATTTGGCCTCAGGCCAAGACAGGCTTTCAAAGCCAGAAGCATCTGACAGACGTGGCATGTCTGATGCACCTTCTAAGCCCGCCACCGGCTCTTTTTGTCCCTATTTACTCCTCTGGCACTGGCTCACTGACTTCTAAGACGCGGGTGGGGGCTGCGGTGGGTGACAGCATTGAGTGAGCTCTTTGAGCCTCATCCTGGCCAGTTGCACCAAATGCAGGGTTGAAGAATCAGAGCCAAAGGGGTTTGAGAAAGCAATGCAATCAGAGAATTGGAGCTTTGCAAAGGTAGCAGCTCAGGGAGCCCCTGAGGTGTCTTAAGGGCTACTTGGGAGATGATAGGAGGCCCCCAAGGCCCTCTTTCTACCAGGACAGGGTCATTTTTTTTAGCCTATTTTGTTTATTCCCTAGTTTAAGATTTCCTAGGAGGAAGGAGAGTCTACAGCCCCAATGAGGCCTAAAACCAGTGATCTATCCAGCAGTCATTCCCAACCTTGCCTGGGAATCAAAATTAACTGCATGACTTGGTGAGAAACGCAGATGCTGAGCCCTGTAGCATTTTTATCTGCTCAGAACCTATTTCCTCTTCCCCCAAGGATAGATTCCATGTTCTCTTGAGAGCCATACCTACCCCACACATCAACCGTGTGGTGTGAGTGAACACCCTGCTTGGTCCCTTGAAACTCCAGGCACAAGCATTTTCCTAGGCCTGGCCAGTCACAGACAGAGTGATCCGTCCAGAGGCTGGAGTGGCAGCCCCCAGAATTGTGTCAAGGCTGTAAAGGAAGAGAGGTTCTCTTTTCTCGGAGACTTTAGGCTTTTGGCTGGTGGCTGTCATCTTGGAACTGGTGGCTAAGAATGAAGCCAACAAAGAGGCAAACCATGACAAAGGATGAAAGAGAGGGAGAGAGAGTAAGAGAGAAACAGAGAGACACTGAAAGAAACAGAGGCAGACAGACACATCTGGTGTCATGTTATGAGCACCTGGATTCAGCCATGCCTGAAGTTTATACACCTGGTTTATTCAGGTACATGAGCCAATAAATTTATTTTTGCTTTGTTTTATTTTTTGCCTCACCCAGTTTTACTTGACATGTGTTTCTGCTACTTGCCACTGTAAGAGCCCTGACTAATACACAGAACCTTTCTCAGATCTATTTAATTGTGATCTCCATGGATGGAGTCTGAGAATCTGTATTTCTCAAAAAGCTTCTCAGGAAATGCTGATAAAGGTTCACCCCTTCATCAGTCATTGTTTGGGCATCATTGAGATCCTGGTCTAATGAAGCACAGACAAAAGTGATCCTTCTGTAAATGGCCATTATGATAAAAGTGATCTTTCTGTAAATGGCCATTATGATACTGTAATTGCAGGTTAGATACCCTACACACGGTGATATGGTTTGAATCTGTGTCTCTGCCCAAATCTCATGTTGAATTGTAATCCCTAGTGCTGGAGGTGGGAGCTGGTGGGAGGTGACTGGATCATGGGAGTGGTTTCTCATGAAATGTTTAGCACCACCGTCCCCTGATGCTGTCCTTACGATAGTGAGTTCTTGTGAGATCTGTTTGTTTAAAAGTGCATAGGACCTCCCTCCTTGCTCTCCTCCTCCTGCTCCAACCCTGTAAAATGCGCCTACTTCTCCTTTGCCTTCTGCCGTAATTGTAAGTTTCCTGAGGCCTCCCCAGAAGCAGAAGTCGCTATGCTTCTTGTACAGTCTGCAGAACCATGAGCCAATAAAACCTAATTTCTTTATAAATTACCCAGTCTCAGGTATTTCTTTATAGCAATACCAGAACAGACTAATACACATGGACTCAATCCTCACAGCAGCCTGATGAAGTACAGGTTATTCTTCCCGTTTTACAGATGGAGAAACTGAGGCTTAGCAAGAAGAATGGATGTGTTCAAGGGCACTGTATTAGTCCATTTTCATGCTGCTGATAAAGACATACCTGAGACTGGGCAATTTACAAAAGAAAGAGGTTTAATTGGACTTACAGTTCCACATGGCTGAGGAAGTCTCACAATCATGGTGGAAGGCAAGGAGGAGCAAGTCACATCTTACGTGGATGGCAGCAGGCAAAAAGAGAGCTTGTGCAGAAAAACTCCTGTTTTTGAAACTGTCAGATCTCATGAGACTTATTCACTATCACAAGAACAGCATGGGAAAGACCTGCCCCCATGATTCAATTACCTCCCACTGGGTCCCTCCCCTAACACATGGGAATTTAAGATGAGATTTTGGAGGGGACACAGCCAAATCATATCAGGCACATAGCTAGTAAGTGATGGATCTATGTTATAAGACTCTGAAGCTCATCCTCTTGCCACCATTCTATACCTCCTTCTTAATTAAAGCCCAGAGTGGAGAGGTGGTTTGCCTAGAGCTTCAATAGCTGTCATTGGCTGGGCGTGGTGACTCATGCCTATAATCCCAGCACTTTGGAAGGCCAAGGTGGGTGGATCACTTGAGGCCAGGAGTTCCAGACCAGTCTGCCCAACACAGTGAAACCCTGTCTCTAGTAAAAATAGAAAAACTAGCTGGGTGTGGTGGCACGTGCCTGTAATCCCAGCTACTCGGGAGGCTGAGGCATGAGAACTGCTTGAGCCTGGGAGGTAGAAGTTGCAGTAAGCCAAGATCACGCCACTACACTCCAGCCTGGGTGACAGAGCAAGACTCTGTCTTAAATATAAATATAATATTATATATTATATATATTATATAATATATATTATATAATATAATATTATATCTTATATATTATATATTATATAAGATATAATATTATATGTTATATATTATATATTATATAATATATTATATTATAATTATTATAATTATGTAATATAATTAATATTATATAATATATAATATGTATAATATTAATATAATATATAATATATAACATATAATATTTATATTAATATAATATATATTATATGATATATTATATAACATAATATTTATAATATTAATATAATATATAATATTTGATATTTATAAATTATATAATATATAATATTTATAATATTAATATAATATATAATATTTGATATTTATAAATTATATAATATATAATATTTATAATATTTATATAATATAATATAAATATTATAAGTTGCAGTAAGCCAAGATCACGCCACTACACTCCAGCCTGGGTGACAGAGCAAGACTCTGTCTTAAATATAAATATAATATTATATATTATATATATTGTATAATATATATAATATATATTATATTATATAATATATATCTTATATATTATATATTATATAAGATATAATATTATATGTTATATATTATATATTATATAATATATTATATTATAATTATTATAATTATGTTATATAATTAATATTATATAATATATAATATGTATAATATTAATATAATATATAATATATAACATATAATATTTATATTAATATAATATATATTATATGATATATTATATAACATAATATTTATAATATTAATATAATATATAATATTTGATATTTATAAATTATATAATATATAATATTTATAATATTTATATAATATAATATAAATATTATATAAGATTTATATTATATAATAATTATATTACATATTAATATATAATTATATTAATATAATTAAAACAATATAATATATAATACATAATATATAATATATTATGTATTATATATTATATATTTTATATAATATTATATATTATTATATAATATATTAATAAATATATTATATATATTTATTATATAGTATAATATATTACATATTAATATAATAAATATATTAATTATATAATAAATATATTAATATAATATATTATATAATAAATATATTAATTAATATAATATATTATATATGTCTTAAATATATAACATATAATACATTACATATTATATATAATTATATTATATAATTATAGATAATACATATATTATCTATAATATATAATATATTATATATTTATATATAAATACATTTATATATTATATATGATAGATATATATAAATATATTTGTATATTTATATATGATAGATATATATAAATATATTTGTATATTTATATATGATAGATATATATAAATATATTTGTATATTTATATATGATAGATATATATTTGTATATTTATATATGATAGATATATATTTATATATTTATATATTATAGATATATATAAATTTATATATTTATATATTATAGATATATATAAATATATTTATATATTTATATATTATAGATATATAAATATATTTATATATTTATATATTATAGATATATATAAATATATTTATATATTTATATATTATAGATATATATAAATATATTTATATATTTATATATTATAGATATATAAATATATTTATATATTTATATATTATAGATATATATAAATATATTTATATATTTATATTTATTGATATATATAAATATATTTATATATTTATATATTATAGATATATATAAATATATTTATAGATTTATATATTATAGATATATATAAATATATTTATAGATTTATATATTATAGATATATATAAATATATTTATAGATTTATATATTATAGATATATATAAATATATTTATAGATTTATATATTATAGATATATATAAATATATTTATAGATTTATATATTATAGATATATATAAATATATTTATAGATTTATATATTATAGATATATATAAATATATTTATATATATTATAGATATATATAAATATATTTATATATTTATATATTATAGAGATATATAAATATATTTATATATTTATATATTATAGATGATATATAAACATATATATATATTTATATATTATAGATATATAAATATATTTATATATTTATATATATATAGCTGGTATTGAAAATGTCATCTCTCTTCCGGGACTCTCAATCAATGAGTCTGTCTGAGTCACTTAGTGCTATGGCTACGAGTTAGAGAGGACCCCAGTGCTACTGGCCAAAACAATAAGAGAAAATTTCTTATACTACACTCATAAATCCCAAAGTAGGATGGCCCAGGGTTAGTTAATTCACTGGCCCAATGCCATAGTCAAGGGCTCAGGTTCTTTCCATTTCTCTGCTCTGCCCTTCTCAGGTGTCAACTGGCTCTCAGGCTGACTCTCTTTTTGGTTACACATTGCTGCTGCAGTTCCAGACATGACCCCCAAATCTTATGGGGTCTCCTCCCCTGCCTCCTGAGGCATGTGACTTAGGCCTGTTCAATTATTGTGTTCAATGTCTCTTGCCATGGGACTTGATCTGAGATAGACAATAGCCCCAATCTGTTCCATGAGAGTCAGTTCCTAGGTCTTGGGCTCATAGTCTTGTGGGAGAGAAGTTTTATTTCCACTAGCTGCCAGATTTGAATCTGGAGTTTTCAGCAATTATTTTGTAGCTTCCTGGGGGGATATTGGTCTGAGAATGAAATTAACACAAGTGATAGAGATAGAGAAATCCTAAGCTGCTGGATCCAACTGGGTCTGAGGCTAGAAAATCCTGTATATTTCAGTCACATGAGCCAATCCCATTCTTGGTCAACCCAGTGGACATTGGCATTCTGCCCCTTTGCAACCCAAAGGTAACTAATATAGCATGTGTTTTTGAAAAAGCTAAACAGGTCTCCTTTGGCTGAGACAAGTATATGTAAAGGGGAGTAATGGGAGGTGAGATTGGGAAATTAGGCTGGAGCCACATCGTGAGGAGCCTGGACAAGTCTAAGGTGGGCCCCCCCAGTCTCTGAGACCACTGAAGGATCATGGATCTCCTGAGACCGGGTGATTACAGGAGTTTCCAAATGGGCTAAACTCTGCCTCTAGGGATCAGGTTAATGTTTTTGTAGCTGCTGATAAAGTAGAATTTTTGACTTGAAGTAAGACCCATTCTCTAGGCATACATTGTCCAGGGGAGAGTTGGGTGAGTTCTACATAGATATTTGGAAGACAGGAGCTGCTGGCATTTATTAACTGCTCCTAAGGGTCACAGATGGTGAGGGTGGGGAAAAACCCAATGCAACCAATGAGAAGGTCTGGAGATGCCATCAAGCGTGTCCACATCCCTCAAGTTGCTCAGGGTAGGCCATGGGCTAGCTAGAGAAAAGGGAAAGACATCACCTCCCTCTTTCCACAAGACCTACTTCTGTTAACGCAGCCTGAGATTGCATTCACTTTGGTGGCAGCACATCATGCACTTTTTTTTGGCCACCATTGACTGGACATGAGTTGCATTTAAATGAATGTCACAAATGCTGCCACTAAGTCATGTCTCCCCAGTCCCCTCAAGTCTCACCTTGAGAGAACTGCCTCCACCTTCAACTCCTTTTCAAGACTCTGTAAGTCAAAAATTAGCTCTCATTCTTTTCTCTTTAATAGCAGCAAAACAAAAACAACAAACAAACCCAAAACAAAACAGAAAAGCAAACTACATATTAACATACTTGGGTTAACCCCTCCAAATCATGCTCTAGTGTAGTCAGTGGATTTGTTCAAATCATCCTCTAGTATAGTCAGTGCATTCGTTCAAATCATCCTCTAGTATAGTCAGTGCATTTGTTCTTGACAGAGCCTCTAGGAATCCAGTTCTGTCCTCCCTCATTTACTCTCCTCCACCTGCATCCTCAGGGCCTTCCTCTATCTCACAACTGAGGTCTTCCTGCAAGTGTCTGACAAAAGAAAATGTTGCCCGGAACAGTACCAGAGACAAAGCCACTATTCCTTCTGGTTTTCTTCCAACCAAATCCAAATCAACAGATACATGCTTAATTCTTCATATACTCCATATACATGATCTCATCTATGTATTTACTTTCTGTGTGCAGACATTGGTCCGGTGCTTTACGAATGTTAACTCATTTAGTCCTCAAAACAACTCAGTAAGAGTTGTTATCCTCATTTGACAGAAGAAGACATTGAGGCACATATAGATTACATGGCCTTCCCAATGTCACAAAATTAGTAAGTGACAGAATGGTAACTTGAACCCAAGTAGTCTGCATTCTTAAACCTGTGCCAAGGGTTGGTAAACTTTTTCTGTAAAGGGCCAGTTACTATTTTAGACATTAAGTGTCATGAACAATTGATCACAACTCAGTCGCTGTAGTGCAAAGCAGCCATAGATAATACATAAGTGAATAGGTGTGACTGTATGCAATAATGCTGTATTTATGGCCACTGAAATCTGAAATTCGTATCATCTTCAGTGTCATAAAACTGTACCCTTCTTTTGATTTTCCCCCCAACTATTAAAAAATATAGAGTCCATTTTTAGTTCACAGGTCATATGAAAACAGGTGGCAGCCGGATTTGGCCTGCAGGCTCTACTTTGCTCACTCTGCTTTGTGCTGTGCGACTGCCCTCACCTGCTCCTTATAGCTCACCTCCTTATTATCTCCATCTCCAGATAAAGACGTGAAATTTCAAGAGGCTATGACTTACCCAAGGTTACCTAATGAGCAGGTTGGGGAGTTGGGATTTGCAACCAGGTTTGTCTTGTCTCCTGCAGGGGCAGGAGTGCTGGTGCAGGGGGGCAGGAAGCAGGGCTGAGCTGGGGGTTTCAGCACAGCCTAACTCGGCCTGAAGCCAACAGTCCACCAAGAGCTGGCAGAACCTCCCCTCCCTTCCCCTATCCTCCCCCTGCCCCCTGCAACCCCGAGAACTGAGTGCAGTAACCAGGGGCCTCTCTGCTCTGTTCTGCCACCATGGTCCCATTGTCACACCCTCCTGGGATTTGTAAGCAGCTGAAACGCTCTGCTTTCCAAGTCTGGAATCAGAGCCCCAGAAAAACCCAGAGGCCATCTTGACTTGGTCCATTCTTGCCAACCACAGCCATTAAGGAAGGGAAGACCTGGTTTAAAAGGGCCCTGAGCTGCCACCCGTGAAACACTTCAGCTCTGGTCCAGCCAAGTCTGGGAAAAGGTTGGGGAAAAGTGAGGGAGGGGAAGAGACAGAGAAACAGAAGGGGAGAGAGGAGAGAGAGAATAAGCAGAAGAGACGGTGACAAAGAGGCCACACACACCACACGCACACCACACACACCACACACCACACACACGCCACACACCACACACACACCACACACACACCACACACCACACACACCACACACCTCACACACACACACCACACCACACACACCACACACCACACACACACACCACACGCACACCACACACACCACGCACACCACACACACCACACACACCACACACCACACCACACACACACCACACACCGCACACACACACTGCACACACACACCTGCACACACACCACACACATACCACACACACCACACACCACACACACACCACACACCACACACACACCTCACACACACACCACACACACCACACACACACCTCACACACACCACACACACCTCACACACACCACACACACCACACACACACCTCACACACACACCACACACACACCACACACACCTCACACACACCGCACACACCTCACACACACCACACACACACCACACACACACCTCACACACACACCACACACACACACCACACACACACACAAACCACACACCACACACACACCACACACACACCACACACACCACACACCCCACACACACCAACCACACACACCCCCCACACACACACCACACACACCACACATGCACACCACCACACACCACACCACACACCACACACACACCACACACACCACACACACCCCACACACACACCACACACACCACACACACCACACACCACGCCACACACACCCCCCCACACACACCACACACACCACACATACACACCACACCACACACCACACACACCACACACCACACACACACCACACACACCCCACACACACCACACACCACACACACACATCCCACACACTCCACACACACACCATACTCCCATACACACACACCACACCCCACACACACACCACACATGCACACCACACCACACACACACACACCACACCACACACACACACACCACACCACACACACACCACACACCCAGAAAGAGATCCTTTAAGAGCTGTTTTTTTCTGGCCCGGAACCGTATTTCATTCTCCAACTCTGCAGACACAGAAAAGGCATTATTGCAGTAAAAAGTCTCCCCACATTATTTATTGTTAATACTTACCTACTTTGTCCTCTCTAGGTTTTTACAGCCTTAACTTCATTCAAAGCAGGCCCCTGGTGTGGGCAATGCAGAGGTTCTTTGCCTGAGGAGGGATGAGGAGCTCAGAGAGCTCCAGCAACTTGCTCAAGATTGCGCAGCAGGTTAATGGCCAAGTTGGGACCAAGGATCAAGACTACCGACTTCCAGTGCAGTGGGAGTCTCCTACAAACCATGTCCAGGATCAAAGCAGACGCTGAAGGGCAGAGGTTTTGTTTACCCTCTTCCCTTCAATTACTGAGTCCCTAAACTCCCTCTTTAATAAGGAAGTAACAGTGACCTAGTATATTTGAACTTGAGCAAGGCAGTGGACAAGCAGGTGCATGATATTCCCATGGTCAAGCATGATGGAAAACTGTGAGATGGATTCAAGGGCCGTCAGTAGAAGACTGGCACCCAAACAATTTTGGTGAATCGGTTTCCACATAGAAGGATGCTTTGCCCCATGATTTTTTATTCCTAAAATTTAATGACTTGAGCGTCTCTCCCACCTCTTCTTTATTTTAATTATTATTATTTATTTATTAGAGATGTGAGGCTTACTATGTTGCCCAGGTTCATCTTGAACTCCTGGCCTCAAGTGGTCCTCCCGCCTCAGCCTCCCACCACAGCCTCCTGAGTTGGTGGGATTACAGGCTTGACCTGCCACATCTGGCCCACCTTTTCTGAAAACGACTCTCTTCCCTAGTTGAGACCCTCCCTCTTAGGTTGTCTAGGATAGTTACTTACTTAGTCCAAAGGGGCACTGCTAGTTCCCATATCCTGAAGGACAAAAACCTAGGAAGCCTCATTAGGTGCCCTGCAGTTTCTGGCACTGCCACATGAGGGCACTGTTGAAAAGAAGCTACTCTGTTGCCTAGAGGCAGTCCCCTGAGACCATGTCTGTAAGCGCCTGGAAGATAACACCTGCAGGCCCAGGCCCAGGTGCAGTCTATACTCCCCACTATAGAAACCCGCTTTATTGATCCAGGCATGCTCCATTTGGCTGGTTCTCCATTTGTTACTCCGGGGGCTTTGGGAAAGGGAAAAGACATCTCCCACATAGCTATGGTCACTCCATTACACACTGAACATCTAGTGTTACAGCTCTTTTATTTATATACACGCTCAAACACAATTGTTTACACATTTACCAACAGTGCGCTAGGGTAGCTAGGTTGGGACCAGTTTCCAGGCTCAGTTACAAACTCTTCCTAGAAGCAGCAGCCTCCCAAGCTCTTGCTCTTTCTAGGCTGCACTAGTGGGCAGTTCTTGGTTTGGGACTGTACAGGACCGTTCCTCCTCCAGTAAACACCCCAGTTCCATTAAGGGAAAGTGTCTCCTCTCCCCACTGCCTTGGGAAAGGGGTCATTCTTGGCTCCTGCCTCCCACCGCTAGCCTCCTCCAATTGAAGGCAAAGGAGTCAGATCCTTCCTCTCCTCACCTTCTGGGCAAATCAGTGGGAAATGCATTATTTAAGATGCTATTTCCCAGGACTTTGACTATGCAAGGAGAGGGGAATGGTTTCTGGCCATTGTCTTTGTAGCAATAGCAGTTGTGGAGGGGCCATTTACAGCATCCTGACCTATGTCCCTGTTCAAGGCAGTGACTGCTTTTCCTGCTTCCTGCTTCTTGGCCCTTCAGAGTTTCCTTAATTTCTGCTAACCTGCGTCTGCTCTTCTAGTCTTTCAACAATTTTGTAAATTTCCATTGGTCTTCAAACAAAAACAATACCCCTTCTCTTTAGTTTCTGGTGCTTGCAGAACCCTGTCTGACAAACCCCAGAGAATCAAAGAAGTCTCTTCCTTTCTCACCTTTAAGATGTACATTTTGGGCTGGCCGTGGTGGCTCATGCTTGTAATCCCAGCACTTTGGGAGGCCAAGGCAGGCGGATTACTTGAGGTCAGGAGTTCAAGACCAGCCTGGCCAACATGGTGAAACCCATCTCTACTAAAAATACAAAACTTAGCTGGGCGTGGTGGTGCGCCTGTAATCCCAGCTACTCAGGAGGCTGAGGCAGGAGAATCGCTTGAACCTGGGAGGTGGAGGTTGCAGTGAGTGGAGATTGTGCCACTGCACTGGAGCCTGGGTGACAGAGTGAGAGACTGTGTCTCAAAAAACAAAAAACAATGTGACCCAATTCATTCTTCAGGAGGGTAGTTTGGGTCCCTTGCCCAAGGCAAATCTACACAGAGAGAGAGAGAGAGGGAATATGCAAAACTCCAAAATGTTAGCAGTGTTAGCCAGGGTGCTGAGATTATTGGAGTGTTTCATTTTCCCTTTTTGTTCATCTGTGTCCCTTGAAAATTTTTTTTGCCATGTCTATACACTCCATTGATGATTAAGAGTAACAACATATATGAGTGTGTTTCTTTAATTGTAATTAGAGAAACTGAGGCATTGAGAAAAGGTCAATAAGACCCTTTTTCATGCTAAAGAAGTGAGCCCCTGTCCCTGCAGGGACTGTCCTTGAGAAGGAGACTTGACTGGTATTCTGGCACTGCCTCTGCTGTTATCACCCCTCTGGTATGGGTGTATTTATTGACAGAGCCAGGGCTGATATCACAGTTGGCTTTGTTGTATGCATGACTCCAGGCAAGTCCTTGCCTCTCTTGGGCCCTGGGTCTTCCCATATAAACAAGGAGGGGATGGGACTAAGTGACCTTTCAGAGTTCTGCTGCTCAGTTCTGGGGCCTTGTTGAAGGTCATTGCCTGATGGAAGCAGCATCCAGGGGAGAAGCTGGAATCGCAGTCTCTGGGTGAAAAGGCGCTGGAGATGTCCCACATTGTCAGCGATCTCTGAGCTGCATATGAGAAAAATCCACCTCCAACTGGCTTAAGTAAAGAAGGAATGTGTTGGCTCATGCACCTGAAAAATTTAGATCTAGACTCAGGCTTGGCTGGATCCTGGGAATAAAAGGCTGTCATCAAAACTCGGTCTCTCTTAGTCTCTTCTGTTTTCCTTTGCCTGTTTTGCCTTCAGGCAGGCTCTTCCTAGACAAAGGCAGCGTGGCCACCAGCAGCGTCAGGTTCACACCTTGCCACCTTAACACCTTTTCCCAAGGGCTCCAGCAGAAGTCCCAGTGTTGACTGTCACTGGACTATATGAAGTGACATGCCCATCGCTGACCTGGTCACTCAGTGGAGCCAGGGTATAGATTGTATTGATTGGCCAGACCTAGCCCATGTGTCTGTCTCTGAAGTTAGGAGGTGGGTGAGTGTCATTTATATGTTTCGGTCTAAGGGTTAAGGAGGGGCAGTTCTCCAAAGGCACATCAGGAGCTGCTACCAGCTGGGGACAGGATGTTGGGAAGGAAAGAGCCCATAGAGGTCCACTCAGGTTCATGTCCATCTGTGTCAGTGAAGTGTGCTCCCCAGATTGGCAGCAGCCTCATCACTATCATCATATGGGAGCTTGTTAGAAATGCAAATTCACAGGTCAAGCCCTACAGGCAATTCTGATGCATGCTAAAGTTTGAAACCAGTGGATCTTGCCCCTGCTTCCATCAGAATCACCTGGGTTGAGAGTGGGCCCTACTCTCTCAACGAATTTTATCAGGAAAAGGGAGGGGACCAGTTCCAGTCATTAGTGTTTTTTGTTTGGTTTTTTGTTTTTGTTTTTGTTTTTGTTTTTGTTTTTTGAGACAAAGTCTCCCTCTATCGCCCAGGCTGGAGTACAGTGGTGCAATCATAGCTCAAACTCCTGGGCTCAAGCGATCCTCCCCCCTCAGCGTCCTGAGTAGCTGGGACCACAGGTGCATGCCACCATGCCAGGCTAATTTTTTTATTTTTTAATTTTGTAGACTACCTGGGCTAGTCTCAAACTCCTGCTTCAAGCAATCCTCCTGCCTGGCCTCCTAAGGCATTGGGATTACAGGCGTGAGCCAACACGCTGACCTGATGCTTTTAAAAATGTTGCCCCAAGTGATTCTAATGGAAGCCCAGCTTGAAAGAACAACTGAGCTCAACCAAACTCTTGTTCTCAACTATTTCTAACTTATGAAGTGGCGATAAACAAGGAAGTGGATGGTCCCTCTGCTGAGAACGACGGTTTATTAAAGGAACGACTTGGAAGATAGCAACTCAAGCCAAGGCAAATGAAGAGACAAAGCCAGGGACATATAATCCACTGAACTTTGTGGAATTTGAACCTGGAATTTCCTACCTTATGGCAAATCAATCTTTATACCCACACAGCTGATTCAGCCAAGAGGAGGAGAACTAGAGGAAAAAAATAATAGCCATGACTGAGTGCTTACTGCAAGTATATATCAGACAAAGTATTTATCTTATTTAAACCCACATGACCCTGTGAGGTAGGTAATCTTAAATAGGGATATAATCCTGTGAAGTAGGTAATATTAAATATCAAAGAGGAAGACAATGAGGATCAGAGGGTACATTAAATAGACCCTGGTGGCTGAGCTAGGATTTGAATCCTGGGCTGTTTTGAAAACCTTTATTCCTGCTCCATGTTGCCTTCTGGGAAAAGTCATGCTCTCTAGTTAGGAGTAGAGGGGCTTGCGGAGGAGTTTAGAGGTGACTCCTCTGATTCCACACATTTTTTGTTTGTTTGTTTTTGGAGACGGAGTCTCGCTCTGTCGCCCAGGCTGGAGTGCAGTGGCCCAATCTCGGCTCACTGCAAGCTCCACCTCCTGGGTTCACACCATTCTCCTGCCTCAGCCTCCTGAGTAGCTGGGACTACAGGCGCCCGCCACCACGCCTGGCTAATTTTTTGTATTTTTAGTAGAGATGGGGTTTCACCATACTAGCCAGGATGGTCTCAATCTCCTGACCTCGTGATCCACCCACCTCGGCCTCCCAAAGTGGTGGGGTTACAGGTGTGAGCCACCACGTCCAGCCTCCACACATTTTAAAGAAAGAGCACTAGCCTGAGATCAGAACCTGGGCTGCACTCACAGCCCCACTCCTACTTAGTTACATGACCTGGAACAGGTCATTTCTCTAGCTGGGGCCTCCCTAGCTGGGATCTCAGTCTTCCTTTCCGTACAACGGAAGGGCTTTAATTGACCCCTAAGGTCTTTTTCATTTCTGGATCATCCATTTGGATAATGCTATCAGGAAGTTTCCAGCAGTTCTGCTTTCTGGGATCCTAGGACCCAGAAATAGGTCCTGGGATCCTAGGACCTATTTTGAAATACTATTATGGTCCATCCTGACCAGGTGTCATAGTCAGTCTGCTGATTACTAAAGAATTACTCCCTAGACCAGTCGAGGGTTCCTAATTTTTTTTTCAAGGCTTAAAAGACCATACAGCTCAGACAGAAGGTCTAACAGTTGCAATTAAATCTTGGAGGACTAACAAGACACTGCAGAATTTTGTAGAGTCTCAGACCATATTTTCATCAGATAGGCTGCAAAAATCACAGTGCCCTGACTCCATCAATATTGATCAGTGCCTACTACATTCAGCTTTGTGCTGGGGACCATGGAAGACACGGAAGTGAAGGGGCAACACCCTAGTGCCAAGGAGGAGTGCCATGGGTGGGGGCATGGCCCCGTACTCAGCCTCACATTGATCAGGGAAATGCAAATTAAGACAAAATACTTTTTGCCACCAATGAAAGGGTTAATATCCGGGGCTGGCATAGATGTAGTGAAATGAGCACTTTCATACACTACTGGTAGAGTGTAAACTGGCACAGCTTTTTCAGAGGATAGATTATAAACCCCCCCTAAATTTTTAAGTACATAACTCTTTAATTCAGCAATTCCACTTCTAAGACTATCTTCAAGAAATGCTTGCTCTATTCACAAGGAAGCAAAACAAGAATGTTCATTGGTGTGTTGTGTGTTGTATGTATTTTTTGGAGATAGCCAAGATAGCATTCATTAGGGAATGGCTAAACTGGGCTATATTCATGCTCTGGCACTTTGCAGCATTTAACAAGCACAAAGAAGATCCCCATATAATGACACAAACAAATTTCCAAGATATATACATTTTAAAAAGCAACTCTCAGAACTCTCAGAAGAACTCTTAGGTCAGGCACGGTGACCCACACCTGTAATCCTAGCACTTTGGGAGGCCGAGGCGGGCGGATTGCTCCTGAGCTCAGGAGTTTGAGACCAGCCTGGGCAACATGGTGAAACCCCATCTCTACTAAAAGAAATACAAAAAATTAGCGGGGCGTGGTGGTGTGCGCCTGTAATCGCAGCTACTCAGGAGGCTGAGGCACAGGAATCACTTGAACCTGGGAGGCAGAGGTTGCAGTGAGCCAAAGATCACACCACTGTACTCCAACCTGGGCGACAGAGTGAGACTCTGTCTAAAAAACAAAAACAAACAAAAAAACCTGGCGCAGTGGCTCATGCCTGTAACCCCAGAATTTTGGGAGGCCAAGGCGGGCAGATCACCCGAGGTCGGGAGTTCAAGACCAGCCTGACCAACATGAAGAAACCCCGTGTCTACTAAAAATACAAAATTACCCGGGCGTGTAGTACATGCCTGTAATCCCAGCTACTCGGGAGGCTGAGGCAGGAGAATTGCTTGAACCTGGGAGGTGGAGGTTGCGGTGAGCTGAGATCGTGCCATTGCACTCCAGCCTGGGCAACAAGAGCAAGACTCCACCTCAAAAAAAGAAAAAAAAAGAATATATTTGGTTAAACACACACACACACACACACCCCTATCCACCCACCCCTGCCACATCCTCCCGCATACCACTATGAGATGCTGCTTCATACCTATTGGAATAGGTATAATAATAATTTTTTTAAAAAAGAGGCCAGGCTCAGTGGCTCACACCTGTAATCCCAACACTTTGGGAGGCCAAGGTGGGAGGATCACTTGAGCTCAGGAGGTTGAGACCAGCCTGGGCAACATAAGGAAACCCTGTCTCTACAAATAATTTTTAAAAATTAGCCAGGTGTGGTGGCACACACCTGTAGTCCCAGTTACTAGGGAGGCTGAAGCGGGAGGATCTCTTGAGCCTGGGCGATCAAGGCTGCAGTGAGCTATGATCAACCTCTGCATTCCAGTCTGGGTGACAGAGCAAGACTCTGTCTAAAAAAACCAAAACAAAATATAAAGACAAATGTTGGTGAGGATGTGGAGAAATTGGAACCCTCATATACTGCAAATGGGAACGTAAAATGGTGCAGCCACTTGGAAAATAGTCTGACAGTTCCTCAAATGGTTAAACATAGAATGGCCATGTGATCCAGCAATTCCACTCCTAGGTATGTAACCAACAGAAATAAAAACATGTTTTCATACAAAAATTCATACGTGAATGTTCATAGCAGCATTATTATAATAACCCAAGAACTGGTGAATGGATAAATAAAATACTGTATAGCCATCCAATGGAACATTATTCTGCAATCAAAAGGAATGAAGTACTGGTGCATGCTACAACATGGATAAGTCTTAACAAGTTTATGCAAAATCAACAAAGCCATTCACAAAATACCACGTATTGTATGATTCCATTTATATGAATGTCCAAAATAAGCAAATCCGTAGAGACAGAAAATAGTGGTTGTCTTGAGCTGGAAGGGGTGGACAGGACTGAAAGATGAGAGCTAAGGGGTGTGGAATTTCTTTCTGGAGTAATTAAAATGTTTTAAAATTTACTGTGAAATTGGTTGTACAGCTCTCTAAATATACTAAAAACCATCGAAATGTACACTTAAAAAGGGTGAATTAGGTGGTACATTAACTATATTTCAATAAAATCTTATAAAAACATATACAAATATGTACAATGTTTTCAATGCAACATTGTTTTTAAGTAGCAGAAGGAAATAGCCTGATACCGGTAAGTAAGTGATTGGCTAAGGAAATTACGGTAAAATATACTAATGGAATACAATGTAATGTTATGCCAAAGGCAAAAACAAGGACCTTTTGTACAAACTCATGTGGCATGATCTCTAAGATATATTGCAAAGTGAGAAAAGCACTTTAGCATAGCAGGTTCCCCTCATGTAAAAAAGAGGGGAAAGAACGTCCATCCCTACTTGGTTTTCATATGCACAGACCAGGAGTCGGCAAGCTCCAGTTCACATGTCAAATCCAGTCTGCCACCTGTCTTGGTACAGCAGGGAGCTAAGAATGGTGCTTAGATTTTTAAGTAGTTGAAAAACTAAAGAAGAATAATATTTCATGACACTTGAAAATGATATGACATTCAAATTTCTGTGTCTATAAATAAAGTTTTATTGGCATACAGCCACATTCATTCATTTATATATTGTCTATGGCTGCCTTTGCAATACAATGGCAGAGTTAAGCAGTTGGGGCAGAGACCATTAGCCTGCAAAGCCTGAAGTATTTACGATCTGGCCCTTTACAGACAAAGTTTGCTGACTCCTGGCCTAGCCTAGCTGGAAGGAAATGCTGGAAACTGGTGACCTGGCTGGCTGCTCTGGGAGAGGAAGGGACAGCTGAGGGATGAGGTAAGAGGGAGACTTCTCACTGGATACCCTTTCAGACCTCTTCAAAAGATGTCAACAAAACTAAAGCTATATATTCCTGCATGTGAACATATTAGGATGTATACATGTAGAAAAATATTTCAACAGCTATCCATCAAATGGATAACAGACTACTTACTTTGAGGGAGGGGCCTGGCTGGGGAGAGGGGAGTTAAGTGGCTTCAGTAGTAAATGTATGATTGGAATAGTTTACAAGGAGAATCACTTAATGTATGATTTAATGCAATAAAAGTGCAATAAAAATAAAGAGTGCATTCATAAAACATGGCCCTCATTGCACTTTCTTGAATTGTGTGTTCCATGAGGTTCCATGAGGTAGGCTCTTCCTGGGGAGCCATGGTAGCTCCTGGCATGGAGCATGGCCCTCTGTAGGCCCTAAGCTGGTTGAATGAGTGCGAGGGCCGGGAGATGTGTGTGTGTGCCAAGAGTGAGGGAGTGAGGGAGCGTGCTCACAGGAATGCACAGTTCAGAATGGGCTGGGGTGCAGCGGGATGATCTAGGGTGAAGGGAGGGCCAGAGTGGCAGAGCAGGGACATAGTCCCTAGCGCCTCCTAGTCCAGGGCCATCAGCTCCCCAGGGTCGGCAGCCGCCGTGGTTGAGGAGTCGTAGTCTTTTAGCCTGTCCTCATTCCCCTACCCTCATAAAGTCTCTGATTTTCTTTTTCTCCTTTTACAGCCTCTCTTGAAGGACATTAGGGGAATCTAGCTAGGGGCTTGTGCAGCACCACCTGTGCCTGCTACTCCCTAGAACTGCCTTTTCAGCAAGCACCATCTGTGGTGTCACTGCTCTCTGTGGGGGAGGTGACTCCTGCCTGCTACCCAGTGCTGGAAGACTCCCCTTCCCAAGGACCAAGCCTGTGGGGGCTGCAGCAGAACTGAAAACGGATGTTCAGGCGCCCAAGAACAGCCTGGCTCCAGGGACCAATGGCAAGAGGGTGTCTCACACATGGGCAAATTGAGGATGCCTCAGTTTTGTTTGGCTTGTCCTCCATCTCTTCTCCCAGAAACAGGGCCCTTATTTTTATTTAGGGAACTCTTTATGCTCACTCCGTGTAATTTGGGTGGGGCTGAACCAACCCTGGATGCAAAATTGAACACAAGAAACAGATCTGGCCAATCAGAAAATTCCATTTTTCTGGTCACAGTGATTGGTTCAGAGATGGGCAAGTGGCCCAAAGTTAAGCCAATGAACGTCAGCCTCAAGATTTTTGCTGATGCTATCAGGAGAGAGGTGCTGTCTCTGGGCTGGGCTTGTTACCTGCAGAACTACACTTAGAGCTGCTGGTTGACTTTTGTCAATACATAGAGCAAGCCAGCCTGAGAACAAAGCTAAGATGGGCAGAAGTAGAGCTGAGAATTGGAGACTGGTTCCTGATGGCAGTGTTTACACCAGATTCATATCTACCCTTGGCCTTTTCAATTAAATAAACTCAAAATTCCCTCTTTTGCTTTGGCTGGTTTGTGTCGATAAGAGTCATTGAAAAGCAGTGTTAGCAGAGGGAAGCTTCCTGTCAGATTCTCTGAGCATTTCATGAAGATTTCATTTCCACCCACTCTGCGGTGCACTTACAACCCTCTGCTCCCAGCTGTCCAGGGGCAGTCTGCCTCTCTGGCTTGCTGGCTCTCAACACCTCTCTGAGTGAGATATCCGACCCCCTAGGTCTTCTCTCCTCCCCTTGGCAACCCACCCCTCTAAATTCCAGCCCCTGAGGATCCAAGCCCATGGCCTGGTGTTAACTCCCATCCCCTTTATGACTGTAATGTGTCCCAGACACAACAGTTGATGTTCTTTAAGCTTTGATGAGTACTTCCTATTTGCCAGACTCTGTGCCAGCCTCATTACATACATAATCTCATCGAATCTTCTCAATAATGCTGTTGGGTAGGTTTTATGATTATTATTCCCATTTTCAAGAATAGAAACCAGTGGCTTAGGGAGATGAAGTAACTGGCCTGAGACCAAACAGCTGAGTCACACACAGTGGGAGGCAGGGCTAGACAGAGTTGTAGGAGGGAACTAACCCCAGGGCCTGTGCCCCAATCGCCACACCAGTGCTTCTAACCCAAGTGAGCCCCAGGATCACCAGGGCACAGGAGCCCATTCCAGGGACCCACATCCCCTGAGTGAGGATGGGAAGGTCTGGGAATCTGCTTTGTTAAATACCCCAGGGGATACTGAAGCATGAGGTCCCCAGGACCTTACACTGACAGTAGCCACTGTCTCCCCCATTAAGGACTTTGGCGCTAGAAAGGAGTTTGGCATTGCCAGATCTATTATTGCAGGAGCTGAAGCTCTGCCCTAGCTCAGAAATGATGACAACGCTAGACAAACTTCTTTGCTGACACAGGGAAAGGAGAGATCAAGGGCATGTGGATAAGCAACTCATGCCTGGGAATAAAACAAAAATTTAAAGAATAACATCATTCCACTCTTCAGGGGGTGGGTTGTGAGTGTCTGGACTCTAAGAGGTAAGAGGTATAAGCCAGGGCCCAGGAGAAATTCAAATTCTATAGGCTTTCTTCATTTGTCCCTGAAAAGAAATGGCTCTCACAGCCCCATGAATGAAGTTCAAAGTTATTATTATTATTTTTTTAGACAGAGTCTCACTCTGTCACCCAGGCTGGAGTACAACGGTGCAATCTCAGCTCACTGCAACCGCCACCTCCCAGGTTCAAGCAATTCTCCTGCCTCATCCTCCCAAGTAGCTGGGACTGCAGGCACCTGTCACCACACCTAACTTTTTTTTTTGTATTTTTAGTAGAAACAGGGTTTCACCATGTTGGCCAGGCTGGTCTAAAACTCCTGACCTCAGGTGATCCACCTGCCTCAGCCTCCCAATGTGCTGGGATTACAGGCATGAGCCACCGCACCCTGCCAAGTTCAAAGTTCTTAACAAAGCTTTGCACCCAACATGAGCTGGTTGTGCTCTCTTGACACCTGGCTTTTAGGCATACCTCACCTTTCTGCCTGAAATGCTGTCTGTTTCCTTCCCCTCCTTTGCTTAACAAACTTCTGCTTATCCTTCAGATCCCAGCATTAATGGCCCTCCCTCTGGGAAGCCTCCTCCAATCACCAAATCTAGATTAGGTGTCCTTCCTCAGGGCTCCCTTACCTCCCTTAATATGTCTTGATTGTACCTCTCATATTGTATTTTATGTGTTTAATTCACCCTGCTATACTGTGAGGTTCCTGAAGGAAGGGCCGTGTCTATCGTGTTCTCTATTATATTCTCAGCACCAGACATATTATAACAATGAGTTAGTGAAAGCTTAATAAAACCAAAACAGAAAGCCCCAGGCAGTTACATGCAGTAATCATATTGACCACTAGATGGCACACGACTATGACGTCCCAATTGGGATGGGCTGGGAGAGGGGCGTGAAATTGATGAGCAGGTTGGTGGAAGGAGGCCGGGGGGCCTCTGATCTTCTCCAGACTGACAGCTGGAGACCTTCGTGATCCTTAAATTTGTATGTGTGGAAATCTTTGTTCAGGTAATTGCCTTACTCCAGAACCCCATTTCCATTAAGGGTTACGTCTTCATGCTACACATTAAACACTTTTTGATGTCTCTGAAGTTTCTTCTCTCGCTTACCAAAGAGGTGTTTTCTGTTATTAGTGTTGCTGTTGATTGCTTGAAATGGTTTTATAGATTGCTTTTTCTTATTACTCGTTAGGAATTAGGTGGAGTCTGTCACTTTTAGGCTCTGAGCCACCACTGAGTCTAATCTTCCACTCTTCAGTTGATCTGAAACTTCTGTTTTTTGGCTTAAGAACTAACACACACTTAGACTTGTCTTCCTCTTCCCTTTTATCACCAACACAAGTCGGCTTATTTTTCAACGAGTGTATCTTGTAGAAAGCCATTTTTTAAAAAAAATTATCCCTGGAGAATGTCAGGATAGGTGACAAGTGTTGACCTGTACCTGCTGGGCAGCAGGCTAGGCTTACAGACTGTTGTTATTCTTCCCAGCATACCAGCTTCCCAGGGCCATGATTTACATCTGGACCCAGCACAATGACTAATATATACCATGAACATTCTGGTTTGCTCACAAATAATTGAAACCAAACATTTAAATTAAACAATGCCAAGAATCTAAGGTAGCAAGCTGATGGCTAGCTAATTTCCTAGAAGCCCCAACAGTCCCACCTGTTATTTTTTTTTTTAACTTCTTAAATGCACAAATTTATTTTTTCTCAACAAACACACATCTTAATGCCTTTACAACTTTTATCTCCCCAAATATATCTTGCTTTTCTTTATACATGCTGTATACAGAGTTGTTTTCTTTATATTTAGTAGTTATTGCTTTTTTGTGCCCTTTTGGGTCCTGAATTTACACATCAGGCATAGAGCTTGGGACAGGAAAGAGCTGTGAAGCAAATTCCTGGAAGATCAAACCCCTTCCAGCATGGCCAGGTAGCACAGCTGAGCCAGGGATGATGGGGCCATATTGGGTTTGGCTCTGCCTTGCAGCTGGCAGTCCAAACACTGAGGACATGCATATATTTCTGCAGGCCTCACTATGGTCATCTGTCCAAACCCCAGAATCCAGAGACTCAAAACGAAATACAGTCATACAGTAAGATATGTGCAAGGTTTCAGGGAGCCCAGCAGCCAGACCTTACAGCTTTAGCTCAATTTAGACAAATCAAGCAAGTTTAAGAAATATTCCAGAAGTAGCAGTTTTATGACCTTAAAACATGTAATAGGCTGGGCACGGTGGCCCATGCCTGTAATCCCAGCACTTTGGGAGGCCAAGGTGGGCAGATCACTTGAGGTCAGGAGTTCGAGACCAGCCTAGCCAACATGGTGAAATCCTGTTTCTACTACAAACACAAAAATTAGCCAAGTATGGTGGCATACACCTGTAGTTTAGCTATTCGGAAGGCTGAGGCAGGAGAATCACTTGAACCTGGGAGACGGAAGTTGTGGTGAGCTGAGATCTCACCACTGCACTCCAGCCTGGGCAATGAGAGCAAAACTCCAGCTCAAAAACAAAAAACAAATTAAAAAAAAAAAAAAAAAAAAAAAAAAAAGTAATAGAGACAATGTAAACCTGTCTGTCAGTAGACCCAGGCAAAAACAATTATATTTAACTGACAATCCTGAAGCCTTTCCAATTTTCTTTTTCTTTCTTTTTTTTTTTTTTATTGATCATTCTTGGGTGTTTCTCGCAGAGGGGGATTTGGCAGGGTCACAGGACAATAGTGGAGGGAAGGTCAGCAGATAAGTGAACAAAGGTCTCTGGTTTTCCTAGGCAGAGGACCCTGCGGCCTTCCGCAGTGTTTGTGTCCCTGGGTACTTGAGATTAGGGAGTGGTGATGACTCTTAAGGAGCATGCTGCCTTCAAGCATCTGTTTAACAAAGCACATCTTGCACCACCCTTAATCCATTCAATCCTGAGTGGACACAGCACATGTTTCAGAGAGCACAGGGTTGGGGGTAAGGTCACAGATCAACAGGATCCCAAGGCAGAAGAATTTTTCTTAGTACAGAACAAAATGAAAAGTCTCCCATGTCTACCTCTTTCTACACAGACATGGCAACCATCCGATTTCTCAATCTTTTCCCCACCTTTCCCCCCTTTCTATTCCACATTGTCATCATGGCCCGTTCTCAATGAGCTGTTGAGTACATCTCCCAGACGGGGTGGTGGCCGGGCAGAGGGGCTCCTCACTTCCCAGTAGGGGCAGCCGGGCAGAGGCGCCCCTCACCTCCCGGACGGGGCGGCTGGCCGGGCGGGGGGCTGACCCCCCCCACCTCCCTCCCGGATGGGGTGGCTGGCCGGGCAGAGGGGCTCCTCTCTTCCCAGTAGGGGCGGCCAGGCAGAGGCGCCCCTCTCTTCCCAGTAGGGGAGGCCGGGCAGAGGCGCCCCTCACCTCCCGGATGGGGCGGCTGGCCGGGCGGGGGGCTACCCCCCCACCTCCCTCCTGGACGGGGCGGCTGGCCGGGCCAGGGGCTGACCCCCCACCTCCCTCCCGGACGGGGCGGCTGGCTGGGCAGAGGGGCTCCTCTCTTCCCAGTAGGGGCGGCCGGGCAGAGGCGCCCCTCACCTCCCGGATGGGGCGGCTGGCCGGGCGGGGGGCTGACCCCCCCACATCCTTCCTGGATGGGGCGGCTGGCCGGGCAGAGGGGCTCCTCACTTCCCAGTAGGGGCGGCCGGGCAGAGGCGCCCCTCACCTCCTGGACGGGGCGGCTGGCCGGGCGGGGGGCTGACCCCCCCACCTCCCTCCCAGACGGGGTGGCTGCCGGGCGGAGACACTCCTCACTTCCCAGACGGAGTGGCTGCCGGGCGGAGGGGCTCCTCACTTCTCAGACGGGGCGGTTGCCAGGCAGAGGGTCTCCTCACTTCTCAGACGGGGCGGCCGGGCAGAGACGCTCCTCACATCCCGGACGGGGCGACAGGGCAGAGGCGCTCCCCACATCTCAGACGATGGGTGGCCGGGCAGAGACGCTCCTCACTTCCTAGATGGGATGGCGGCCGGGCAGAGACGCTCCTCACTTTCCAGACTGGGCAGCCAGGCAGAGAGGCTCCTCACATCCCAGACGATGGGCGGCCAGGCAGAGACACTCCTCACTTCCCAGACGGGGTGGCGGCCGGGCAGAGGCTGCAATCTCGGCACTTTGTGGGGCCAAGGCAGGCGGCTGGGAGGTGGAGGTTGTAGCCAGCCGAGATCACGCCACTGCACTCCAGCTTGGGCACCATTGAGCACTGAGTGAACACGACTCTGTCTGCCATCCCGGCACCTCGGGAGGCCGAGGCTGGCGGATCACTCGCGGTTAGGAGCTGGAGACCAGCCCGGCCAACACGGCGAAACCCCGTCTCCACCAAAAAAATACGAAAACCAGTCAGGCGTGGCGGCGCGCGCCTGCAATCGCAGGCACTCGGCAGGCTGAGGCAGGAGAATCAGGCAGGGAGGTTGCAGTGAGCCAAGATGGCAGCAGTACAGTCCAGCTTTGGCTCGGCATCAGGGGGAGACCATGGAAAGAGAGGGAGAGGGAGACCGTGGGGAGAGGGAGAGGGAGAGGGAGAGGGAGAGCCCCACCTGTTATTATAATAATGATGTCATTTGGAGAATCATTTTCTGTGGAAGGTAATGAAAACCTCAATTTGGCAGAAATTCAGTAACTTAGAGCCTGTAAGAAGTTAGGAATTGGGTGTTGCCCTAATGGGGTTAATTCTTGATTACCCTATAGATGCTCACGTGGCTACATTAACCTCTCTGTGCCTTTGCTTTCTATCTTTCCAGTGGAGGCAGCAAGCCTGCCAGGGCTGGCCTGAGAAGGGGAATTTGAGCCTCCTCTTTGTACATATATTTGACTTGGCACTGGTTCCAGGCCAGTGTAGCCACCATAAGCAGTTACCAAGGCCTCTGGCAATCTTGCTTTGTCCGGCTCCCCAGCCGATGCCAGTCTCTGCCCATTACACCCTTCATATCTGAACAGTTTGGGAATTATTTAGAAACGGCCTTATTTGTAGTCCTATAATCCAGCCAATATGACAGCCATAAAGATTGCTTTGTCGTTCCTTGAGCTGTTGATTGAAGGGTGTGGAGGGAAACAGAAACTGGATTAGTCAAGGGCTTTGCCCCAAGGTTGCCCAAAGTGGTACACTGGTCGTAGGGGACAGGCTAGAACCCAGGGCTCTTGGCAGCCCAGATAGTACATTCTCCCTCCTGTGGGCTATTTCCAAGAGCTGTGTGTGTCTCTCTGTGTGTGTGTGTGTGTGTGTGTGTGTGTGTGTGTGTGTTGGATAGAGGGGGTAGTTATTAGTCATTCAGCCATAGTCCTTCTCTCAACGAGGATGTTGTGGACGGCCACCAAAATGGGTTCAGTATTAAGCTTCGTGACATTAGATTTGGCAGTTATTTCTTGGCTATGACACTAAAGGCTCTGGTAACAAAAGAAAAAATATACATATAGGACTACATGAAAATCTTTAAATTTTATGCACCAAAAGACACTATCAGCAGATAAGAAAGCAACCCACAGATTAGGAGAAAATATTTGTAAGTCATACATTTGATAAGGGATTAATATCTAGGGTATATAGAGAACTCCTAAAACTCAACAAGGAAAAAACAAACAGCCCAATTTAAAAATAAGCAAAGAAGCCAGGCGCAGTGGCTCACACCTGTAATCCCAGAACATTGGGAGATGGAGGCGGGTGGATCACTTGAGGCCAGGAATTTGAGACCAGCCTGGCCAACATGATGAAACCCCGTCTCTACTAAAAATACAAAAAAGTAGCTGGGCACGGTGGTGTGTGCCTGTATTCCCAGCTGCTTGGGAGGCTGAGGCAGGAGAATCACTTGAACCTGGGAGGCAGAGGCTGCAGTGAGCTGAGATCATTCAAGTGCACTCCAGCCTGGGTAACAGAGTGAGACTCTGTCTCAAAAAAAAATGTGCAAAGGGTCCAAATAGACACTTCTCCAAAAAAAAGATACACACATAGCCAATAAACACATGAAAAGAAGCTCAGCATCACAAATCATTAGGGAAATGCAAATCAAAACCGCAATGAGATACACCTCACACCCATTAGTACGGCTACTATAAAACAGAGAAACAAAACCCCCATAAAATAGTGTTGTCAAGGATATGGAGAAATTGGAACCCCTTGTACACTGTTGATAGGAAAATACAATGGTGCAGCTCCTGTGGAATAATATGGAAGTTACTCAAAAAGTTAAAAATAAAATTGCCATAGGATCCAGCAGTTCCACTTCTGGGTGTATACTCAAAAGAGTAGAAAGCAGTCTCTAAGAGACACTTGTATACCCAGGTTTCTAGTAGCAGTATTCACAATAGCGAAAACATGGAAACAATCCAAGTGCCCGTTGATGGATGAATGGATAAGCAACATGTGGCATGCACATACAATGGAATATTTTTCAGCCTTAAAAAGGAAGGATGTTCTGACACACGCTGTAATGTAGATGAACCTTGAGGACATTATGCTGAGCCAGTCACAAAAAGACAAACACTGGGCCGGGCACGGTGGCTCATGCCTGTGATCCCAGCACTTTGGGAGGCTGAGGAGGGCAGATCACAAGGTCAGGAGTTCAAGACCAGCCTGGCCAACATGGTGAAACCCCATCTCTACTAAAAATACAAAAATTAGCTGGGCATGGTGGTGCGTGCCTGTAGTCCCAGCTACTCGGGAGGCTGAGGCAGGAGAATCGCTTGAACCCAGAAGGCAGAATTTGCAGTAAGCCAAGATCACACCACTGCACTCCAGCCTGGGTGACAAAGCAAGATTCCATCTTGGGGAAAAAAAAATTAAAAAAAAAAGAAAGACAAACACTGTATGATTCCACTTATGTGAGGTACTCAGAGTGGCCAAAGTCCTTGAGCCAGAAAGTAGAATGGGCTAGGTGTGGTGGCTCACGTCTGTAACCCCAGCACTTTGGGAGGCCGAGGGGGATGGGTCACTTGAGTCCAGGAGTTGGAGACCAGCCAGGGCAACATAGTGAGACCCCGTCTCTACAAAAAATTGAAAAAATTAGCCGGGCATGGTGACACATGCTTGTAGTCCTAGTTTCTCAGGGTTGAGATGGGAGGCTTGCTTGAGCACAGGAGGTTGAGGCTGCAGTGAGCAGTGATTATGCCACTGCACTCCAGCCTGGGAGACAGAGCAAGACCCTGTCACAAAAGAAAAAAAAAAAAGTAGAATGGCGGTTGCCAGGGGCTAGGAGTAGGGGAGAATTAGGGGGGATATTGTTCATTGGGCACCGAGCTTCAGTTTTATAGGATGGAAAGAGTCAATGGAGATGGTGGTGATGGTTGCACAATATTATGAACGTGTTTATCACCATTGGACTGTACAGTTAAAAATGGTTATGACTATAGTTTTTATGTTATGTGTATGTTACAAAATAAAAAAAGTTCTAACAAATGGATTCAGTGCTGAGCCCACTATTATTGGGTGGGTGGGTGGGCAGGTGGTGTTGATGGGATGGAACAAGAAGAAATGATACCCAGTCCCTGGCCTTAGCCTCTGGTCTCATTAGGAATGCAGAGTGATAATCAACCAAGAAAACACTGGTAGGCAGCAAGGCTCCTTGTAACGCCAGTGTTAGCTCAGGTCACACGTCCTCAGAGATTAAATAAAATTGGCTAGTGCCATATCCCTCCTCATGTGGGCGGTCTAATGCCCTCCAAAGGTTTCCTCATGTTCCCAGGGGCCTCTGCCTTTCCCATGTCCCCAGACCTTGGGTTCCTGCCTTCCATGAGGCTGTTTCAATTCCAGGGTAATGGGAACTGTCTTTCCTTGTTTTCCTCTAAAACTCTCCCTCCAGAGGTTTTGTGTGTAGCCAACTCTGCCAGTGGTTTGGTGTGGTCAATAAGGCAAGCATTGATAACCGAAATCCTGGCCAGCCCCAGGCCTGGAGTTCCTTATGCCACCAAGTCCTTTGGCCACCTCTCTTCACAGACCTCAGCTCTCCATTTATTCTTGTTTGGTTTTGGTTTTGTTTATAGAGAAAGGATTTCACTCAGTCGCCCGTGAAGGAGTGCAGTGGAGCAATCACATGATCATAGCTCACTAAAGCCTCAACCTCCTGGGCTCAAAAGATCCTCCCACCTCAACCTCCCAAAGTGCTGGGATTATAGGTGTGGGCCACCATCCCTGGCCCCTACCTCTCCATTTGGATGCCTGGTCTCCTGGCCCTTAGAGTCCATATTTGAGGTCCACCCCCAGGAATGCAGTTTCCCTCAAGGTATCATTCGGAGCAATGGATTTTCCATTCCCATTTCCAAAGAACTCCTTGCACATTCTAAGACTCATTAATGTGATGTGCTAAGGAAGGGCCATCTGCCTTTTGAATTTTGTACCATGTGCAACTATTATTTATTCTCAAAGAGCCAAATACTTTTTTGAAAGACACTTTCTTCTTAGGATCTCACCTTTTACTGGAAAGAAAAAACAAAAACAGCTTTGTAATTTTAATCCATTTTATCTCTTTCTCCTATCAGCCTCTCCAAGGAAGGAGATAGTATGGAGATTTGTTTTTCCTTCTATTGGAATTATGCCTTCCCTCTTAGAAAGCAGAAGCCATTGCAGTGAGTTTGAGTTTGAAATGACATTATTTTCTGACTTTGCCCCATTTGTTATGTGCACTGTCCCATTCATTCATTCAATAAACAACCAGATGCTGTGTGGCTCAGTGGGAGGTAGAGTCTGTGGGCTGGAGTGATCCGGGGTGGCTTCATGGGTGGGGTGGGAATTGACTTGGAAAATCATGAGAGGGGAAGGGTAGAAATTAGTTCAGTCAAGAAAAACAGCAGGGCAGTTAGAAAGTAGGCGTATAGACTGGTAGGTGCAGGGAATGAATAACCTTCCATTCAATCAACAAGCATTGCTGCGGCTCCACACAGTCCTGGCCACGTGCTAGGCACTGTGCCAGAGACTGGCAAATGGTCGCAGGCAGTTCCAATAGAGGGGAGGCATGGGAGAAACACAGGTCATGGGGAGAGAGGCTGCCAGGAGAGATTGACATTTCAGCTGAGACAGGAAGAATGTGTGGGTGAGGTGAGAAGCTATGCTTCAAGGAGAGGGAGCATTGTTTATGAAATTCCCAAGTCGGGGGAGCCTGATGAGGAAATGGAGGAAGTCCGACCTTGCGAGATGCAAGAGCTGGAGGAGTGAAGTGAGGAATGAGGCTGGGAGGGGCAGGGGCAGGGCAGGTGTGTGTAGGGCGGGTATGGCAGGGCAGGCGTGTGCAGGGCAGGTGCGTGCAGGTCGGGTGTGTGCAGAGCAGGTGGGGCCTCGGAGGTCCCAGAAGGAGGAAGCATGTAATCCTGAGGGTAGGAGAGGCTGAGGGTTTTTTTTTAGCAGCAAAGCTACATAATCAGAACTGGGCTTTCGAAGGGCACCTGGGCTGGGCCTGGACAATATGCTGAATGGGGAGAAATGGGAAGCAGAGGGCCCATTTGGGAGGGGATTGCAGCAGTGCAGCAGAACCTTGACACCTTACAGGCTGTGGGTTGGAGAAGAGACCTGTGCTAGAACAAGAGTAGGCGGGGATGGAACTTGGGACCTCACAGTGGGGAAGGCAGAGACAAGAGGACTTGCAAAGGGCAGCCTCTGAGACAGGTCAGGGTGGTGACAGGGCTCCTGCTTGGGGGAACCTACTGGATGGGACCTGAGTCACCAAAGATGAATCCTCCCTTCTCCAAAAGGAGTGTGGCACCATAGGTTGTCCCAAGGGCGAGACAGGTGCTACTGGTGGGCAGTGTCCAAGATGGGCATGACAGAGTTGACTCACCTGGCAGAAAAGTTCATCCCTTTCTCAATTCCCCTTCAGTTCTTCAAGGAGAAAGCCTTGAATGGGTGCTAGACTCTCCAACACCTCTCTGACATTTACTAACCTCCCTTTTCTATAAAGAGAGAGCAAGCCTCAGTCTCAGAGCCTTCAGCAGGCAACAGTGTCTAGCTGGGATTTGATAACATTTCATTGCATGTATTTTTATGGCTGCCTTCCATTTATGGTCAGTGATATCAAGTTTCCAATTATGGCAGTGATATCGAGTTTCATTTTTCATTAAGGCATTTAAGCTAAGGGGGAAAATAGACCACTTTTAAACATATATTAAGTAAATAATGGTACAAGTGGTCTAGAGCTATGGCAAAAAACAGGAGGGGAGGACTCAGATGACAGAAGGTTGGGAAAAACTTGGATAGTAAAAAGAGCACTGGGTTTGGAGTCCTGAAACTGTGTGTAAGCACTTATGTCCTCCTCCTCCCAGTTGTGAGGACTCGTTGACATCCAGGATGGGAAAGGGCTCCAGGAACCCTGGGGCCTCTTGGGACATTCCTTATTGTCAGAATAACAACAGGAGGCAGTCTCCACCCTGATCCTCCCACTGGGTCCTGGGCATGAAGGTGGGAGTTAGCAGTGTGGGGTAAGGTTAGTGTCCACTTCATTCTAGTAACTTTTTTGGTTCATAAAAGAAATTAAGCCTGAAAAGCAAATCTCCCCAAAGATAAAATATTCAAGGCCGGGCATGGTGGCTCATGGCTATAATCCTAGCACTTTGGGAGGCCAAAGTGGGTGGATTGTCTGAGGTCAACAGTTCGAGACCAGCCTGATGAATGTGGTGAAACTCCATCTCTATCAAAAAAAATTAGCTGGGTATGGTGGTGTGCACGTGTAGTCCCAGCTACTCGGGAGGCTAAGGCAGGAGAATCGCTTGAACCCGGGAGGTGGAGGTTGCAGTGAGCTGAGATTGTGCCATTACACTCCAGCCTGGGTGACATAGCAAGACTCCGTCTCCAAAAAAAAATAAAAAATAAAAAAATAAGAAAACATAAGTTGTCCAAACACTGTTAGGTATACTTTGCTCTCCTGAAGTGGTGTCTAAAACTGAAGCCACAGGAAGGTTTAGAATGTGAGGCTGTCGCCGGTGTCAGCTTGGTACTCAGTACAGTTCCTGAGCACCAGGAGCAGGGCAGTCTGGCATTGGTCGCCAAGGGGAAGCGACCTCTCTGTGGCCTGGGGAGTTGCTGTTGTTGCAAGACTGAGAACTCAGTGCTCCCGTTCCTGGGGGCTTCCTCTTACAAACTTTCGATCTTGATGTTGGTGGGTGTGTTCCTGCCTACTCCACTCCCCAGGCCCCAGTGCCCGGGAGCTTGACCAGCATGGGCACTGCCAGACTGTGAAACAGGGGATTTCCTTCAGGGCATTTCTGCAGTCACCACAGTTGAATCTCTCTCTTTGTTTACTTCTTATTGCCAGTTGTCACCTACTCCTGGAAGGTAAGCTGAATGAGGACAGAGCCTTGTTCTCACTGGTGTGCCCAACACCTTTTGCAGTGTCTTGTGCTTAATAAGGATGGTTGAAGAAACAAATGAATGGGAAGGACCAGAATGTAATCTTAACGTTCAGCTTCCTCACAAGGCCCCAGACAGACTCCTTAGAGCATGATTGCAAAATATGGAATTGGGAGTGAGTTGGAAATTGGCTTTTTCTTGCCCCTGTGACCTCTTAATCTAAAAAAAGTCTTAAGGAATGAATCCTTTTAAAATGAAAGTTTAAGGCATTTAAAATTGCTCTGAGTTCAAAAATCTAAAGCAATATTTAAGGAGCATTGGTATGCTTTCATTAGTTACCTAAGTCACAAAAATGTTCCCTTTGGGGCTGGATCCGGGGAACGAGAGGGTTCCACATGGTTCCATGGGACAGCGCAGCTGGAGGAGGGTGGTTTGCTCCAGTTCACTCTGGAGAGGTAACATTAGGGCTGACCAGTGCCTAATGTCCACCCTAGCTCACCACCACTTTGCTTTCAACGGGGACACAAATCCTGATTCTTCCCTTAGTAGCCATGGGACATTAGGCAAGTCACATCACTTCCTCCAATGGGGATAATAATGGTACCTATGTTATGAGGAACTGGGGAACTGTTTTAAGAATTAAATAAATGCGTGCATGGAAAGTCCTTCAAACAGTATCGTCCATAGTAGGTGCTCAAAAAATATCAGCTTTAATCATTATTTCTTCCATTTTTCCTTTCTGTAATATAATGAGACGAATTCCAAGAATATAAAAGCATTGCAAATTATTTTAAGGGAAAATAGGATTTATGGTCTCTAACAAATAAAGTGTACATTTAGAAGGGTGACGTAAATTCCAAGAGACAAATGTTGTTATCAGTGAGTTGGGGATTTTCCCTCCTATAGTTTCAGCAACTTTCCTAAAGATGTATGATCTCTGTTTAAACCCCAAGCGCTCAAAATGTTAGAGGCTTTACTGAAGTCAAGCGTGGGTGACCTCTGCTTTTAATCAACAGGCAAACTGAAGAGACTCCCTAAAATTTAATAGCTATAGCTCCATTTGTTTTTTTTAAATCACCAAATTAAAAGTAAACCACAGATTTATAATTATTGCCTGAAGTATTACACTTTGAAATGTAATATACTGATTATGATAACTTGCAGAGAAAATCAACTTATACATAATGGATTTTTATGTCCCTAAATTACTGAAATTATTTTTCACCTAAAAAGAGATTGCACATAGTTTAATTTTCCCTTAAATTTTCATTCACCGCACCCCATCTCTTCCAAATGCAACAGAATCTTTTTCCCCAAGGTGTCAATATTAGAGGGAATCATAATTTCTACTCTGGAACCCTTCCCTCTTCCTTGGAATTTGCTTCCCATGACTGCACACACTCAGGCCCCTCTTCTCTCTCGTAAATTCAGCTCCCAGCTGAAGAAACCAAAATACCAGGACGCAAGGACAGGGATGGTCTGTTCTGAGGATCTTCAGGGAATGAGCTATACCCATCTTCCTGTCAAAGGCATTTCCCAATTATTCTCCTGAAAGACCAAGGCAGTCTCCCTTCTGGGAAGAAGGGGAGAGGGTGTGGATACACATGCCTCACCCCCTGCCGCCTGTTAACATGTAGCTGAATTCTAGAGTCGTAACTTGATGTCCTGCAGTGTTAATTCCCATTTTACTGATGAGGAAAGGGTAGGTGGCTGTAGGGTGACATTGTATAGGCCATTTCTTCAACAGGATTTTGCTCGGTTCTGTTTTGAGCACCTGCGGTGGACCAGGCCCTGCTTTAGGTGCTGTCCACACAATGATGAGCAAGACAGTTCTACATCTCCCTGGAGCCTGAATATCTTTATCGGTATAGTGGGGACAAAAATCCCACAACAATGACTTGGCCCTTCTCAAGGTGTTGTGTGGAGATCAGCTGAGCTAATGGAGGAGAAAGTGCTTTGTAACATATTAAGGCATGATACCAACATGAAGAATGATCAGGTATAGAGTGAAAGTAGATGTTAAAAAAGAAGGCTTGTTTTTCTGCACTCTTTATTAAATGATAACAATAACAACCACTCATTGTGCACCTACTGTTTGCCAGCCATTTTATGCACATTCTTCCAAGACCTCACAGCAACCCCCAAGAGAGCTGTATGATCTCTTGCAGGGGCCAGGGCAGCTTGCCCTAGGTCACGCGGCTCGTGTGTCTTGGAGCCAGGATTTCAGCCAGCACGACCTGCCCATTTCCCTTTTGGCAGACTCTCATGTAGGCTGTGGGGCAGGGCCTAGGTATCCTGGAGAGAAGGACCAAGGAAAGGCTGAAGGTAGAATGGAAGAGGAAGGAAGAATAAATGCATCTCCTTCAGGATCACAGAGGCAAAGATGAGCCCTGGGGGTGCCAGGGAACTTCTCAGGAAACAGGCAGTCAGGGACAATGACTTAAGGGTTTGGTAAGAGTTTCTAAACCTTTGTAACTTCCTCTTATTGGTTCTTCCATTATTCAGGCCTTCTGCCTATGGGAAGAAGCAATGAAACACAGCCTCTGTCTACCCATATGTATTAAGTGCCTACTATAGTGCCAGGCAGGCAAAAGGAGATGGGCTGGGGAGATGTCTTTTCAGAGGCAGGAGGAAGGGAAGTGTTGAGGAGTCCTGTGATGCACCCACTGTGGCTGAGAATGAGAACTCCAGAGGACTGAGAGCATGGGGGTGGCTCAAAAGAGGAACGGAAAGCCCATGAGTCTCTAGGGCCTTCAGAGAAGAAGAAAAGGGGAACAGGGAGGCATAAGCCCAACCTGGTCCTGAGCTGGGTGGGCCAAGAAGGGCGAGGACTTGGCCCTGACCCTGCCACAGGCTGTCACAGGGTTGAAATTGGGCTTGGGCTGGGCTATGTCCTCCTTGGCCCTCCAAGCCCTGAAGTTCCTCTTCCTCCTCCCTCCTCCCTCCCCTGCTCCACAAGCACCCACTCTTGCATTCTTGGGGAATCAAAGGCTAAAAATAAACAGTTGCCACCAGACTCTGGGCCCAGGGGGGAATGGGTTCCACAGGAGTCCTGTGGACAGTGGGTTGAGGCTGGGGCGAGGGGACGGAAGGTGGGGGGACAGCTAAAGGTCTTAGGACTCCCCCAAGTGGTGATGCAAATAGTCCCCCCACCCCCCACCCTGGCTCTGGAAGAGCCAAGCCTTCTAGCCTTCAACTCCATGACCTTCTACAGCTAGGGCTATTTGGATCCTGGGCAATGTCACTGTGCCTGCTGGAGAGATAGAGCATGTGGCAAAAAATAGCTTCACCTCCTTGCAGTATTCCTACCCATAACTGGACTCAGAGAGTCTTTATCAGTCCAAAGGCATTCTCCCAGTGGAGCAAAGGTGCTTTTCTGGGAAGGCAGAACCCGTGACTCCTCAGCCCAGAGAATACTTAGTGGGGTTCTCCTTACCGAGAGCATCGCTGGAATCCTTTGGAAGAGAGTCCAGTTTTTGGGGTGGAAGGCGGGGTGGGGAGTGGGAGCCGATGTCAACTAGCAGCACACATCTGTCATCTAAGAAATCTTCTTGGGTCTTAGCTGTCCTCCACTCTTCTGTCTGTGTCACTAACAAACACAAGTCCACTTCCAAAACTTACTTGATGGATTCATGGAATGTTCCAATCGAGTAATTGCCCAGACTTTTGTCTCTAGGAATCCAGGGGCTGGGAGACCCTCCCTGGCTCTGTGTTAACTCCATATTTAGCCATAAAGAGACTGCACCTCCAGGGTCAAGGACCCTGGTGCCTCTGAAAATATTAATAAGAACAATAATAACAACACTAGCTACCATGCATGGAGCACTGCTGATGTACCAGGCATTGTGGTCATGACTTTATGTGGATTATCTCCCTTAATCCTCACAACAACGCATGTTATAGTTTCATACCCATTTTACAGGTGGGAAAAATGAGACCTGGGGAGATTAAGTTGCTGCCATTTGCACACACATAGTCAGTGATGGAGCCCAGATGAGATGGTTTATAACAGTCTGACTCCAGATCCCATACTCTGAGCCTCTACGGAAAATGTTCTGTTTCAGATGAAGGACCCACCAGGGAACAGGAAAGAAAGGCTCAAGGCCAGTGGCAAGAGTCCCCAGAACATTTCCCTGGAGAACTTTCACTGTGCCCTGTCCACTGCTGTGTCCCCACAATTGCATTCTGCAATCCCACTAGCAATGGCTTGGTCAGAGGTCGAGCCACCCTGACCTCTCGGGCCCTTGCATACGCAGTTCCATCTGTCTCAAATGCCCTTCCCTCTGCGCTGAACTTGGCCAACTCCTGCCCAGATTAATAGCTCTTTCCTCAGAGAAGCCTGACCTGGCCAGATTCAGTCTCACCACGCCATGTAACTCTGTCTTACAGGCTCTAGCACAGTTGTTATGGAAATGTGTGTTAGAATTTATGGTATCTGTCTCTGAAAGGAATGTAAGCAGGAACCGTGTCTATCTTGTTCACCGAGATATTCCTGCAACTTAGCCCAGTGCCTGGCACATAGTAAGTGTTCAGTAAGTACTTTTGAAGGAAGGAAGGAAGGAAGGAACAAATGAATGAATGATTTGTCAAACGTTGACTGGATGATTGAACCAGTGATCTCAAATGCATTTGGCTGATGGGATGTAGCAGCCGTTGTGCAGAGCAGGAGGGAGGCTGAGGGGAAGATGCTACCGTGAGAGACAGTGCCTCCCTGGGGGCGGTGACAGAGAGAGAGAGGAAGGAACTGCATGGCCTGTGATGAACTAGATTACCCCAAGACTCCATCCAACCTTGAAATGCTGTTACTTGATGTGAGGATGGGCTGGCGTCCCAGATGTCAACCCTTTAAGGTCATGGTCCCCCAGGCCCTCCTCGTTTACCTGAAGAATCCATTGGAGTAAATCCGACCCTATGAGTTCTAAACCTTGTGAGGAAAGAGCTGCATAAAATTGCTTTGAAATGGTCATGGTGGAAGCTCCTCCAAAGCAGCTCATTCTGGAGGGTGGGATTCCTGAGGGCGTTTGTTTCTACATCACATGTTTCTTTTATGATTTCTCCCTCCCTTAACTTCTTCCCCCCAAAAAAATTACCTTTGTATTAAGAGTAACAAAGCCAGCCGGGCATGGTGGCTCACGCCTGTAATCCCAGCACTTTTGGGAGGCCAAGGCGGGCAGATCACAAGGTCAGGAGTTTGAGACCAGCCTGACCATGGTGAAACCCCGTCTCTACTAAAAATACAAAAATTAGCCAGGTGTGGTGGCTCACGCCTGTAATTGCAGCCATATGGGAGGCTGAGTCAGGAGAATCACTTGAGCCTGGGAGGCAGAGGTTGCAGTGAGCCGAGATCGTGCATTGCGCCACTGCACTCCAGCCTGCGTGACAGAGCGACACTCCATCTCAAAAAAAAAAAAAAAAGTAACAAAGCCAAGTTATTAAGGACGTCTTCAAATATTTGGGGGGTAGAAGTGCCTATTCTTTAAGGAGTTTCTGGTTGCAGAGAATGAGGAAAAGGGAGGAAAGAGAGGCTGGGAGTGAGTGGCTGAGTCGGAATGACAATACCACTGATGACTTGTTTTTCTTATTTTGACAATTAACATGCAGTAAAATTGACTTGTGTGTGTGTTACATTTTTTTTTTTTTTTTTTTGAAGAGCCTTGCTGCAGTGGTGCAATCTTAGCTCAGTGCAAACTTCGCCTCCTGGGCTCAAGCAATCCTCCACCTCAGCCTCCCGAGTAGCTGAGATTACAGGTGATTGCCACCATGCCCAGGTAATTTTTGTACTTTTTGTAGAGATAGGGTCTCACTATGTTGCCCAGGCTGGTCTCAAACTCCTGGGCTCAAGTGATCCACCCACCTTGGCCTCACAAAGCCTGGGATTAGAGGTGTGAGCTGCTGTGCCCGGCCAGTTCTACAAATGTTAACGTATATGTAGATTTGTGTAACCACCATTGCAATTAGGATATAAATCAGTTCCATCTGTCCAAAAAACTACCTCGAATTGCCCTTGATAGTCACGCCCTTCTCCCAGCCCTGACTCCTGGCAACCGCTGGTCTGCTCTTCATCGCCCTAGCTTTGTCTTTCAAGAATGCTGTGTAAATGGAATCATACAACACATAACCTTTTGAGACTGGCTTCTTTCACTCAGTTGTTCCATGTATCAGTGGTGAGTACCATTTTACTGCTGAGTAGGTTTCTGGTGGTGGTCTAGTAGACAAACCACAGTTTACTTACCCATTGAGCAACATTTGAGTTGCTTCTAATCTTTGGTGATTGTGAATAGAGCTGCTATAAACATTTGTGTACACGTTTTGGTGTGCATGTAAGTTTTCATTCCTCTAGGGAAATTACCTAAGAATGAGATGGCTGAATTATATGTTAAATAAAGGTTTCACTTTATAAGAAACTCCCGAACTGTTTTCAGGGAGGCTGCAGCATTCTGCAATCCCACTAGCAATGTATGAGGGTTGCGGTCAGTCTTCATCCTGCCAGCATTTGTTGTCAGGGTTTTTGGGGTTTTTTTTTTGTTTGTTTCTTTTTAAAGCCATTCTGATAGGTACACAGTGGTATCTCATCCGGGTTTTGTTTTACCTTTCCCTAATGGCTAATGCTGTGGAATATCTTATCATGTACTTATTTGTATCCTCTCTGGTGAGCTCTCTGATCAAGTCTTTGGGCCATTTCTTAGTTGGGTTGTTTCATTTCTTACATTGAGTTTTGAGGGTTCTTTTTATGTTCCGGATGCTAGTCTTTCGTGAGATATGTGATTTGCAAATATTTTTCCCCAGACTATAACTTGTCTGTTCTTACTCTCAGTGGTCTTTGTCATAGAGCAAACATTTCTAGTTTTGATGAAGAAAATTTTAATCAATTTTTAAATTTCATAGATGATACTTTTAGTGTTACATATAAGAACTCTTTGCCTCATATTATCATTTTTGATCACTTTCTTTGTGCCAGCCCACATTGCATAATTATTTAATCTTTACTACAATCCTATATTGTTAATGCTATTCTTATATAACCTCATAATACAGATGAGGAAACTGAGGCACAGAGAGCTTAATAATTTTCCTGGGACTCACACAGCATTCACTGGCAGAGCTGGGATTCAACTGCACGTCAGAGCCCACCCTTGTCACCACTAGAATCAGGTTGACACCCTGCCCATAGAAACCCTTACTGGAAAGCCAGCAGGGAAAGGAACATTTGCTGCTTCTTGTCATTTGGGTCTCAGCTTAAATGTCACCTCCACAGGGAGATCGTCCCTGGCTACCCCATCTAAAATAGGCCCTCTCTTCCCCTCCCCTCCGTTTTCACCTCTCCCCTCTTCCCCTCTTTCTTTCCCTTCTTAACTGAGAATGAGTCTCTCCATGGCTCTTTTCATTACCTGCAATTTGTTAGTTTTCTTCTACAACTTGTGTTCTTCTACATAATTTCTTCCTTCCCCACTTAAGGTCAGCTGAGTGAGAGCAAGGACCTTATCTTTCACCTCTTTATCTCCAGCTTCTGTGCCTGGCACAGAGTGAGTGGTCAGCAAATATTTGCTAGTGCTGTTAGTGGATGGATAAATGAATAGATGAATGGATGGATAAGTTGCCTCAGTTGGGGAAATTTGGCTTCTTGAGCAGGAAGAAGCTGCCACCTAGGAAATAATCAGGTCCTAGCTGGAAAGAATGGAAAGGCATCTTCCATATGAACATATTTGTTTGTGTATATAAACATTATGTACGACATTTGTGTTTAAAAAATAGAATATTGTAATACATGTCTATTCTAATATATGCATAGTCTATCTCTGGAAGGATACAAAAGAAGTTGGTGTACTGATTGCCTTCTCAGGGTAGAGCTGGACTAGGATATTGGCTACAATATTAGGATGAGAATGAGACTCACTTTTCACTATATAACCTTTTATTCATCTTGCTACCCTGGGCATGTATTGCATATTCAGAGCTTATATTTCTTTTAACAGTAATAATGATATAAGATTTCTTTCCCTGGGAGGCTGGCACCGGAGCAAGCCAAGAGGTTAATCAGATGAAGTTGTTTAGAAGACAATTAACACCTCTCCAACCAGCAGCTTCTTTGTAGGAACTAAGGCAAGGTCAATCTTAATGCAGAAAAGGTTTTGTAAGGCTAAATGGAGAGGCAACATTTATTAAGTCATTACTAATGAGCAATGCTTATTAATATTGGAATATAATACATGCTTATTGCAACAATTCAAACTTAAAGATGTATCTGAAGCAAAACTAACACCTTCCAATCCAACTCCTTTGACACATTGTAATTAGAAATTTGATTTTCCTACTTTTATTTGATAAAGTATTCAGTGTCATTTGGGTATATTTATTGTCTGTTTTCTATAAAAATGGTATCAAACCATAGACATTATTCTTTTCTGTTTGTTTTTTGTTTTTTGAGACAAGACCTCTCTCTGTTGTCTGGGCTGGAGTGCAATGGCACAATCAGAACTCGCTGCAGCCTCTATCTCCCGAGCTCAGGTGATCCTCACCTCAGCCTCCCAAGTAGCTAAGACTACAAAGGCACGCCACCACCATGACCAGCTAATTTTTTCTAATTTAAACGATTTTTTTTCAGAGGCAAGGTCTCACTTTGTTGCCCAGGCTTGTCTCGAACTGCTGGGCTCAAGGGATCCTCCCTGCTTGGCCTCCCAAAATGTTGGGATGACAGGAGTGAGCCACTGCACCTGGCCGACACTATTCTTTAACATCTTTCTTTCACTCCACACATTTTGGAGATAATTTTAAGGTGATACACATGGAGCTACTTCATTTGTTTTAAGAGTTACATAATGGCGGGGCACGGTGGCTCACGCTTGTAATCCCAGCACTTTGGGAGGCCGAGGCGGGTGGATCACAAGGTCAGGAGATCAAGACCATCCTGGCTAACACGATGAAATCCCGTCTCTACTAAAAATACAAAAAATTAGCCGGGCGTTGTGGTGGGCGCCTGTAGTCCCAACTACTTGGGAGGCTGAGGCAGGAGAATGGCGTGAACCTGGGAGGTGGAGCTTGCAGTGAGTGGAGATTCCGCCACTGCACTCCAGCCTGGGTGACAGAGCGAGACTCTGTCTCAAAAAAAAAGAGTTGCATAATGTGCAATTGTATTGATGGGAGCAGGATGTTTCTAGTTTCTTGTTGTTACAAAGATGTTGCAATGAATATTCTTGTATCTAGCTAGCTAGGGAGCTTATGTGTTATTACTTTCATTTCTGAAAGTTGTCACATATTTTTTGTCATAATATTTTGGAAAAATTTTTCTACAAGGCTGTAATTTTTTACAACCAACGATGGATATGATAGAGTTGGTTTTCTTACTCTGCCATCAGCTATAAACGTTACCAATCTTTTTGTTTCTGCCAATATTAGAAGACATATGGGAACTCATTATTTAATTTTTATTTCCCTACTTATACATATGCTTATTGGCCATTTTCATTTCCTCTTCTGTATACTGTTCACATTCTTTGCCAAGTTTTCCGTCGGGTTATTCATTTTTCCCCCCAGTTAATTTGTAGGAGTGTGTTCATGCCGGGGTAGTAAGCCTTTGTCATATGAAGTCTTAATGTTTTATCCTGGACTCTCATTTATCTTTTGACCTTGTTTGTGGTGTCTTCTGTTAAACAGAAGTTTAAAATTTTTATGCAATCAGATCTCTCTATTTTTTCCTTTATGGCTATTAATAACCACGGATGTTTGTGTAACCCGGTGGTTTTCATACTGTGTTTCCTAAACTTAGGGTTTCATGGGGATGAATGGATGTCAAGAGGGTGGGGGTGAATGGAGCTGCTGGCTGTCAGGAACTCACCATTTCCCCTTCCTCTATTTTTTATTGATCCTTTACATGCTACCGCTAATACTTTAGTGGAGGAGAACCTGGGCTCTGGAGCCAGAATTCTTGGGCAAGGCACCTAACCTTTCTGGGCTTAGTTTCTTAGTTTCTCAGTCTATAAAATGGGGATTGAGAATAGTGCCTCCCCCTAGAATTGTGGTGAGCCTCCAGTGAGTTGATCCATGGAAAGCCACCTCTTAATTAGCACTTACCATGTGCTCGACACTGTGCTAGGCAATATACATATATATGTTCTCAGTCAGTCCTCACAGCCACCTCTCTGCCTGAGAGGCCAGCAGGATTATTCTTATTTTACAGAGGAGGAAACTTAGGCCCAGAAAGCCTAGGTAACTTGCCTAAGGGGACAAAGGTAGTGAGTGATGAAGCTAAGATTTACACCCTGGTTTCTGCATGCCTTTAAGACCTTGGTTGTTATCTTGTCCTCTCTCCTTACCACATTGATATTTATTGAGCACCTACTATATTCCAGCCCAGTGCTAAGTGCTGAGGAGACAGCAGAGAATCTGACAGTCTCCATTTCTTGATGCTTACAGTCTAGTCGGTGAGGCAGTGATTGACAATCAGACAATTGCAAATTGTGGGTGTCATTGTGCACTGTGTAATGAGAGATAATCACACCAATTGTGATTTCAAGCTGGGGAATCAGGAGAGGCCTTTCTAACAACATTCTGTTTGAGCTGAGACATAAAGGATGAGTAGGGAAGGCCAGTTTGAAACTGCAGCATATCAAATGGGTGGGCTCTCTGGCGGAGAATGAGCTTGGCAGTCTCCAAGAATGGAAAGAAGGTCAATATGGCAGGCAGGCAGTAAGTGCGAGGGCAGTAGATGCCAGGGCATACAAGCCCCTTGTGGGCGTAGGTGAAACTTTGAACTTTATTATAAATGCAGCAGGAAGCCATGGAGGGTTTCAGAAAGAGAATGCTGGAATCTGGCTGTGCTTTAAAAATATCACTTTGTGAATATGTGCGTACATTACGGCAATTCTACTCCCAGGCAGGTAGGTACCCAACAAAAATGCACACTTATGTGCGCCAAAGACCAGAATCTTAACAACTGCCCCCTTTGTAATAGCCCCAATCCACAAACCCCTCAAATGCTTCTCAGTGCTTGACTGAATAAATGATGATATAGTCACACAGTGAAACACTATGCAGCAATGAAAATGAATAAATTATAACTATACACGATTATATAGATGGATCTCACAGTGGTAAATGAGTTAAGGCAGACATAAAACAGTATACATGATATGAATCCATGTATATAAAGTTCAAAAATAGAGGTGAAACTAATCTACAGTGTTAGAAGTCAGGATAATGGTAGCCCCGGGGGAGATATGGAAGTGACAAGGAAGGGGCATGGGGCGGGCTTCTGGTAATATTCTGTTCTTCATTTGGGTGCTGATTACGTGGGTGTGTTCCATTTAGACAAACCCATCAAGCTGAACATTTATGATTTGTGCACGAGTCTCTCTGTATGTTCCTTTCTGGCCAGTATGTGAGTGTTGAACTAGAAAGGTGGAAGATGCAGTCTTGGAGAGACGAGGTATGGGCTGTTGAAAAATTCAGGTGAATGATGGCTGGCTAGAGGGATGGTAGGGGCCAGGGAGACCTGAGGACGGAGCAGGGACATGTTTTGGAGAAAAGCTGGTGAGGGCATCAGCAGTGCCTCTCCACTTCTGGCATGAGCACCTGGGAGGTGTCAGAACTAAGATGGAGAAGGTGGGCGAGGAGCAGCTTTGAAGAGGATGGCAGAACCCAAGACCTTCATTTTGGACATGTAAACTTTGAAATGTCTCCAAAAGGCAACATCACGGGAGCAGATAGGTGTCTGGTGAGACTTCATTTAAAAAAAACAAAAAAAGATTCTGCTGCTTAAGAGAAAAATAAAGTTTGAAAAAAAGTTGCCACCATTCTGGCAATTTTTTCTTTTACAAAGCACTTTCAGCTCCATTATCTCATTCTATTTAATTTCATGACAAAGATTCTTGTCTTTGAAGTGTGGGTGGGATGAGGGGAATGTGATGTCTTTATGTAGAAATTAGAGAGATATTCATGTGTGTGCTGTTACTGGAACACGCTATATTTATCCATTAAAAGAGAGCAGGCCTGGGATGGGAGCCTGAGCTAACCCGTGGAGGGCATCAGCCGTGATGAGAAGGCTGATTGGGGTTCTGGGAGTTTGGCTCTCACTGCAGTGGGGCTGAGCCAAGCAGTCTAAGACCCAAATGTAGTGGGCAGAGATGCTTTCCGACAGCCTTGGGACCCTGGGGACAAGGCACAATTGCTGGAGATGTGGGCTCCATTACCTTCTAATTCAGTCCCTGTCCCTGCCTCCCCCTGAGGAATATGGATCACACTTCTCCCCTGCTTACCTCTTCCAAGGCTCCCCATTGTCCCCAGGAAAGAATCCTTAGTCCTGGCCATGAGGAGGCTTTGCATCTCTGCAGCCTCATCTTTTACTCTTTTTATGGGTTCTTTCTGTTCAAGCCATGCAGGGCTTTCTTTCTGTCTATTGAGTGCGCTGCATTCTTCCTAATCTCCAGGCCTTTTGCGGGCTTTTTTCTGTGCCTGGGATACCTGGTCAGTCTTCTTTGTACTTACCTGTATGCATCCTTCAAGCCTCAGGTCAAAACCATTTTCGTCAGGAAGGCTTCTGCATTCCCTGAACAGCCTGAGCCCTGCCCTACTCACTCAGGTCACCCAGCACTGCCCTTGATCTGAGCCCTACTCCTCTTTCAGCATCTGTCTTCCCCATCAGACTGTGAGCTCCAGGGCAGTGGGGACTGTGTCTGCCTTGTCCCCCCCAGTCAGCCTGTGTCCTGCTCCCTAGCGTTGGGTACCAAACACGTCCTCACAGCCATGTGCTTTTCTTGCCCTCTGGGCTAAACTGATAACCTTGAAGCTGGGCATCCCTTTGTCCACATCCCCAGGCCCCAGTGAGACTGAGCGTTCACTCTGCACTCAGGGGCTTGTCTGTAGATTTGCAAAATCCCCTGAAAATGCTCATGACCATAACTGACTCCACAATTACTTTTTCAACAGAATCCTTGGGCACAATTTTTAGGCAGATTAGAACCAAAACCTGGGGGCTGGGCGCTGTGGCCCACCCCTGTAATCCCAGCACTTTGGGAGGCCAAGGCGGGTAAATCACCTGAGGTCAGGAGGTCAAGACCAGCTTGGCCAACATAGTGAAACCCCTGTCTCTACTAAAAAATTCAAAAATTAGCTGGCCGGGATGGTGGCAGGCACCTGTAATCTCAGTTACTCAGGAGGCTAAGGAACGAGAATTGCTTGAATCTTGGAGGTGGAGGTTGCAGTGAGCCAAGATCGCACCACTGCACTTCAGCCTGGGTGAGAGTGAGACTCTGTCTCAAAAAAAAAAAAAAAAGACAGGAGACAAAATCTGGACACCCCTCCTCCCACCAAAGGACCAATGAGGGTCAGACTCACTAAGGCCAATTCAGTCTGAAATAACCTAATCCCAAGAAGGTGTCCAGTGATTGTGTGGGCAGCGACGCTGAAAAAAGAATAGCCACAGGGCATCGTTAAAAACCATGTCACAAACCTTAAAAATATGAACATCCTTTGCTGCAGGAATTTCACCTCTAAGAATTCACTCTGATAAAATAATGCATGGGAGCAGAGATGAATTTATGAGGCTGTTTCCCACAGCATTGCTCATCACAGCGAAACATTGGAAAAAAACAAGATATGCAACAATGAGAGACTGGTTGAAAGTGGAGACACAGACAATACCCTGCCACCATTAAATGTGATGTTGTGCGTGTACTTTACCGACCTGGAGTCACCACCATGACACACGGTGTGTGTGGGTCAGAAGCTGTTCAGTGGCAAGTGACAGAAATCCACCTCAAAATGGGAAAAGCACAAGGGAGGATTTGTTGTTAGCTCATGTAATCCAGAGGAGAGTTGGACAACACAGTTCGGAAGGACCACAGTGTGGCCAGGGCCAAAGAACACCTGGGGTCTGGGGCTCAGGCAGTTCCAAGACCTTCTCTCCATCTGCTGTGTTTGCCTCTCCCTGTGTGTCAGCCTCATTTTCTCATTGCAGACCAGATAGTGGGGAATACATTTTGAGACATAGGAAAGTATATACCTGAAGCTGTCTCTAGCCCTCAATCCAGAACTCCCAAGCAAGGAATAGACTGGCCACCTTAGTTCAATTACCCAAGTCTGAACCAGTCAACTGTGGACAGGGTAGCCAGGCACTGTGATTGGCCCAGCTTGAGTCAAGACCTCCCTCTGGACCAAACAACTAAGACCAGGGCGCAGGGTCTCTTTGACCTAACATGGGAGTTCTTGAACTAAACAGAGAAGGCAGGAAGAGTAGTTCTGGGAAAGGGTACAGGGCTGATAATCTGGGTTATCCTCCACCTATTTTTGAGTGAGATGGTTAACAAAATGACATACCAGTTTTGTTACTGAGATACTGTTCACTCTTCATTGTACTTACCAGTATGCATCCTTCAAGCCTCAGCTCAGGCGGGCTTCTTCATTCCCTGAACAGGCTGAGCCCCACCCTGCTCATCCAAAGCAACGTCTCATTTCTGTAAAGAAATGGCGGAAGGGCAGTGCATAGAGGAAATAAAGTCTGAAAAGATATTCTAAAATGTTCAGAGTTGTTTTCTTGCAGCTGTGCTGTGTTTTCTATGATGAACACCAACTATTTGTGAGATCAAAACAATTTTTTTTTTTTTGAGATGGAGTTTCACTCTTGTTGCCCAGGCTGGAGTGCAATGGTGTGATCTCAGCTCACTGCAACCTCTGCCTCCGGTTCAAGTGATTCTCCTGCCTCAGCCTCCTGAGTAGCTGGGATTACAGGTGCCCGCTACCACACCTGGCTAATTTTTGTATTTTTAGTAGAGATGGGGTTTTGCCATGTTGGTCAGGCTGGTCCTGACCTCAGGTGAACCAGCTGCCTTGGCCTCCCAAAGTGCTAGGATTACAGGCATGAGCCACCATGCCTAGCTCAAAAATTTTTTAAGAGAGAAAAGCTATATTGACTCCATGAGTATGTGGAACAACCACTCAAGCAGTTCTCCTCACGTCTCTCTCCTTCAGCCAGCCCATGCTGGATTTGAAATGCAAGTGATTTTGTGAACTGCAGACCTCATTAGTGTCTCCAGACATCCATCCATCCAACAAATGGATGTTGACAGGGGCCCCAGTAAGTGCCAGGCAGCAAAATGTGCTGGAGATACAATGACCACTAAAGGCTAGACCCTGCCTCCAAGGAGCTCACAGTCTGGTGGAACATAGATTTTGATGAGTACATAACCAGTTATGTTACAAGAAGCTCAAAACAGAAGTGTGAGCAATGTGCTAGAGAAATATAGACCAGAGGACAACTGGTTCTGTTTAGAGGGCTCTGTAAAGGTGGTCTTGAGGCGTTGGGCTTTGAGCTGGCCTGCAAATGTACAGCATGCTGTGAAGGCTTATCAGATGGGGAAGACAGCACATGCAAAGGTGCAGAGAGCTTACCAGCAGGACCTGGAGTTGGTGGTCAGGTGTGGCAGGAGTTACGAGGGAGCAGACAATGAATTTCATTAACTGAGCAGGTAGTGAACATCTAGCATATGTCAGGCTTTTGGCTAAGGGCTTGCTGATGAAATAGCAAAGGCATTTGAGATTAGAGTCCAAAGGGCCTTGAATGCTATTCTGTCTCCTTTCCAATAAAACAAAATTGAGATGAAAATGTGGGCTTATCACTTCTTTCATAGGAGAGACACACGTCTTCTTCATGCATGGGCCCTCTCAGGTATCTTCAGCTCCTGCATCTCCACATTAAAGGAGGAAGCAGGACTGGGTGTGTGTGTAGCAGAGGTAGGTGTCCACACTCCCTGCTTCCTGGGTTCATATTCTACCCGTGTTTCAGGGATATTGGGGAATGAGACACTTGGGGAATTCTCTTAGAAGTTGCAGAGGCAGGGCTGTGCTCAGAAAGTCCTAGCTGGGCTTTGCTGTGGAGGCCCAGAGCCATGATCATGGAAATGACTTTCCCAGCTCTGCTTCTCTGGAGGGACTCTGGGGAAGGGGAATCACTGGTCTCTGAAGTGTCTTTCATGCACTAAGCCGAATGACCTTGGCCTGAATCGCTCAGGGTTATGTAAGATTAGGTAGCCACTTAGTCAAAAATAGCTTTCATGCTGACTCCAGCCCACAGAATAGCATCCAAGTCAAGGGGGCACAGATGCGTCAGAGCTGGGCATGCATGGGGAAATTCCCCTCCTGGTCCTCGCCATTGGAAAATCGCTTGAGGGTGTTAGCCGGGACTTGGAGCTGCTGCCAGGTAATCTCCTGTGTGTCTCTGTTTGGCAGCATATATGTGACTGTTTTGCTGAAGGAGAGAAACCAAGGGACCATAAACACAGAAATGCAGTGCAAACATTAGAATAAAAGTGAGAAAGAGGGTGCGGTAGGCAGAAAGAGCACTGAACTAGGAGCCTTCAGATCTGCTACTACCATTGACTTTCTGGAGCCAGTCACTTTTTTCTATTCATTCAACAAATACTTACTGAGCCTACTGTGTGCCAGAGACTGTCCTAGCACTGGAGACACAAAAGGGAAGGATAGATGCTATTTCTTCCCTCATGGAATTTTAGCTTGTAAGCTGTCTTGTCCCTCAGCTTAAAGATAACACACATCTTCTGAGAAATTTCTTATGCCAGGCACTTTACAAGACATTCGACATACACAGTGAACAAGCCAGATACAGTCTTTGGCCACATGCAGCTTGCAGACTAGAGGGAGAAAAAGACAAATAAAGACAAAAAAAATCCAGACAATTTGTCTTTGCAATAAAAATTCCAATAAAGGGCGCTTTTAGGCCTAAGAGGAAGATGTCTGTATTGATTGGGACGGTCACTGTCTTGTTCAAAGTTTCTGCCCAGTGAAGGAGCATGTCGGGGCTCCTGTTTTCTCCTCCTGGAAGAGACATTGGGTAAAAGCAACCTGGATCCCGCATGAGGAAGAGAACCCCATCCACTGCTATTCAGAGTGGGTGTTGGTCTGATATTTTTGGAGGAAAATTTGGCAACATTCATTAAAGCTTTACAAGTATTCCTCTCCTTTGACCTAATACATTCATTTCTGGGAGGTTATCCAAAGGAAATAATTGGATAAGTGTACAAAGATGTACATTGTAAAGAAACTCAATGAATCCTTATTTACGACAATTAAAAATTTGAAATAACCAAGACAGTCAATAATAAGGGATTGTTGAAGCAAATTGTAGTCTAGCTGGACTGGTAGCACATGTCTATAGTCCCGGATATGGCAGGAAGATCCCTCGAGCCCAGGAATTGGGGTTCAGCCTGGGCAACATAGTAAGACCCTGTCTCAAATAAAAAATAAAAAATTGCAGTATATCTATAAAGTGCCATAAAATAATTTTTGCCCTTTATACCATTAACATGGAAAGATGTTCATGATATGATAAGTTAAAAAAATTGGTTCAAAAAATTGTGTGGGATAGTACCAAAAAGAGCAGAATACGTAAGAATAAATTTACCCAAGAAGGTGTAAGACTTCTTTACGGAAACTTTAAAACACTGCCAAAAGAGATGAAAGAAGACCTAAATATACAGACATTCTTTGCTTATGGGTTAGAAGACTCACTTTTTAAATTAAATTTTAATTTCTATCATTAATTTATTTGTTTATTTTTATGGGAACCACTAAGACCGCGTCGTCTCCTTACTCCCCTGAAGGAAGAGAAGAAGGATCATCAATGGCAAGCGGCAGCTGCAACAAAACAACACTATGAGCTGGCTGCATGCTCAGGAAAGAATGCCCGCCTCCTCCGTTTGGTTTCCAGTGCTCTAAACATTCAGAGAAACTTCTCTAGTATTGAATGACAGAAATGAGCCCTGAGAGTAGAGTCTTAGAAGACTTGATTTTGTTAAGACAACAATATTCCCCAAAGCAATATGCAGATTCAATGCAATCCCTATCAAAGTCCCCAAATCCCACAAATTCCGTTTTGCTGAAGTAGAAAAGCTGACTCTGAAATGTACATAGAATTGCAAGGGATCCCAAATAGTCAAAACAATCTTGCAAAAAGAAGAACAAGGTGTTAAGACTCACATTTGCCAATTTCAAAACTTACTACAAAGCTACAGTAATCAAAATCATGTACTACCAACATAAGGATAGTCATGCATATAGATCAATGGAATAGAATTGACAATCCAGAAATAAACGTATGCAACTATGGTCAATTGATTTTCAACAAGGGTGCCAAGACCATTCAATGGGGGAAAAGAAGGGTTTCTTCAACAAATGGTGCCAGGCCAACTGATTATCCACATGCAAAAGAACAAAGTTAGACGTTACCACACATCATGTACAAAAATTAACACAAAATGAATAAAATTCTAAATATAAGAGCTAAAGCCATAAAAGTCTAAGAAAAGAACAGCTTTATAACCTTGGGTTTGGCAACAGTTTCTTAGACCAAAAACAAAAGGAACAAATGAAAAATAAGTTGGGGGCTTCATCAGAATAAAAAACTTCTGTGCATGAAAGAACGCTATCAAGAATGCAAAAGGAAACCCACAGAATGGAAGAATATATTTGCAAATCATATATTTGACAAGAATCTTGTATCCAGAATATAGAAAGAACTTGTACAACTCAACAAGAAAAACACAAACAACTCAATTTTTAAAATGGACAAAGGCATGAAAAAGAACAAAATCATGTCCTTTGCAGCAACATGGATGCAGCTGAAGGCTATTATCCTAAGTAAATTAACACAGAAACAGAAGACCAAATGCCACATGTTCTCACTTGTACGTGGCAGCTAAACATGGGGTACACACGGACACAAAGATGGGAACAATAGACACTGGGGGCTCCAAAAGCGGGGAGGAGGGGTGGGAGGGCAAGGGCTGAAAAACTACCTATTGGGTACTGTGTTCACTATTTGGTTGATGGGATCAATAGAAGCCCAAACTTCAGCATCACACAATATACCTACGTAGAAAACCTGTACATGTACCCCCGAGTGTAAAAAAGATGGGCAAAGGCCTTGAATAGATATCTCTCCAAGGAAGATATACAAATGGTCAACAAGCACGTGAAAAGATGTTTAACATCATTAGTCATTAGGGAAATGCAATTCAAAACCACAAAAATGTAGGTATGAGATAGCATTTCATACCCACTAGGTTGGTTATAATAAAACAAAACAAAACAAACAGAAGGAATATGACAAGTTTTGGTATGGATGTAGAGAAATTGGAACCCTCATACATTGCTGGTGGAAATGTAGCCACTATGGGAATCGGTTTGGTGTTTCTTCAATAAGTTAAAGACAGAATGACCATTTGATGTAGCAGTCCCACTCTTAAGTATATAGTCAAAAGAACTGAAAACAGGTATTCAAATAAAAACTTACATGTTCATAGCAGCACTATTCACAACAGACAAAAGGTGGAAATAGCCCAAATGTCCCTCAACTAATGAATAGATAAACAAAATATGGCATATCCATGCGATGGAATGTTATTTGGCTATAAAAAGGAACGAAGTAGTGATGCATGCTACAGCATGGATGAACCTTGAAAACAGACTGGACCTGGTGGCTCACACCTATAATCCCAACACTTTGGGAGGCTGAGGGTGGGGGGTGAATCACTTGAGGCCAAGAGTTCAAGACCAACCTGGGCAACATAGTGAGATTCTGTCTTTACAATTTCTTTTTAATTAGTTGGGCTTGCACCTGTAGTCCCAGCTATTTTGGAGGCTGAGGTGGGAGGATCACTTAAGCCAAAGAGGTTGAGGCTGCAGTGAGCTATGATTATTTCACTGCACTCCAGCCTGAGTGACAGAGACAGAGAGAGACCCTGTCTCTAAAAAAAAAAAAAAAAAGAAAAAGAAAAAAAATTTTTTTAAAAACCTTGAAAACATTATGCTTGGCTGAGTGTGTTGGCTCACATCTGCAATCCCAGCACTTTTGGAGGCCAAGGTGGGAGGATCGCTTGAGGTCAGGATTTGGAGACCAGCCTTGCTGATGTGGTGAAACCCCATCTCTACTAAAAATATGAAAATTATCCAGGCTTGGTGGTGCATGCCTGTAGTCCCAGCTACTTAGAAGGCTGAGGCAGGAGAAATCATTTGAATCCGGGAGGCGGAGGTTGCAGTGAGTCTAGATCACGCCACTGCGCTCCAGCCTGGGCAACAGAGCGAGACTCTGTCCCCATTAAAAAAAAAAATTATGCTAAGTGAAAGAAGTGAGACACAAAAGATCACATATTGTATGGTTCCACTGATGTGAAATACCCAGCATAGGCAGATCCATGGAGCTAGAAAGCAGATTCGTGGTTGCCAGGGGCTGTCGGGAGAGGGGAATGGAGAGTGACTCTTCAGTGGATGTGGGATTTCCATCTGGGGTGATGAAATTATTCTGAAATTATATAGTGGTGATGATTGTTCAGCATTGAGAATGCACTAAATGCCACTGAACTGTACACTTCGAAATGGTTGAAATGGTTAAAATGGTGAAAAATTGTTGTGGGTATTCCAGAAAAATAATTGGAAGGATGAACAATAAAATGTTAACAGTGATTATTTCTGGATAACAGTAGGAGTGACTTTCACTCTCCTATTTTTCTTTTTATACTATATGAATACTTTATGAGAAGCATGTTTTGCATTAGTAATCAGAGTGAATAAAAGCCATAGTGAACTGTTTTCACTTTAGAAGGCAAGAAGCAAGACGGAAGGGAGGAAGAAAAGACGGAAGGAAGGAAGGAAAGGAGGGAGGAAGGAAGGGAGGGAGGGAAGGAAGGAGAGGGAAGGAGAGAGCGGAAGGAAGAAAAAAAGGGAGTCCTTGAACCCACCCCCCACAACTCCCTCATCTCTCTCATTACTTTGGAGGTGCAGGCCTTGCTAGTGTCAGGCTGGGGGTTGTATGGGTTTCTGGTTAGACACCAAGAAGGACCTTTTAGGTTAATAGGATTGAGGTCAGCAACCAACAGAACTCTTTACATATCCTATGGGAAGATCCCTAAGATATATTGTATAAAGAGCAAGATTTAGGACAGAGTGTGACAATTAGTGTAATTATACACTCAAACACATACACACACACGCTCCTGCACATACAGTCGTAATTACTAAAGAGTGCATGCCGGCCAGGCTTGGTCGCTCACGCCTGAAATCTTAACACTTTGGGAGGCCAAGGAAAGAGGATTGCTTGAGGATAGGAGTTCTAAACCAGCCTGGGCTACATAGCAAGATCCTGCCTCTACAAAAAATAAAAATACAGAATTAGCAGTGTGTGGTGGTGCATTCCTATAGTCCTAGCTGCTTGCAGGGAAGAGGCAGGAGGATCATTTGAACTCAGGAGGTCTAGGCTGCAGTAAGTCAGGATCATGCCACTGCACTCCAGCCTGGGTGATAGAACAGGATCCTGTCTCTCCATCCCAAAAAATGTGTATGCGTATGCATTTGCAAATGTAAAGATACCCTCTACCAAAATGGCTGAAAAACAGCAAGAATGGTTTTCCCCAGGGAGGGCAACTGGTGATTAGACAGGAGAGAAAGAGAAGGAAACAGACATTTCACTGTATATACCCATCTACCCATCTCTCCATCTCTGTATCTTTTGTATTTGGTAGTATGTATATACTTTTTTTTTTTTTTTTTTCTGATGGAGTCGCCTCTGTTGCCCAGGCTGGAGTGCAGTGGCACAATCTTGGCTCACTGCAACCTCCGCCTCCCAGGTTCAAGCAAATCTCCTGCCTCAGCCTCCAGAGTAGATGGGATTACAGGCGCATGCCACCGCACCAGGCTAATTTTTGTATTTTTAGTAAAGATGGGGTTTCACCATGTTGCCCAGGCTGGTCTCAAACTCCTGAGCTCAAGCAATCTGCCCGCCTCAGCCTCCCAAAGTGCTGGTATTACAGGCGTGAGCCACTGCGCCCAGCTGTATGCATGTACTTTCAAAGACAGATATTTTTTTCCTCTGAGCACTTTCTTTATGTCACAAAAACAAAATTTCCAAAACAAAAAATTTGTTTGGTTTCCGCCCTATTTTTGTATTTACCAAATTTTTATAACAACAGATATTATTTAACAGTGCATAAAAGGCAGATATTACTTAACACACTCAAGTAAGACAGAAATGTTTAAAGTAAAAACAGAACACTCCTCCTTCCAGTTTTCTTTCAAAAGGAAAATATATTTATAATAAAATGTATTTTAAAATGAAATAAAGGTATCAGAAAAATGGTCTTTTTTTAAAAAAAACTTCTCTGTTGGTTTCCTTTCCCCTAAATTTTCTACAGTGCTATCTATTATTTCATGTTGGAAAATGTCTGTAATTAGCTGAGTCTTTAAACATAAAGCCATGGGTTTTAGGCAGCTGGTGAAGCCGCATTGGCCTGACCTTGACCTCCATGGAGCCCTGGACCCTTTGCCTCTGGCCCTGATCTCTGCAGCCTCCTTGGCCCAGACCCTGGGCCCTGCCAGTCCAGCTGTCTTCACGTGGCCTGCACAGACTGCCAAGCCACCAACCCTCAGGACTCCCTGTGGAGAACTAGGACGGGATGGGGGGCAGGGTGCTTCTGGATATTTTTCAAGGAGGGGCATGGGGGCTGTTTTGAAGCTATGTTTGCCCTATAAGCCAACTTTGATAGCGTATGGTAGACAAAGTTTTAAAAGAATTTTTTCTTCATGCTTTTATGTTAGATTGAACAAACATTACTTTGAAGAAGGGGGCAGCAGGTGCTGGGGGAACCTGATGGAGATTGAGAAGTGGGCCAGCCCCTGGACTACCCTCCCTGTCCCCACTGGTGTGGCCGTCACTGGAGGGACATTGATGTTCATCTGCCCATCTCCGCTCTGCAGAGGACAGAGGCAGACACAGGCTCTCCCATCTGCCTTGGGCCCAGACATGCCATTGGAAAACCCCCCTGGGGCCACTCACATGATGTGGGACTAAGAGTTTGGAGCTTTTCTCCTGGGACTCGTTTTCTGAGCCTTTCCCCATCCTGGCTTCTCTTCTCTGCTGTCCCCGCACGTCTGAGGTGATGCTAAGTCAGATTAAAGTGGGCCAGTCAGAAACATTTCCAAGGTCTGCTGGGGGCAGCTCCAGCAAGGTTCTTACTGTCTCCAGTAGCTACCCTATTACCTGAAATATATCCATTTAAGAACCATCTTATTTTTAATTTGTGTTTTTAAAAACCCCATAAGTTCATTTTCTCCCCTGAATTATGAAAATATATCACTGTGAAAAGTAGCAAAAAGTAGAAACAACCCCTCCCTCTCTGCTACCAAAAATGTCACAAAACACATACACCCAGTACCTTGAGAGGATCTCTAGTATTTTGGAGTATTTCTTTGAAGTCTTTAAAAATAAATATCAGAGTCATTTTTGTTATCATTGCTTAATATTGTGATTAGTCCATACATCAATGATCTTTTTTTTTTTTAAATAAAAACCATATCAACAGAAGCTTTTTTTTTTTTTTTTTTTTTTTTTTTGAGACAGGGTTTCACTTCCATTGCCCAGGCTGAATTGCAAGATTTCGGCTCACTGCAACCTCTGCCTCCCAGGCTCAGGTGATCCTCCCACCTCAGCCTCCTGAGTAGCTGGGACCACAGGTGCATGCCACCACACCCAGCGAATTTTTGTACTTTTTTGTAGAGACAGGATTTTGCCATGTTGCTCAGGCTGGTCTTGAACTCCTGAGCTCAAGTGCTCTGCCCACTTCAGCCTCCCAAAGTGCTGGGATTACAGGCATGAGCCACCATGCCCAACTAGAAGCTTTTTTTTTTTATGTTGCTATTAAGTGCTGGCTCTGATGTGCTACTAGCTCTGTAATTTGGGGTGTGTTAACCTCTCTGTGCCCCAGTTTTCTTATCTGCAAAATGAGGACAATACCAGTATCTATCCTACCGAGCTCCTGTAAGGATTTAATGAAATAGTGCAGGTAAAATGCTTTGCCAACAGCCACATTCAACAAATATTAGCAATTCATCTATTGCTAGCATGGACGAAGTTGAATTTTGCTTTTCAGCTAGGGTGAATAATCCAATGTTGAACACCTCTGTGTCTAGAGCCTCATCCATAGAGAGGATTAATTTCTTTCAAGAGATTCCTGGACATGGAGTTGCTGAACCAAAGGGTATAGGCCTTTTTTCTTTCTTTCTTTTTCTTTCTTTTTTTTTAAGACAATCTTCCTCTGTCACCCAGGCTGGAGTGCAATGGTGCGATCTCGGCTCATTACAACCTCTGCCTCCCGGGTTCAAGTGATTCTCCTGCCTCAGCCTCCTGAGTAGCTGGGACTACAGGCGCCTGCCACCACACCCAGCTGATTTTGCATTTTTAGTAGAGACGGGGTTTCACCATGTTGGTGAGGCTGGTCTCGAACTCCTGACCTCAAGCGATCTGCCTACCTCAGCCCCTCGAAGTGCTGGGATTATAGGCATGAGCCAGCATGCCTGGCCTTTTTTATTTTTATGGTTTTTTTTGTAGAGAGATGGTCTCACTAAGCTCTCCGGGGTGGTCTCTAGCGGTCCCCTCACCTTGCCCTCCCAAAGTGCTGGGATTATGCGTGAGAGCCACGGCTACTGGTCCCAGGCCTTTCTAAAGTTCTTGATATAGATTGCCATCAACACTCCTGCAGGAGAAGAAGACTCCTGGCGTTAAGTGTAACTCTGTCTTCTGAGTACAGGGCATTGAGTCTCTCTCCCTGACTCCAGCACACACAACGTTAGTGGATGTGAATTCAGACGGCTTCTCTCTCGGAACACGCCTGCCTAAGAGTTTGATAAGACATCTTGGCATCACAGCCGCCTGTTGGAATAACCCTGAGACCTCAGTTTCACTCTCTGTGAAACCTGGTCAAAGATCTTGCTCAAGGTGTGGCAAAGAGTAATCAATAACTAATGGCTGGGGCTGACTTTTGTTCTCCTGGTCATAAAAGACCTTTGAATTGCTTGGCCACTTTGGGTTTCTCAGGAAAAGTGATAACACTAAGCCAAAGTTCATCCCAGTTGGCCAGGCTGCCTCTCTCCAGCACCCACAAGGCTGGAGGGAGAGAGGGAATGACCACCGTCCCATGAGTGTTGGGCTGGGTTCACTGGGGTTAGGGTCACCAAGGGTAGGAGCCATTTCCCCATTGACCCACCTATGCATCACACCACAGAAATATCCCGGTGCTCTGTTTATCTCCCACCCCTCCCCCGACACAGCGGAAGGACGTAAGTTTTCACGCATAGTGGACAGAGGACTTAGACCGAATGAGGTGAGGCTTGGTCAGCCCTGATATGAGAAACACAGATCAAAACCAGACTTATCCCTCTGCTATCATCACCCAGCCACCCAACACCACTTCCCAGAATGACTCAATCGACATTTCCTGTACCCGAGCCTGGGATCTCCATTTTATTAAGCTTTCCGGAAGATGTTATCATCTAGCAAGTTTTTGAAGGAAGCATAGGACTATGCCTATCCCAGTGGTGTCTGCCCAGGTCTCCTCTGTGCTCAAACACCATGCAAGGCTTCCTCACTCCAGCCGGAAGCCTCAGCGCTTAGTGTGGTATTCTAGGCTTCAGTTCACCTGTACAGACCATCTCCCAGCTCTCCCTCACTCACTACCCACTGCAGCTACTCTGGGGTTCCTGGTGCTTGAATATGCTGTGGGCCTTTAGGAAGAGCAACCTTGCTCTTGTTATGCTGTTAACTTAATGAAATCCTCTCCAACATTTAAGGCCCAGCTCTGATGCTCCAACTCTAGAAGCCTCCCTTGATCCAGCCCTATCTAGAAGTGACCCCCTCAACTTTCCTCTGAGCTCCAATAGACTCTCCTCGTCTGGGCCCGCACGTAACTCTGGTCACTTTCCACCTTATTTTACAGATGTTGGTTGGCCTCATCTCCCCAAGCTGTCTAGAAGCTGCTTAAGGGCAGGCCCCACAACTGGTTGGTTCATCTCTATGTCCGCAGTGCAAAACGTCGCATCTCTTAAGGCAATTAGTAAGTGTGCTGTAATGAATTAATTCATGTCCACCATGACAAAGAGATACTGGTCCGAAACGTGAATTAAGTAGAGATAGCTTTATCTCTTCCTTTCCATTCTGGGTGCCTTTTATTTTATTTTCTTGCCTAATTGCCCCGGCAGGAAACTCAAGTACAATGTTGAATAGAAAAGGGGGGAATAGGTATCATCTTGTTCCTGGTCTTGGGGGAAGCACTTGGTCTTTCACCATTGAGTATGATTTAGTTGTGGGCTTTTTATAGATGCCCTCTACTAGGTTAAGGATATTCCCTTCTATTCCTATTTTGTTGAGTTTTATTATTATTATTATGAAGAAGTGTTGAATTTTGTCAAATGCTTTTTCCGCGTCTATTGAAATGATCATGTGGTTTTTGTCCTTTATTGTATTGACAAAGTGTATTACATTAATTGACATTTCAGATGTTAATCTTGCATTTCTGGGACATTTACCAGTTGGTCATGGTGTCTAATTCTTCTGATAAATTGCTGTGTTCTGCTTACTAGTATTTTGTTGAGATTTTTCTGTCTACATTCATAAATGAAATTGATCTGTGCTTTTTGTGTGATGTTTTGGTCTGATTTTTGTATCATAGTAATACTGGCTTCACAGGATAAGGTGGGAAGTGTTTCCTCCTCTTCTATTTTTTGGAAGTTTGTGAGGAATTCTTCAAAAATTTGGTAGAATGTACTAGTGAATTCTGGTCCTGGTCTTTTCTCTGTGGGTAGTTTTTTGATTACTAATTCCGTCTTTTTACTTGTTTCAAGTCATTCAGATGTTCTATTTCTTCCTGAAACAGTTTTACTACTTTATGGCTTTCCAGGAATTTGTCCATTTCATGTAAATTATCTAACTTGTTGGCATACAGTTGTTTATAGTAATCCTTTATAATCCATTTTATTTATATAAGGTCTGTAATAATCCCCCCTTTTTCATTCCTGATTTTAACAATTTGAATCTTCTCTCTTTTTTTCTTGATCCATCTAGATTAAGGTTTGTCAATTTTGTTAATCTTGTTGAATAACCAACTTTTAATTTCCTTGATTTTCTTGATATTTTTCTATCATCTATTTCATTAATTTTGGCTCTAAACTTTATTATTTCATTTCTTCTGCTTGTTCTAGGTTTAGTTTACTCTGCTTTTTTTCCAGTCTTAAGATTATTGATTAGAGATCTTTCTTCTTTTTTGTAATGTAGGTGTAAATTTCCCTCTAAGCACTGATTTGGCTGTATCCCAAGTGTTTTGATATATTTTGTCTTCATTTTTATTCATTGAAAAGATTTTCCTAATTTGCCTTGGAATTTTTTTTAATTCAATGATTCTTTAGGAGTGTGTTGTTTAATTTCCACATATTTGTGAATTTCCCAAATTTATTTCTGTCATTGATTTCTAATTTCACTCCATTGTTATTAGAGAACATACTATATATGATTTCAATCCTTTCAAATTTATTCAAATTTGTTTTATGACCTAGTATATGGTCTATCCTAGAGAAAGTTTCATGTACATTAGATGAGAATGTATACTATACTTTTGTTGATTGGAGTGGTCTGTAGATGTTTTTGAGGTCTAGCAGGTTTATAGTGGTGTTCAAAACTTCTGTTTCCTTGTTAATCTTCTGTGCCTCATAATTTTGTCTCTTCAATGCATTAGAAAATAAATGCTCCTTTCTTGTTTATTTATTTATTTTTATAGAGATTAGGGGGTATCACTATGTTGCCCAGGCTGGTCTCAAATTCCTGGGCTCAAAGTGATCCACCTGTCTGGGCCTCCCCAAATGCTGGGATTACAAGCGTGAGCCACTGTGCCCAGCCAATACATCTTTACAGATTAATTTGCTTGTTCCTTAGAGGTTTAGTTTTGGAGTCCTAACTATCGAGTTTGACTATCTAGACAAATGTAATTCTTCTTATAAGAACAAACTCTGTACTCCTCTGAGCTCTGGATGAATCTAACATATGAAATATTGGTTAAGGCTTGGAATGTAAAATCTTGGTGAAGAAGGGCTTTCTTACCTGATCCTCTTAGGGACATGTGATTCTTGAAGTGTGGTTCTAGATAAACCAGCCCTGAATCTGCTATTCAACCAAGCTGATGTTTTCTTCCTTCTCTCCTTTTCTCCTTGTTTCCTCCTTCTTTCTTCTCTCTTCTTCCCTCCTTCCCATACTTTTACTATCCTTTTTCCATCCAATCATTTATTTATACTTTTCTTCCTTTGTATCCATTCATTTGTCCTTTCCTTCTTCCTTCCTTCTTTCCTTTCTTCCCTTCTTCCTTGCTTCTTTTCTTCCTTCCTTTTTTTAATTCAGTTATTCATCCTATTCTCCATCCTTTCATCCATCTGTCCTTCTTTACTTCCGTCTATCTGTTCACCTTCCCTTACCTCCTCTCTTCTCTCACTGCCTTCTTTCATTTCTTTCCACTCTCCCTCCCTTCCTCCCATCTATCCACTCATCCATCCATTTTTAGCAATAAAGCACCAGACAGGACTCAAACTACCTGAAATAGCTGAGCTCGAAGTAGGTGTGGTGGTGGTGCTGGGGTGAAGGCCCCTGATTTCTAATTCTCATTTTCCTTCCAAGAATCTACAAAGTGCCTAATGGTGCTGCTTCACTCACAGACTTTTATAAAATACCTGTTGTGAGCCAGGCATAGTTCCTCGCACTGGGAATGAGTAAGGTCTAGTTGCTACTCCCAGGGACAGAGAATAACAGTACAGCCTGGAAAAACTGCAGTATGGCGGCCTCAAAGGCTGAGGAATAGGAACCTTCAGGGGGGCATTTGGAGAGGTTTTCTTGGAGAAATAGGTTTTTGGTCGAGCCTTGAATTATGAGCATTTATGTGAGAATCAAATGTAATAGCACATGAGATTATAAAATGTAAAAATGTCACAGAGAGGGAGTGACATTTATTGTTGAGACTTATGGTAAAAACCGCTTAAAGTAATAACAACTGGCCTGCATAGAAAAGGTATTTGTTAGAAGCATTAACAAATTCCTATGCAGTTTTTAAGACTGTAAGACAAATGTGCTGCTGGTGGAATCAGACACTCACAGAGTAGTGAGGCAGGGTAGAGGAGTACTTCAGAGCATGGGCTTTGGTATCAGACCCACCTGGCTCCAAGCCCTTCTGTCACTTGCTGTCCATGTGCTCATCTGTGGAATGGGGATGACAGTATAAGAGGATTAAATGGGATGGTACAGGTGGGGGTTGGTGGCACACAGTGAATGCTCTGTCAACGCCAGCTGCTACTGTTCATGAGAAAGGGGCTCAAAGGTCATCTGACTCCAGGTGGTATGGATTCATGTTTTCCTCCTGAAAAGGTGCTTTTTATCTGCTACCAAATAACCAAATATGTAATCTTGGGGAAATTACTTGTTTTTTCTTAGCCCTTCCTTGCCTTTTTTTTTTCAGTAAAATCTCTCAAGATCATAATGAGAAAAGCAAGATCTGGCTGGGCACGGTGGCTCATGCCTGTAATCCCAGCACTTTGGGAGGCCGAGGTGGGTGGATCACCAGAGGTCAGGAGGTCTAGACTAGCCTGGCCAACATGGTGAAACCCCATCTCTACTAAAAATACAAAAATTAGCTGGACCTGGTGTCCCACACCTGTAGTCCCAGCTACTTGGGAGTCTGAGGCAGGAGAATCGCTTGAACCCGGGAGGCAGAGGTTGCAGTGAGTTGAGATTGCACCACTGCACTCCAGCCTGGGCAACAGAGCGAGACTCAGTCTCAAAAACAATAAAAAGAAAGATCTGTTAAGGGAAAAGATATTTGAAAATTGAAAATTGCAAGCCAAAGATGTTCACCTCAGTATTGTTTATCATGGAGATGTAGGGAAATGGAAAAAGCATAGATAGACATCCCAAAATAGGGGACTATTAAATAAATTATGAAACTTCCTTCAGTGGAATCACAAGCAATGAAGAATTAGGTCCATGAAAGCCAAGGTTTTCTCCTTTTGTTGAATGGGGAACCCCTCAGCACCCAAAACAATGCTCGTCATATGGTAGGTGCTCAGTATTTATCAAAGAAACGAATGAACAAAGAAAAATTAACTGCCAAGAGGCATCCACCTGGCTGTTGTTTTGGTGCATGGGGTAGAAAAGTGGACTAGAAGAGCTAGGGTTGAGAGACTAAGGAGAGAGCAAGAAAGTTAAACTATCAAGAGCTGTCAAGTGGGATGTTTGAGGGTGTTTGTTGGATGCTGGGCTGTATGACTGTCTCCTCCATGTCCCACAAAGTCTTCAGTAAAATATACAGTGTCTGGCAGTGTTTTTGGAATTGCATGTGTGTTTTTAGGAGGTGAAATGAAATATAGAAGACTGGCTTCAATTGGAGAATACCATGGGCATCCAGTCACATCTGAGTATGATAATGTAGAAGAGTTTAATGACGTGGAAAGATGCTCACAATATATTGTTAAGGAAAATAATTGGGTACAGAAGGGGATGGGTAATTGCATCCCATTTTGGTTAAAATAGAAAAACATCTGCTCATGTCTGGATGGTGAGTTGAAGAAATATTTTTTCCTTTTTGTGAATTCATGCTTTAAACTTTTCTTTAATCAATATGTACTGCTTGTGAACTTGAAAATAACGTGAACTGTTGGATGAGCTTGAGCTGTCCTTATTGCATTTGACTGGTTGGTAAAGAAATTGAGCTAGGGTCAAGTGTCATTGTCAAGATCAAGCCAAGACTGAGTGGCCCATCAATTTATGGCCAGTTCAGTGACGTTTCTACTGGATTAGAAGGAAACAAGTAGTGTTTTCAGTGCCTTGGACCCCCAGCATCTGAAAGATCTGAAAGACTGGGCCATTCCTTCTTCCACTACCTCCCTTTTGCTAGAGTCCAGAGAACGATCATTGTCCAGGAGACTATCAATGGTTATAAGTATATTCCCTCTTCTCCATTTCAAAGGACACTCACTAGGTTTTCTTTTGTACTTCAGGTCAGTAACATGACCCTTGGGATCCTCTGGGAAGAGAATCATGTTAGCAGGATGGGCTGTGAAGCCTCCTGCAGATTAAGCCAGTTATAATCTGTGACTCATATCTGTAGATAGCAATTTTCTTACAGGTGTTTGTTGAGTGATAGGGACATACAGAGAGACAAGAGATAGAGGGGCAGCCCAGGTAACATACCAAAAAGCATAACTGTATAACCTGGAACTGAAAGAGACCTTTGACATCACCTAACTTGTGGCTGGGTGATCTGGGAAACAGGCTTGGGTTGTACAGCCAGGGCCAGAATGAGGTGGTTTTGCTTCCTAAACATCTCTCCATTTCATCCTTTCCTGCTCCTTCTCCCTACTCTGGCCTGCAGGGACGCCACAGCACTTCCCTAGCTGATCTTCTTTCAATCCAGAGCTATGTCACTAAAGGTTCTTTGAGCTTATGTTGAGGAATCTGGACTTAAATCTGGGGCAAGGAGACACCATGGAAGAATTTTTAGGCAGGAGCACAATGGGGTCATATCTGGATTTCAGGTGGCCACAGAAACCCTTTGTTTGTTGTGTACAGAATGGACCCAAGGCAGTTAGAGTAGACTCAGGGAGAGCAGTGAGGAGGCTGCTGTAATTGTCCAGGTGAGAGGAGGTGACAGCCTGGACCAGGGCTGTGGCAGTGGAGGTAAGTGGGTGGTCTCCCTGACTCCTCAAGCCTCTCATTGACCTCCACCTTTGGTGCTTATAGTCAGTATCCCCCAGTTTAATACCTAGTTCTGGGCTTCTATTGGTTAGGATATTTCAGATGTGATTGCATAGAAACCCACCTCAAACCAGCTTAACTCAGCATCATTGAGCCATGTCAGGCACATGATAGGTGTTTAGTAAACAATGAACCAGTAAATGAATGAATGACTTAATGAATGACTCTTGACTCCTGGACCATTGTTCTTTCTACTGTGCATAATACTGACTTTAAGCCTAAATTCCATAACCCTAAATTCCATAACCTCTAAAGACCATCTATTCTGGGCTTGCGCCCAACTCAGGAATGCCCCCTACAACATGCTTGACAGATACCCGTTTGGCTTGTCTTTGGAATTTTCCAAGGACAGAATATTCACTACCTCAAAAAGCCATTCAGATGAAAGAGTAAATAGATATATATATTTTTTGAAATATATAAATAAAGCTTTTGAAATAAAGCTTTTGAAAGCTTTATTGAAGTATAATTTACATATACCCATTTAAATATAAAGTTCAATGAGTTTGACAAACATATACAGTCCTGTAACTACCACTGCAAAGCCATTTTAGAATATTTCCATCATAGAGCTGAGCATGATAGTTTGCACCTGTAATCTCAGCTACTCAGGAGGCTGAGGATTGCTTGGACCCAGGAGGCTGAAGATTGCTTGGACCCAGGAGTTGGAGGCTGTAGTGAGCTATGATTGTGTCACTGCACTCCAGCCTGGACAACAGAGCAAGACCCTGTCTAACATTTCCATTGTGCCACAAAGTTTGTTTATATTCCCTTGCAGTTCGTCTGTTCTGTCCACTCCTGGTCTCTACTTTCTGTCCTTTTAATTTTGTGTTTTCTAAAACTTCATTTGAATGGAATCATTACTATGTGGTCTTGAATCGGGAATAGTTTACTTAGTATAATGTATTTGAGATTCATCTACGCTGTTGTGTCGGTAGTTTGTTCCCTTTTATTGCTGAGTAGTATTCCAATAAATGGGCATATCACAATTTGCTGATTCATTCACCAGTTGAAGGACATTTGTGTTGTTTCCAGTTTTGGCTATTGTTAACTGAGCTACTGTGAAAATTCACATATACATCCTTGAGTGGACATATTTTTTTCGTTTATCTTATATAAATACCTAGGGTGGGATTTCCGGGTACTATAAAAGATATATGTTTAATTTTATTAGGAAAAAACTGCCGAACTATTTTCCAAAGTGGTTATACCATTTTGCATTCCTGGCAATATGGTATGAGAGTTCCAGTTGTTCCACAACATCATAAGCACTTGGTATTGTCAGTTTTAACATTTTAGTCACCATAGGGAATGCGTAGTGCTTTCATATTGTGATTTTCTCATATATTCCCTTAATGACTAATGATATAGAGCATTTTCCATGTGCTTATTTGCTATTCCAACAAAATAGGTGTAACTTTAAGGCAATTCTTTCTGCTCTTAGAAATCTCCAAACTCTCTCTATTGATTCAATTCAGTTTAACAAATATTTACAGATGACTTACTCTATGTCATTTACTGCGAGGTCTGATGAGCCCAAGACGATTAAGATCCATCCCTGATCTTGATTTGTTTAGAGTCTCATGGGGGGAAACATACTTAAAAGAGAAACATTTCTCTTTAAAACTGTTAGTGGATTCATAGAGGTAAGCCCAGGACACAGGGAAAAACTGAGGAAGAGTACTCTACCCAGTCAACGGTGCTGGCAGGCGGTAGGGTGTGAGGAATGTTCACAGGAACGTCCACCCTGGCTCTGAACTGTGGCATCACAGAGGTACGGACTTGTTATCATTCATTCGTCACATACTCAATGAGCACCTAACGTGGACCAGATGCTGTGCTGGCCTGGGGAGGATGGGTATAAACCAGACAGACATTGTCCCTGTCTCAAGGATCTTACAAAGTGAGAACAAAAGTTCATTTCCTTTCCTTGTGGAAACATATTTTAAAAAAACTACCTAACTACTTATTATATATATAAAAAAAACCCTACCTATCAAAGAATTGCTAAGTGATTAGAAAACATAAAAACAGATTTATGCTAATTGTATGTTATATAATTTTACAGGGATGATTCATTATAATGTCTTTTATTTAAGACATAGGTATTTATTCAGTGCTCAGCTCCTTCACATGGATTATCTCACTGGGTCTACATGATCAATGAGAGAGATTAGATTGCTACCGTCTGAAACTGAGAGTCAGAGAGCTAAAAAAACTGGCCCAAAGGCACTCAAAAGTAGAACCAGTCTTTGAAGCAAAATCTTGGGACTTTAAGTTCAAATGCTACTTTGAATAATATCTGTACCATTGGCATATTTTTAGTACAATTTGAGGACTGAAGTACTAACTCTAAAATTACTAATTAAAATTAAGGTCCAAGGGATTATGGTTTGTGTTATTTTCCAAATATCTATCCAAATCCCCCATTGAGCCTATGAGGATATGGGGGTCCAGTGGGAATAGCCACATAGAGAGTCACAATCCAAGTCCAGGCCTCCTGACTCCATGCTGTTGCTTTGTGAGAGTGCTACCTCTCAGTGCTAACTTGTATGATCACTCCTGTTTATTTAGTCCATAGGCATTTGGAGCAGATGTGCTGCTGGAGGCAAAAAAGTGAGGAATGGTGGGAAGAGAGACTAGAGAGACCTGGGTTCAAATCTCAGCTCTGCTAGTCTCAAGCTGAATGATTTGGCAAGTAGCTTAACTTTTTCTTTTCTTTTCTTTTCTTTTCTTTCTTTTTTTCGTTCTTTCCTTTTCTTTTTCTTTCTTTTCTTTCTCTCTTTCTTTCTTTCCTCCTTCTTTCTTTCTTTTTTTTTCACGGGGTCTCACTATGTTGCCCAGGCTGGAGTGCAGCGGTGCAATCTCAGCTCACTGCAACCTCCACCTTCCAGGCTCAAGCAATCCTCCCACCTCAGCCCTCAAATAGCTGGTACCACAGGCACATGCCACCACACCCGGCTAATTTTTGTATTTGTTTTTGTAGAGATGGGGTTTTGCTATGTTGCCCAGGATGGTGGTCTCGAACTCCTGGGTTCAAGTGATCTGTCCGCTTCAGCCTCCCAAAGTGTTAGGATTACAGGCATGAGCCACCACATCCAGCCTCAGCTTAATTTTTCTGAGTCTCAGCTTCCTGGTCTGTGAAATGGGGCTAATAACAGCACTGACACCTTAAAGCTGCTGGAAGGCATCAAAGAAGAAATGTGTAGGAAGCCCTCCCCTTGAGCTCTGGATTTTGAATAGGTAAAGGAATGCAAACACTTAGCTCCCTGCTGGGCCTATAATAGCACTCGATAAATTACACAATGACCAGCTTTTCTATTTAATAATTGCACTAAAATTATTTTTTATGAAGATCAAATTAAAGGAAATTTGAATAGAGAACATTTTTACTCAAACCTAAATTCAAAGACACTGTTTTTATCTCTCCATGTTTTTTCAAAACTTTATCCCCATTTGGGAATTGCACTAAAATGATTTATTATTAAAAATCTGACACCAACATTAAGGAAAGCCCAAGAGTACATTTTTATTTTAAGTCCACCACTCAAATGTGCTAACAGTTTTAATTTTCCACATTTCATTCCAACATTTATCCAGAGATTTTTTTTATATTGTTGGAATCAGAATGATTCTCTTTGTGTCATTCTTTTTAAAAAAATTTTTTTCATTATTTAATTTTATTTCAGATTATGTAATGAATTACGTTCATATGTAAACCTTATGCTTATGATTTCTTATGGTTCCATAGAATTCTACTCAGTAGAATCTAGCCAGTAACATGGAACTCAACTCTTGCAGGAAATATTATATTATCATGTCACCTTATATATTCCACAAAATCACTAAATGTTTACTATTTAGCCTTTGAGCATCATGACAATCCTGTAAGTACTAAACAATTCCATTTTACAGATAAGGAAACTGAGGCTCAGGTTATTTTAATAAGTTGCCAAAATTCATACAGCTAATGTCTAGTGTTCATGTTATCTACTACTACAACGAATTACCTCAAGATGTAGTGGCTTAAAGCAACAACATCCATTTATTTGTTCTTAATTCTGCAATTTGGGCAGGGCTTGGTGGGGCTGGTTCATCTCTGTTCCACATGGTACTGACGAGAGTGGCTTCAGTGGAACTGGAAGATCCAAGATGAGTTCATTCAGGTGCCTGGTGTCTCAGCTGAGGAGGCCGAAATGGCAGGGGGCTGGTTGGGTTTCTCTCCCTTTGTGGTCTCTAATCTTCTAGGGGCTCTTTCTTTCTTTCTCTCCACGTGGTCTGTCCAGCAGATTAGCTGGGCTTCTTTCCATGATGGCTGGCTTCCTAGAGGGCAAAAACAGAAGCTCCCAGGTGTCTTAAGAACTAGCCCCAGAAATGGCACCGTGTCATTTCTGTTACATTCTCTTGGTCAAAACAAGTCACAAGGCCAGCCCAAAGTCAAGGAGAGGGAAACAGACCCTACCCTTGATGCTTGGAGGCATAGTGTGCATGAGGATGGGCTGGACTGTTGGCCATCATCTTTACAGTGATAGAGCAGGGCTTCAAACACAGGCCTGTCTTCCTCCAGGCTCCAAACTCAGCTCCCGCCCCCATACCCCCTCAATGAATGTTTTTGTCTGGCTAGCTTTTTCTCTTCCTTTCACTCATTTTTAGGGTAAATTCCCAAGGACAGGGAGACTTGGTCAAAGGGCAGACAATGTTGAGCTCTATGCTGAGATAAATCAACTTTTGCATAACAAAGTAATCTCATGAGCTTTAAGTATGTGACTAAAAACTTTTTTTTCCCCACCTCCTTTTTCTTCACAAAGGAGACCAGGTTTATTTTTGTTCATTCTATTGTTTCACCTATTTTGACAGAGGAAATCTTGGTTCCTGCTGTGGAGAACATCCTCAGGACTTCCAGGCAACAACAAAGTCAGCAAAGAGCTGTGACATTCACCTGCTCCTGAGCTATGCAGGATGGTGTTCCCTGTGGATCGGGGCATGCGGGAAAACTCACTGGCTGACCTTGACTTTTCACAGAACTTGGGATGTCATGAAACGAACATGACTTAGACTTGCCCGAGTTTAGACCTCCTTCTGAAGTGTAACCCTGTGCGTCTTTGTTTACTGTCTCAGTTTATGCCTGTTGTCACGTGTCCTGTCCAGTTTAGTATTTGTCCAGGGCAAAAGTTTTCCAATTTGGGCAATAAATTATATGATCACCCTTCCTGCCGCAGGAGCTTGGGCAAGACATTTCTCCTCCCTGAGCCTCAGTTTCCTCATCTGTACAGTGGGCCTGGCTACCTATTTCACAGAAATATGGATCCCTTTTCACTTAATAGCATCCTTCCATGTGGCAGAAACTGTCTTGGACTCTGGAGGATCCAGGGGGTAACAAAACGTGGTTCCTGCTCTGCTAGTAAACAAGCAAGATAATTTCAGAAATTTGATTTATATCAGGAAGTCAGGAAGGGCCTCTCTGAGGAGGTGGAATTTGAGATAAGGGATGAGGAATGAGAGCAGGCCACAAAGGGAGCTGAGGGAAGAACATGCCAGGTTAAGGGAACAGCAGTGCAAAGGCCATGGGGCAAGAGATAACTGGCCAGAGGGAACGGAATGGAGCTCAGGAGCAGGTCGTGTTCTATAAACTGCGAAGAGCCCCAGCAGTTATTTTCCTCCTAGAGGGTTTTAAAATACTCTCCCATCCTTTAACTGAAATGATTCTCAAAATAACTCCAAAAAGGCAGGGCAGGGCAGAGGTTTTTTTTTTCTTTTAATTTTAATTTTTTTTTTTTTTTAGACAGAGTCTTGCTCTGTCGCCCAGGCTGGAGTGCAGTGGCACGATCTCTGCTCACTGCAACCTCCACCTCCCAGCTTCAAGCAATTCTTGTGCCTCAGCCTCCTGAGTAGCTGGCACCACAGGTGTGCACCACCACACCCGGCTAATTTTTTTTTTTTTAGATGGAGCCTCACTCTGTCACCAAGCTGGAGTGCAGTGGTGCGATCTCGGCTCACTGCAACCTCCGCCTACTGAGTTCAAGCAATTCTCCTGCCTTAGCCTCCCTAGTAGCTGGGATTACAGGCGCCCGCCACCACACTCAGCTAATTTTTTGTATTTTTAGTGGAGATGGGGTTTCACTATATTGGCCGGGCTGGTCTCAAACTCCTGACCTCAGGCGATCCACCCGTCTCAGCCTTCCAAAGTGCTAGGATTACAGGCGTGAGCCACCACACCCGGCCACGCCTGGCTAATTTTTGTATTCTTAGTAGAGATGGGGTTTCACCATGTTGGACAGACTGGTCTTGAACTCCTGACCTCAGGTGATCCACCTGCCTCGACCTCCCAGAGTGTTGGGATTACAGGTGTGAGCCACTGCACCCAGCCTAATTTTAATTTTAAAATTCTAATTAGAGACGAGGTCTTGCTATGTTGCCCAGGCTAGTCTTGAACTCCTAGGCTCAAGCTATCCTCTTTCCTCAGCCTCCTGAAGTGCTGGAATTACATGCATGAGCCACAGTGCCTGACCCAAAGATGTATTATTATTATTATTGTTATTATTATTTTTTGAGAATGAGTCTCACTCTGTCACCCAGGCTGGAGTGCAGTGGCAAGATCTCGCGCTGCAACCTCCATCTCCCAGGTTCAAGCGATTCTCCTGCCTCAGCCTCCTGAGTAGCTGGGATTACAGGCACATGCCACCACGCGCAGCTAATTTTTGTATTTTTAGTAGAGACAAGGTTTCACCATATTGGTCAGGCTGGTCTCGAACTCCTGACCTCGTGATCCACCCGCCTCGGCCTCCCAAAGTGCTGGGATTATAGGCATGAGCCACCGTGCCTGGCCAAAGATGTATTATTAATCCTGCTTTACAGAACAAAAAATCCTTATGAGTTATCTTTGCAAATTTTTCCAAAATGGACCCACTATATTTCTATGCTTAAATTTAATCTGACGTATCTCCATGATCTTTTATTGTTTTTGATGATAGGAATCTTTCAGAAACCAGAGACATCTTTAGGCACATCTTCCCATTGTGATATTTAATTCGGTAGTTAAGTCCTCATGTGCACTGCTTTTGCATCTATATTCATAAGAGATATTGATCTGTAGTTTTCTTGTGATGACTTTGGTTTTAGTATCGAAGTAGTGCTGGCCTCACAGACTGAGGTGGGAAGTGTTCCCTCCTCTTCTATTTTTTTGGAAGATGTTGTGAGAATCGTATTAGTCCTTTTTCAAATGTTTGATAGAATTCACCAGTGGAGATATCTGGGTCTGGTCTTTTCTTTGTGGATAATTTTTTATTTCTAATTCGATCTCTTTACTTCTATTTCTTCTTGAATCAGTTTTAATAGTTTGCACCTTTCTAGGAGTTTGTTCATTTTATCTGCGTTTTCTAATTTATTGCCATTCAGTTGTTCATAGTTTCTCTCACAATCCTTTCTATTTCTGTAAGTGACTCCTCTTTTATTTTTTAATTTTATTTATTTTTTGGAGACGGAGTCTTGCTCTGTCACCCAGGCTGGAGTGCAGTGGCGCGATCTTTGCTCATTGCAAACTCCGCCTCCCGAGTTCACGCCATTCTCCTGCCTCAACCTCCTGAGTAGCTGGGACTACAGGCGCCTGCCACCACACCCGGCTAATTTTTGCATTTTTAGTAGGACCTCAGGTGATTGGCCTGCATCGGCCTCCCAAAGTGTTGGGATTACAGGTATGAGCCACCATGCCCGGCATTATTTCTTATTTTAGTAATATGAGTCATCTCTCTTTTTTTCTTGGTCAATCTAACTGAAGTTCTCTTAATTTATTTTGCTGATCTTTTCAAAGGACCAATTATTGGTTTTGTTGATTTTTCTCTATTGTTTTTCTAGTCTCTATTTTGTTGGTTTCTGTTAAAATTTGTATTATTTCTTCTTTTCTGCTTGCTTTTTCCAGTGTCTGGGTAGAGGGTTAGATTATTGATTCTAGATCTTTCTTCATATTTCTTCATTTTTAATATAGGCATTTAACATTCTAAATTTCCCTCTGTCATGTATACCAATGTTTAACTTTTGGACTATAGGGTCTCATTGTACCCTCCCCACTCACCCTGAAGAGGCTGGAGTAAAATAATCAGGCCTAGAGTCAGGGAGCCTTGGCCTGGTCCTGACACTGCTGCTCACTAAGTGACCTCTGATGAGTCCCTGCCCCTCTTGAGTCTTAGTTGTTGTCTGTCTGTAAAATGAAGAGGCTGACCATGGCATCTCCAGGAGTCTCCTAGTCAAACTAGCCTGGGGGACAGGCTCATGTCAGACTCATCTCTGTGTCCCTTTTGATTGGACATCTGTTGTTTCTGCCGCTCAGCACTCTCCTTTCCCTTTGGTAAGGCACCTGCTTTCCCTTTGGGGAGACACTCATTCCTCACCTTCTATTCAAAGTTTTTTTTTGTGCCATGGACCCCTCTGGCAGCCCATAGAAGCCCATGGACCCCTCCTCAGATTGATTTCTTATTTTTATTTTATTTTATTTTAATTTTTTTTGAGACGGTCTCGCTCTGTTGTCCAGGCTGGAGTGCAGTGGCGCGATCTTGGCTCACTGCAGTCTCCATCTCCCGGGTTCAAGTGATTCTCCTGACTCAGCCTCCCAAGTAGCTGGGACTACAGGCATGTGCCACCATGCCCAGCTAAGTTTTGTATTTTCAGTAGAGACAGGGTTTCACCATGTTGCCCAGGCTGGTCTCAAATTCCTGACCTCAGGTGATCTGCCTGCCTCAGCCTCCCAAAGTGCTGGGATCACAGGCATAAGCCACCATGCCCGGCCTCAGATTGATTTTTTAAATGGTATGACATATACTACATATGGTCTAAAGGAAGCCAATTGTATTGAAACAGTTATGAAATTATTAGGAAAACAAACTTTTGATATAGAAATATTTGTACTTCTTGATTAGCACAATAAAAACCAAGCCCTACTTGGCCTAATAACCAGTATAATTTCAAACTAGTGTTGAACATAAGTGATATTTTAAGATACCTGTGACAATTGTGATGTGATATGAAATATCTGTGATCTCTATTGGTGACAAAGTTATAGGTAATTTTTTTTAGACAAATTATTGTTCTATTGCCCAGGCTAGAGTGCAGGCGTGATTGTGGCTCACTGAAGCCTCGACCTCCTGGGCTCAAGCCATCCTCCCACCACAGCCTCCTGAGTAGCTGGGACTACTGTGCCTGGCTAATTTATTTTTTCTGTAGAGACGAAGTCTTACTATGTTGCCCAGGCCGGTAATTTTAATACTACCATGACTTGTTGGCTATATTTATAACAGAAAAGAAAATGCTAAATTTCAGTTGCAGATTAGTGAAAAGAGAGATGTATTTTTTTTTTCTCACCCAAATTAATGGTTCCTTACTAAGAAGCCCTGGTTTGGGGGGTTTATATCAAACTGCTTGACTCCTGGATTCAGAGGTAGCCATGTAACTCAATACTGGTCAATCAGCGCAGGGATTGGATAAGAGTTTTGAATCAAATGGATGAAATCAGAATTGGGCTAGGCACGGTGGCTCATGCTTGTAATCCCAGCAATTTGGAAGGCTGAGGCGGGCGAATCATGAGGTCAAGAGATCGAGACCATCCTGGCCAACATGGTAAAACCCTGTGTCTACTAAAAATACATAAATTAGCTGGGTGTGGTGGTGCGCGCCTGTAGTCCCAGCTACTTTGGAGGCTGAGGTAGGAGAATCGCTTGAACCCAGGAGGCAGAGGTTGCAGTGAGCCGAGATCGTGCCACGGCACTCCAGCCTGGTGACAGAGCAAGACTCCATCTCAAAAAAAAAAAAAAGGAAGAAAAAGAATTAATCCAGGGCTTTTGCTGGACAACTGGGAGAGTTTCTTCTGCGGGTCTTGCTAAGAGGTTTGGGTTTAGCCTGGAACATGTCACCTCGCTGTCACCAGGAAAGAACCTGACTCAGAATCAAGCCAACAGAGAGGAAAGCAGAGCTGAGAAATGAACATCCACATCTTCCTGATAACATCCCTCCCTTCAGTGTGTTAATTATGTAAGCCCATATATTATCTGTTAAAGCCGGTTTGGGTAGGGTTTTCTGCTCATTGCAAACAAAGGAGTCACAACTAGTACAGTCCCAGGAAGCTTGGCAGAGTGCCTGCCACAAAGTAGGTTGCCCATGAAGGAATGATGAATGAATTTCAAACAATGTAGCAACATGATTAATGTTATTCACTGAACTCATGTAGGTAGATCTGGCTCAATTGTGTATTAAAAGATGAAGACTCAAAGTAAGCATTCCATAGGCTTTTATTGTTTAAATGAATGAAAGAACTCATCCATTGTCATCATTTTATTAACAAACTATCCCCAGCTTTGCATATTCTTTAGTGATCCAATCAGGACCACACAACCAAATGGGGAATGCAAGTCTAGAATCACGATGGACTAATAGTTACAAATCAAGTTTGTGTCACACTCACATGGGGAAAACCATGCAGCAATGTAAAGGAAGAAGGTAGATCTATATGTACTGATATGGGAAGACCTCCAAGACACTCTAAGAAGGAAATTACAAAATAGTAATCACATTAAGATGCCATTCTCGGCCGGGCGCGGTGGCTCATGCCTGTAATCTCAGCACTTTGGGAGGCCAAGGGGGGTGGATTGTCTGAGGTCAGGAGTTCGAGACCAACCTGGCCAACATAGTGAAACCCCGTCTCTACTGAAAATATAAAAAGTTAGCTGGGCATGGTGGTGGGCGCCTGTAATCCCAGCTACTAGGGAGGCTGAGGCAGGAGAATCGCTTGAACCCAGGAGGCGGAGGTTGCAGTGAGCCCAGATTGTGCCACTGCACTCCAGCCTGGGCAACAAGAGTGAAACTCCGTCTCAAAAAAAAAAAAAAAAGCTGTTCTCATAAAAACAAAATCTCCCAAACAAAAACTTGAGTTCCTCTATGAACATAAATGAGTGTAAATCCAAGAAAAAGTCTAGAAGTCCACTCATGAAACACTCATAGTGGGTACCTCTAGCAAGGGAATGGTCACAGAGCCTTGTCCTTTCTCTGTTGTTTCCAATTTTTATACGAGGATAAAATAGTTGTGTTACTTGTGTACTTTAAAATAATTTCTAATTTTAAAATGAAATAATAAAACAACTCTGACAGAAGGGAGAATATTCCTTTTATGTTTCTCTCCCCCTCAGGTGTCTGTCCGAATTCTTGGGGAAGCTGAGGAAACCAGGGCTGTGACTGTAATATTCTGCTGTACCTATGATCTGTGCCCATGATGCTCTGCTGTATCCATGATGCTGTGCCCATGATGCCATGTCATGCTCTCTGTACCTTGCCATGCCTGTGACACTATGCCCTCTCCCTGGGATTCTGCAGTCTTCCTGGCTGCTCTAGAAGCCAGGGAGATTCCACCCCATGTAAAATGCTCCTGGGGTGGCCTGCTGACCTGGATTCTCCTCTCAACATCTTGAGCCCAACCACCTCTGCTGTCAAACTACACATGGCCCAGGTGACTTCTCTCACAAATGGGAGAGGGAATCAGAGCATTTCATAGTCAGAGCAGAGGCCCTGGGGAGATGCCCATCTGCAGCAGACTTGGGACAACTGATCCAATTCAAGTCCATCATTGTGCAGAGTGGGATTGTGAGCCTCAGAGTGGAGAGAAGATTCATCCAACTGTGGGTTCGGTGCCAGCCAGAGTGGGACTCCACCCTGACTCCCAGTTCAGAGCTCATTTTGGTGGGGGGTCCTGAAGTTCTACCATCATAGTTACCCCTTGCTTGGGTCTCCAAAATGTCCCTGTTCCAATGTATATCTGTTACTTAAATAACACATTTGCAACATAGCTATCAGAGGGGTTGGTTTTTATTTAGAAAGAAGCTAATAAGTTATATTTTATTTATTATAAAGACAAAATTGTAACAGCACAAATGAAAATATTATTAATAAAAGAAATTCTTTCTGCCACCCTAATCATGTTTCATTTGTTCACATTACTTAATGTCATTCTAACATACACACTTTATGTGTACATTTATGCGTACAGCTGTAACCTTTTTATATACATTTTATCATCTTTTTTCACTCAATGTTTATTTTTTCTATTTTTAAGGAGCTGAATTCAGAAGACAATGTTATACATTTATATAGCTTTCTACCTTCTGCACAGTATTTCATCAAGTAAGTAAACCATGACACCTTCATAGTTTTTGTATCATGAAATATTTTAATCATACAGAAAATCGCAAGGAACAATATACCACACATATTTAACAAATATTGATATTTAAAAAATATTTCTAAGCTTGGCATAGTGGTGTGTGCCTATAGTTCCAGCTACTCACTTGGGAGGCTGAGGCAGGAGGATCGCTTGAGCCCAGGAATTTTAGGCTGTGGTGTGCTATGCTGATTAGGTATCTGCACTAAGTTTGGGATAAATATGATGACCTCCTGGGAGCAGGGGACCACTAGGTTGCCTAATGTGCGGTGAACCAGCCCAGTCTGGAAATGGAGCAAGTCAAAATTCCCGTGCTGATTAGTTGAGGGATGGCATCTGTGAATAGCTATGGCTTTCCATCCTGGGCAACATAGCGAGACCCTGTCTCTTAAAAAAAATAAAGATACATTTACAGGTACAGTTGGAGCTTTCCTCTGCATGATGTACTCAAGTCCCTCCCAGGATGGACTATATAATTTTCAGGGCCCAGTGCAAAATGGAAATGCAGGGACCCTTATTCAAAAATCATGATGAGTTTCAAGACAGCAACAGCAGAGCATTAAACCAAGCACAGAGCCCTTCTAAGTACAGGTCTTAGTGCTACTGCACAGGTGACAGCTGTGCTACATCCAGGCAGCCAGCTCTAATTCCGCATCTCCTCTCACTTTCTTAACATTGATCTGTGTCTTTGTTGTCCCATGTTTATGCTTTTACTTCATATACATGCATAGACCAATATTATGGAGTATTGTGTTACATGTTTTAAAATATTGCATAAATGGCATCATATTGTCTGTATCCTTAGGTTGCTTGTCTTACTCTTTTTGAGAGGTATCTGTGTGGAATCATGGAGATGTTATTCATTTTCACTGTCGCCTAATAATCCATTGTGAGATCTCACCACAGTTCATTTATCCAGTACCCTACATTTTTATCATAATTAACAGTACTAAGGTGAACATCCTTGGGCACAGTTCTCTGTGCATGTATGTGAGTTTCTGTCTATCTGTCACTAGGTGTGGAATTGAACTGCTCTGCCTTGCTGGATGTTGAAGTTATTTCCAAGTTTTTGCTTGGCATCAATGTGCTCCCCTGGGGTGCCTCCCTTTGGATGTTCCTAAGTCATCTGAAAAGCTTCCCTTGGGAGACTTTCCTCTGAGCTACCTTTCTTTTAAGATCACCATCCACACAGTCAGAAACTGTGTGTCCTGACCCTTTCCTTTTATTCCCTCACCACTTCTAACCTATTGCCAAAGCCTATGGATTCCCACTCTAAAATATGGCTTTAACCCATCCTTCCTCCATTTCCTTCCTGCTACTTCTGTTATCTTGGCTCGGGAACCCCCCTCCCCTAGACTCCTTTTCCAACTCCTAACTTGTCCCTCAACCCCCCCAGTCTCCAGCCCCCCAACTTTCTCCACTGAAGGACTTATTACACCCTACCAAGTTGCATGGTGACATGGTGACATGCAGTGCTCCCATGAACATTGTAGAGATCAGAGCTGTGAGTTACATGACAGCAAAGATTGCATCATAGTCACCATTTGTGGACCTGTAGCATGGTACCTGGTACCCAACAGAATCTAAAAATATCTGTTGAATCAAAGTCCGAATAAACATCATGCTGTCATTTTCCTATCTTTTGGATGACTCAGGATAAATTCGCCAAAGGAGCATTATTGATGACTTAGGATAATGAACATAAAGTTCATAGTCCTGTGTAAACTGAATTTGATCCACACAAAACTTTAGGTCAGTTGAGACCAGCATGGGCAACAGAGTGAGACCCTGTCTCTACAAAAATATAAATAAGTTAGCTGGACATGGTGGCGTGCCTATCGTTCTTACTACTTGGGAGGCTAAGCAGGGAGGATCACTTAAGCCCAGGAGCTTGGAGCTGCAGTGAACTATGATCACACTACCGCACTCCAGTCTGTGACAGAACGAGACCTTGTCTCTAAATAAAAATATATAATTTAAAAAACTCTAGGTCAGGTGTGAGAGATAGGATGACCCTTAGCAAGAAGTGGTTTTCCCAAGATCCCAAAGCCAGTAAGAGACAAAGTATAAAGAGCAACAGGTACTCAGGTATTCTTTCCACCTGCTTGTCCTATTTCATAGGTGTCCTAAATTTAGTTTAGAAATAACTAAATATAAACTATGTTGCCTTTTAATGTCGGGTGACTGTCTCTTTAAATCTTGCTGTTTTAACACAAATATACTTCATTCTAATGTGTATATATATATAATATGTATATATATTTAAATAATAACCTGATAGAATTTGTATCTCTCTAGAAAAGAAAGAACTCTCATCTCGGGGCCTTTGTTTATCCATCTATTAAATGGGCATAAGGAGGGTCCTTCTAGGATCTTTTGCTCTGTGAGTAGATAAGGAAAAAGCACACTTTTCTATCCCTATCTAATTTTGTTGCTCCCATGCTCTGTGCAGTCATTTATGGGGCTGAGGAGGATGAAGGAGGAGGATTTATGGGGCTCTTGCAAAACTGGGAAACAGTAATAGCTGACATTATAGCTGCCAGTGCCCCTTACCTGCTGATTTGAAAGCCCTTTAATCACTTGTAGCTTATGAAACAGAAAGTGATCTGCTAGCTATTTCCCCCAAATGCGTTGGTGAGTTCATAGGTTAACCCTACAGGAAGGAGACAGCATTGCTAAACACAAGAAGAGCCTTACTTACTTCATGGGCTTTCAAGTGTCAAGGGCCCCAATCCTTGACTCTGAGACCCTCAAATGATACCATCTAGCTGATGTTGTTCTAAAGGGTCAGCCCTGAGGAGAAGTTCATCCTATGGAAGTCACCTGAGCACTCCACATACCATCTGAAGCCCTGGCTTCCAGTTCTGGCTCTGCCACTAAAGGGCTGTGTGACCTCAGCCACATTCCTCCACATTTACAGTGAAGCTGGTGGAAAACACGTTTCCACTGCCCCTCCACAGTTCTAAAGTTCTATCATTCAATGGGAGGTGGAGATGGTTCTCAGCATCAACAATACAAAGCAGGGAGATTTTTAGTTCCTCTTGGCCTGAGTCCCTGCCTCCTGGACAGAAGCTGGGAAATAGATGAGCATCTGGCTCCCTGGCCTGGGTCACAGAATCACAGAATCGTGGGTGGCTGGCAGGAAGCCTCTGCGTTTGCCAAGACCCACGTCCTACCTCCCTCCCTCATTCAACACAAATTTACTAAGCAGTTGCGTTGAGTAGAATGTGGGCAGAGATGGCGGCTGTTGTGTTCACCAATTTATCCATGGCATCTAGCGCAGTGGCTGGCACATAGTAGCTGCTCACTACATATCTGCTGAATGATGTCTCATCTCCTACAGTAGGGGAGCCTATTAAGCACAGATTCCTGGGCCCACCCCAGACCTACTGAATTGGAATCTCTGGCGTTAGTGTCCAAGTGACTGTCATGCCCTCCAGAGTCTGAGAACCACAGCTGTATGTAGTGTCTGAATAAAGCATCATCTTATTATTGGAAAGGAGAAAATGCTGATGTTTCAACTTTTGAGCATTTGTCGGTAGTGACTAAAATATTCAAGTCAAATAGGTTCATTTTGCTGTAGCCATTTCCATGGAGCCTGGGGAGCTCTGGGCTTTGCACTAGGTATGCACAGGGCTCACTTTCACTAATCTTGAGGGAGGCGAGGCTGATAAAAAAGGCAGAGAAGATAGGAGTCAAGCCACACAATGTCCAAGCTTGGCATTATTATTGCCCTTCACTTGGAAGTTATCAAACAGGACACGCGCTGCCCTTCTAGCTTTCCTGGGGAGGTTAGATGCTATGAGACTTTTCACACTCCCTTTCCAGTGTCTGTGGCTCAGACCATGTACACACCCAGGTTCAAATCTGAGCTGTTGTCTCTATGTAGTCTGGGGCCAATCACTTTAACCCCCTTTAAACTTTTGTTTCTTTAGTCATAAAATGGACATCATGATTTACCCTACGGAGGGTTGCTGGAAGGATTAGAGATGCTATAAACTCAGGCGTTGGGCACATGCTCAGTACAGAAAAGCCCTAAGGTTTGGTTGATGTCTATAAACTGCCATAACATCCGGGCTGCAGGACTCTGTAGAGGTTCATCTAGGCTAGCTCCTTCTTCTTTTTTTTTTTTTTTGAGACGGAGTCTTGCTCTGTCGCCCAGGCTGGAGTGCGATGGCACAATCTCAGCTCACTGCAGCCTCCGCCTCCTGGGTTCAAGCAATTCTCCTGACTCAGCCTCCCTAGTAGCTGGGACTACAGGCGGGGGCCACCACGCCCTGCTAATTTTTTGTATTTTTAGTGAGATGAGGTTTCACCCTGTTAGCCAGGATGGTCTAGATCTCCTGACCTCATAATCAGCCTGCCTCAGCCTCCCAAAGTGCTGGGATTATAGGCGTGAGCCACTGCGCCCGGACTGCTCCTTCTTTTTTTTTTTGAGAGGAAGTCTCGCTCTTGTCCCCAGGCTGGAGTGCGCCCAACTGACCACTCCTTCGTTTTTTTGTTTTTTGTTTTTGAGACGAAGTCTTGCTCTTACCCCCAGGCTCACTGCAACCTCCGCCTCCCAGGTTCAAGCGATTCTCCTGCCTCAGCCTCCCGAGGAGCTGAGATTACAGGCACCCGCCACCACACCCGGCTAATTTTTGTATTTTTAGTAGAGATGGGGTTTCACCATGTTGGCCAGGCTGGTCTCGAACTCCTGACCTCAGGTGATCTGCCTGCCTCGACCTCCCAAACTGCTGGGATTACAGGCGTGAGCCACCAGGCCAGGCCGCTCCTTCATTTTATAGATAAGAAAACAGCCTCAGAGAGGAGAAGCAAATGGCACAAGATCATCTAGCACCTCAGGTTTTTTGAGGGCTTTTTTTTTTTGAGATGGGGTCTCAGGCTTTTTTGAGGGCAGTGATGATCACAGGTCACTACAGCCTCAACCTCCTGGGCTCAAGTGATGCTCCCATCTTAGCCTCCAGTGTAGGTGGGACCGCGAGTGTACACCATAAACCCTGGCTAATTTTTTTTTTTTTTTTGTATTTTTTGTAAAGATGGGATCTCCCTATGTTGCCCAGGCTGTTCTCAAACTCCTAGACTCAAGTGATCCTCTGGCCTCAGCCTTCCATTGTTGGGATTACAGGCATGAGCCACCACACCCAGGCCAGGACTTTTAATCTCAATTAAGAACTTCACATTTTTCCATGGGCCAGAGGAACTTCAAATTCCTCCATGAGGCTGAGACTCTGTGAGCAACCTGTGATGAAGGAATTTCTGGGACAATATGCTTTTCAAAAGGACGCTAGATATCTCAGGTGAGGCCCTTTCTCACCTAAATTTCTTGCCAGCCAGAAGACTGTTGTGAGGATGTAGTGACTGGTGAGAAAGTCCCTGACGTTGGGCAATGTGTGGCTTTTCTATCAACACGGGAGTTTTAAAAACAAAAAAGCCTCTGGGAAAGTGCTGTCAGGCCTTCCCTGGCAAGGCAGTGAATGGCACTGCAGCTCTGCAAGGACCAAGGCTAGAGATGGCTGGCTTTGGGGACACTCCCAAGTTTGGCCTCTGGGCTATGAAGGACACACCACCAGTCAGGGGCCAGGCTGGGCCTGGAAGGGACATCTCCAGAAACCATCCCACAGGACTCTGACTCTGGTGCCCAGGGGAGTAGCAAAAAAAATGGGGTCTTGGGAGAATTCAAGTCCTTAGTGCTAATGGTGATGACATTGGTGATGTTGGTGATGATTATAGTGATGATGGGCATTTCCTACCTGCAAGATTCAGGGCCAGGCAACTGACTTTACATGAATTGCATTATTTCATTCAATCCATCCTCACAAGATCCCTATGTGGAGCAGTACCATTGCTATCCCCACTTTACAGATGAGGAAACTGAGGCTCAGAGAGGTTAAGTAAATGACCAAGGGCACATAGCTAGTTTGCACCAGGATTCAAATCTGAATATACTGGAGTCCAAAGTACGCCAGCAGCCTGTAAGTGCTGGAAAAAAGGCAAGTAACATTGGCTAGTGCCTTTAAGGGATATATATTTCTTATTCCCATTTTAACAGAAGGGAAACAGAACAGAGCGCTTAGCGTATTCTCCATGAGGTCAGGCACTGTGCCAAGCACTGTACATATATTATCTCCTCAATCATCAAAACATCCCTATGAAGTTGGTGGTTTTTTGGTCCCCATTTGTGTAGATGAGGAAACCGAGGCCCGAGACTAAATGACTTGCTGTGGTTCCAAATCAGGCAGTGTGACTCCAGGGCCCACGCTCTTCACCCCCTGAATTGCTGGATACTGGAACAAGATGTTCCAGTATCCAGATGCAGGGTCTGAAACAGAACCCAGGACTCCTAACTCCTAGTCTAGGGCTCTGAGGCTAGATGCAGGCTCTCTGTTGGAATGCATTGTTCCTTAAAAGCACACTGGCCTTAAGCCCAAAGAGTGAAATCACGGCCTGCGGTTCTGGGAACCTCAGACTGGAGAAGGAAGCTTTTGCCCTGGTGTTCAAGTCTCAGCAGGTGTGCTGGGGACTCTCCCTCTATTTCCTTCTCCCGCTGGAAGGGAGCCCTTGTTAGGTGGGCAGGGTGGGGCAGCCCTTATGAGTGTAGGGTGGGAGGAGGGCAGGAGGCAGGCGTGCCCAATAAAACAGACCTAAAGCTTCCCGCCTTCTTGCCTTCATCCAGGCAGTGCCCTCATCTCCTGTTTGGTAAACAACAGGGCATGATGATGAGAGTTCAAGGTTGGAGTCAGGAGGTCTGAGTTCTGGTTCTGGCTCAGGCAGTCACTCCATGTACACATTGACAGTCAGTTTCCTTATCTGTATAATGTGTGGTGGTGGTGGTGGCAGAGAATCAAAATTCTCCAGCTTTTTCAGTTAACACATCATCTATTAAGTGCCTACTATGTGCCAGAAACGGCAGATACAGCAAGTGCAAAAGCAGATTTAGGCCCTGCTTTCATGGTGTTAGAGTCTTGTAAGGAGAGATACAAAGATTAAGTCTTCATTGCAACAAATGTAAAACGGCAACTGTGACCAGCTTTTAGAGAAAAAAGGCCTGCTGGTGGAGCTAAGGGAGCCCATGATGGTGGAGGTGGAAGGAGAGGAAATGGCTTGACAGTCCAAGGGGTAATAGGGAAAGATGCCCCGAAGAGATTACTAGGTGAGTGGCAAGCCCGTTGTGAGCGGGCCTGCGGAGGCTGGCAGGAGCCCAGCCCCTTCATGCATTGTGGGCATTGGTAAGAGAACTCATTGGAGTTTTTTGGGGGAAGGGTGCTGGGGACGATGGCAGAGAGAGATATATGATCAGGTTTAGCACAGAATATAGGCAAACGCACCCTTCAAGTAAAAGATAAAAATGCCTCCTCCTCCAAGGAGACTTCCTTGATTTCTTTGCTTTTGATCTATGGTATTTCTCCCTCCTTCTCTGGCCTTGTAGCCTGGGTAGAGAAACAGTCCTCCAGGGGAGTAAGACCTAAGCTTTCCCTTCCTGCAACTGATGTGCGCTGTAGCTTTGAACGAGGTCCTAGGTATATACATACATACATACATACATACATACATACATACATATATATATACATACATATATATACACATACATATATATACATACATATATATACACATACATACATACATATATACACATACATACATACATACATATATATACACATACATACATATATATATATATATATATATATTTTTTTTTTTTTTTTTTTTTCAGGAGGGATATGAAGAGTGACTTACAGGCGCCCGCCACCATGCCTGGCTAATTTTTTTTGTATTTTCAGTAGAGACGGGGTTTCACCATGTTGGCCAGGCTGGTCTCAAACTCCTGACCTCAGGTGATCCACCCGCCTCGGCCTCCCAAAGTGCTGGGATTACAGGCGTGAGCCACTGCGCCCGGCCTTCGAACGAGGTCCTATTCCTTCTCGAGCCTCAGTTTCCCCAGCTGTGCAGAAGAAGCAGGTTGTCTCGCAGGACCCGCCCAGCGCTAACGCAACGTGATTCGCTCTGGCAGGAGCCGGGGGCTGCCCGCATTGCTGCGCAGGCATCGGGCTGCTGGCTGGGGCACCGCCACCTGGCTGCCTGCGCTTTACCCCTTGCTGAGGGCTGCGTGAGCTGGTCGCGGCGCCAGACACGGCGCAGGAAAGTGGGTGAGCGACCCCCGGCTCCCGCGGGCGCCGCGCGGCCCCGCCCCCGCAGCTAGCGGCCCTGCGGCAGCCGGGGGCTCGAGCTCCGCCCTCCGCCTCCCGCCGGCCTCACTCCCTCCTCCCTCCTCCCTTGCTCGCTCGCTGGCTCCCTCCCCCCGGGCCGGCTCGGCGTTGACTCCGCCGCACGCTGCAGCCGCGGCTGGAAGATGGCGGGGAACGACTGCGGCGCGCTGCTGGACGAAGAGCTCTCCTCCTTCTTCCTCAACTATCTCGCTGACACGCAGGTACGGCCGGCTGGGGCTGCGGGCCCGGGGCCAGGGGTGCTGAGCTGCGGGGGCCGCAGCTGCAGCCGCGGAGGCCGGGAGGCAGCGGTGGGAGCCCTGGGGTAACTGGGGGTTCCAGGCTGCAGAGCCCCCCTTCCAGGCGCCCTGCGATGCGCTCCGTTACCGGGGCAGGGAGCCGGAGGTCTCCCGGCGCGTGCCGGAGCGCTGGGGGCGCTACGGCCGCTGGGGAGGGTCTAGCCTTGGCCGCTTGGAGTCTGCCACCCCGCGGGCAAAACTGGGGGGTACCGCGCTTCCTTTGGGAGGTGGAGGCGCGCCACGGTGTGGGGTACCCTCAGGCTGGCGCTGGGTGCTGGAGGCGCGCCGTCAGCGCCCGGCACTTGCTGCCGTACTTTCACGTGGACTTGTGGCCCCGGCACGGGTGCATGCCCGGGTCTCCGGAGTCCCCTAGTCCTCCAGGCTGTAGTCCCCAGAGTGCTGTTGCTGGCCCCCCGCGGCTTTCTACCCGCGCCCGCAGCGCGGAGTTTCCTGCCAGTTGCCGGCTAAAGGCATAAGGGTCTGCGGGGCACGTGGACATGCGGGCGGAGACAGCGTCTTCCTGGTTTCGCTATCGGGCGGAGCCCCCTGGGGGGAAAAGCCAGGCTGGATGGGGGCGGAAGGACTGTCTGGGGGCGCCTGGGTCCCCCTGCGGTGCGCGGCCCCGGTGCGCGCTCCACGATGCAGGGGGAAGGGAAGGCGAGGCGGAGTCCCAGGCACTGGCTGAGCCCGGGAGCCCCACTGGCGACACGCGCGTGACAGGAGAGGGTGCTCTGGTGTGCCGGGGCGCGGGGGAGCGAGGAAGCTGGTGGCTTGGAGACTGGGAGAGGGGTGCTGCTGGGACAAGCAGCCACCAAAAATGTCAGCACGAGGCGTGCGCGGCCCCCACCCCTTCCCCCATTTTCCCCACCCAATGCCTGTTGCAAGCATAAAGTTTGGCTCCAGAGTTAGGGCTTTTTCTCTGGGCGCCCGGCTGCGGGTCATTGGGAAGCTGAGGATGCGGCGGAACCTCGGAGGAGCCCCGGGTGCTGGCACACGCCTGGGCACGGAGAGGGGCGGCCGGGCGGAACCGGGCGCGGCTCGCGGGGGCTGGTTTGGTACCTGGAGTGGGAGCGCCGGTGCCGGCCCGTTTTGCATAACAGTGGAAGGGAGGGGGAAGGCGGAGATTGGGGGAGGGAGGTGGGAGGAGAGAGAGGGAAACTTTGCTTCTTGTTATAATCTGCCTGTCTTTGGGCGGCAGCAGCTGTCATGGGACCGGGTGGGCGGGGAGAGGCTTGCAAGCTGACTCCTTGCGGTGAAACGCGACTTGGAAGGGACGCCGCAGCCGAGACGTTCAGCTCCGGGCAGCGACTTCGGGCTGGCGGCTGGGACGGCGTGGCGTGGCAGGGTGTCGCCGAGAGGAAGCCCGCCACGCGGGAGGCAGGCCGCCCCTGGCCCGCTGCAGACGCCGCTGCGTAGGGGAGCCGCGGGGCCGCGTGGTCGGTGGCGGGCGCGCTCGGGTGGGTTCGCGGCAGAGGCCGGAGGGGCTAGTGGCGTGTGATTGCGCTTCTCGAGATCGAGGGGAATGTGTGATGAGCGGGTTGCGCGCGCGGGTGTGTGTGTGTGTGTGTGTGTGTGTGTGTGTGCACACGCCGCGCGCGCCGGGCGCGTACCTTTACCTCTGACGAAACTGCGGTGGAGCTCCCGCCGTCGTCGCCGGGCTCCGTCACACGCCCCGCGCCGGTGTCTGCGCCGAAGGCAGGTCCCAGCCTCAGTACCCCCAGAGCCGACAGCTTGGGGCTAGCGGGCACTGAGTGCGGGAGGAGGGGCAGAGTCACTCCTGGGAAGATTCTGTCCCCAGATCTCGAAATTGCCCTGGGGCGTCTCCGAATCTCTTGGCTGAAAAGCGGATGAGAGAGGCCTGAAATAGCCGGAGACTCGTTCAGGGACCCATGTCAAGAACTGTCCGCTTTGGACTGTACCCCGGATTTTAACTCGATCTTCAGTGTTTGGCTCAGCAATAATTAATTATTTTGCCCTTTAGCCGCCCAGCGAGCCTAGCTAGCAGAAATATTTCAACTAAGGAAACTAGAAAATTGAATACTCAGGTGTTTGCAGGAGCAGTGCAGTGAAAGTTAATCTGGGACATTTGCTTTTTTTATTTAACCACATGACAGGCCGAGGATCTTCTGGTGATCTTTGCCGGCCCAACTTGGGAAATGTAATTGATAGGATGAGCTTTGAGCCGCCCCTAGAAGGCTCGGAGAGCCCAGCCGGAAGAGGACCTGGGCGGGCCCAGTGTGCTCCTCCTTATTTTACAGCTGGAGAAAGAGGCTGCGAGGAGTGAGCGGCTTGTATGGGACCATGCAGCCAGAGGGTGACAGAGCCACCCAGGGCTCCTGACTCCAGGTCCTGTGTGTTACCTAGAAATAGCACTGGACTTGGAGTCAGAAGGCCTGAGTGGAGTCACCTTCCCCACTCTCTGGCTGGGTGACCCCGGAGCAAGCCATTTGAACTCTCCGAGCCTCATTTCCTCCATCTGTCAAATGGGGCTGGTGGTGCCGCAAGAGAATCCAATGGCCTGGTGGTGGGGGTGAGCAGTGTTTGCATGTGAGATGTTCTGGTTGTTCCTGCAACCCCCTCTCCTCCCCCAAACTTTCCCTGACCCTCCCCTCCTTCATCTCCCTTTGGGAGCTTTGGGGAAAGTGGATTAAATGGTAATTCATTGTCTTTGTCCCAAAAGATTGTTGTTGTCTTTGGTGGCTAATCCAGGGTTAGATTAGAGGGAGGACTTCTGTTTAGGAGACTTAACTTTTACCCATTGGGGCCAAAGTACGGAAATTTAGCAGAACAAGGATTGCGAAAGTTTCTTGGAAAGCTTTGAGGCATGGATCCCAAAGGACTGTGGGTGGCTTCACCTTTGTTCAGGCTATGCCCCTGGCCCAGAGTACCCTCACTCACCCGTCCTGCATGGCCTTCTCCTCTACTAGGCTCTCCCAGCCCAGCTTGCCCTGCTTTCTCTCCTTTGGTTTTCTGCATCTGTGTGATACAACCAAGCACTTTGTGTGAGTCTGGTGTCCAGTAAGATTCTAGCACTAGGGTTGTACCTTTTATCATTGTGCCTGCAAGGCACCTGTCAGTATGCTGAGCTGTGTTCCTTTGCTTAGCTCTTGGCTAGGCACATGGATTACAGACAGGGGTGCAGCTGGGTCCTGCCAAGCAGAAGCTCCCAGGCTAGCAGGGGAGACAGCTGGGCAGCGAGTGTGGGAGAGAGGAATGCAGAGGGCTGCAGCTGTGGGCAAAATTTTAGACCCCAAAGGCCACACAGCAAGTCCACACTAAATATGGGCTATTTGAAGTTGCTTAGGGCATCAGTCATAGATGCACAAAATGTCAGAGTTGGCAGCGGGAATGTTAGAAATCATCAGTTCTAACAACTTATTTAAAAATATTTAATTATAGAATTGTTAGAAAATACTGCCAAGCATAAAGAAAAAAATGAGAAATATGTAACATGACCCAAAGATAACCACTTAATTGTCATGTATATTCCAGACTGTTTATTTCCTGTTCATATAGATCACATCTTATTTTTAAAAAATGGAGTCGCCGGGCACGGTGGCTCACCCCTGTAATCCTAGCACTTTGGGAGGCCGAGGCGGGTGAATCACCTGAGGTCAGGAGTTCCGGACCAGCCTGGCCAACATGGTGAAATCCTGTCTCTACTAAAAATACAAAAATTAGCTGGGCGTGGTGACACACACCTGTAATCCCAGCTACTTGGGAGGCTGAGGCAGGAGAATCGCTTGAACCCGGGAGGCGGAGGTTGCAGTGAGCCGAGATCGCGCCACTTCACTCTAGCCTGGACAAAAGAGCGAAACTCATTCTCAAAAAAAAAAAAAAAAAAAAAAAAGGAGTTATCCTGAATATACTGATTTGTAACTTGGAATTGCACTGTTCTGTAACTTGTTTTTTTTTTTCCTCTTCCAAACAATATGCTGTGAACATCTTTCCACATCAGTAAATATTCTACTTAGTATCTTAATGATTATATAATGTTTTGTTGAAGATTGAACCGAGATGTATTTAATTAATCCTTTATCGTTACTCATTTACGTTGTTTAATTTTTTTATTTTGCTATTGTAAGCAATGCTAAAACGAATATCTTTTTATGTATGTCTTTGTTTCTTCCTTTAAGTTCCTAGAAGTGAAATTACTCCATCAAACTCATTCCTGGATTCTCTTCTAGAAAGATTGTACTTATTTGTGCACTGGCATGGTCTGGGAACACCTGGTTTCCTATACCCAGATAACTGTTGATATTTTCATTGTTTTTCATTTTTACCAGTCTGTTCGTCAATAAATTCTGTTACCCTTATTGTTTTAATGTGCATTTATTTGATTACTTGTGATGCTAAACTTCTTCCCCATATGATCATGGGTGACTTGTGGTTCTGTGTTTCTGAACTTGGCCCATTTTGCAATTGGTATCTTGTCTCCTCGTTGTTCTAAAGCTGGGACTGAGCACCCAGAAGGGCCCCCTGCCACATGGAGAACTGGGAAAATGGCTCCACACACCCCTTGAAGCCAGGGCCAACTTCTTTTTCAAATCAGTTTGTAGATTTGGACAAATGTATAGTGTGTGGGAGAAGATTGAAGCATAGCCTTCACTGGGTGCATTTGCCCATTCTTTATCTGTGTGAGACTTAGGGAGAGTAACTTCTTCACCTGAGCCAGAAGGGGTCATGTTCACCAGAGACCTGGGCTCCACTTTCATTGGGATTCCCTGGCTGGTGCTAATGATCAGGATGCCTGTGAAACCCAGGAAGGGCAATGGCCCAGCAGCTGTGCCCCACGGGCTCATATTTCCTCTTTACCTTAGGGCCCTCCTCTTAGCAGCTCGTGCAGGCCAGGCAGAAGTTCCACTATGCCACGTGAGTCACCCTCTTCCTTCTTCCTCTGGAATAATAGAAGAAAGACTGGCTCGAGTGAGAAGCAGTCTTGCAAAGGGGGCTCAGGCTTGGAAATGCCTAACAAGAATATTGCAGTGTTGATCCTTGCCTTCTCCTTCATCGTCATCATCAGTGACGTTTACTGAGTATCCCCTATACCCCATGCAGTTTTCTGAGCCTTCTGTTTGCACTACTACATTTCATTCTCATAGATATTGTGCAAAATGTAGGTGCTGTTGCACAGCTGTACAGATCTTACAGTTTCAGAGAACTCACTGACTTGTGGAAGACTAATTACCTTTGAGTAAGTAGAAGAGCCAGCATTAGTGGGCAGTGTTCCCAGACTATTTGACTCTAAGCTCCTTGAAGACAGGGGCTACTCTCAGTTTTTGTTCATCAGTGTTTTTCTAGCACCTTGAGCAAATGAAGGCACATAGATTGTATAGAGAGAATGCAGAGGCCGGGTGCGGCGGCTCACGCCTGTAATACCAGCACTTTGGGAGGCCAAGGCGGGCAGATCACGAGGCCAGGAGTTCGAGATCAGCCTGACCAACGTGGTGAAACCCCGTCTCTACTAAAAATACAAAAATTAGCCGGGCGTGGTGGTGTGTGCCTGTAATCCCAGCTACTCAGGAGGCTGAGGCCAGAGAATTGCTTGAACCCGGAGAATTGCTTGAACCCAGGAGGCGGAGGTTGCAGTGAGCTGAGATTGCACCACTGCACTCCAGCCTAGGCAACAGAGTGAGACTCCATCTCCAAAAAAACAAAAAAGAAAGAATGCAGAACAAGTCCCTCTGCTTCTCTACGCCTGTTTTTCAATCCTTGAAATGGGGATAATAGGCCCTCTCGATTGGGAGTGAAATAATACAGTATATCTAAAATGAGCATTAACCTGCTACTCATGAAAGTTGGAATAATTCTCTCTTTGAAGCACTTTAGAAGGACAGGATTAAGTATGGAGCTAATTTTCATGCATGCAATCTTTTTTTTTTTTTGCGTAAAAAAGAGAAGCATAATTCTTATTAGAGAGTGAAGGGTACCCAAATAAAGTCATTTGGAAGAAAATGATCAGGGTCAGTTTCTATCTGTCCTCCTACAAGGTAGTCGGAGTGCCTCATATCCATCCCATTGACACTCAGCTGATGCAGAATCGATTGGATTGATCTTTCTGTTCTTCTCCCCTTCTGATCTAGGTTTTTGTCTGTTTGTAACTAGATTCCTGCAGTTACTACCAAAGAGATCTTTGCTGCACCCGACTTTGTCTTCTTCCATTTGCCCTTAGCCCAGATGGCAGATCAGTCCTCTTAGAGTGCATATCTGACATCACTCTCTTGCTCACACATCTCCCATGGCTCCTCAGTACATTTTTTTTTCTTTTAAGACTTTATTTTTTTAGAACAATTTCAGGTTCACAGCAAAATTGAAAGGAAGGTACAGAGATTTGCCATATACCCTTGCCCCCAACATGCATAGCCTCCCCCATTATTAATATTCCCCACCAGAGTTGTAGATTTGTTATAATTGATGAACCTACATTGACACATCATTGCCACCCCAGAGTCTGTAGTTTACATTAGGGTTCACTCCGTGGGTTTGGACAAATCTGTAATGACAGGTATCTACCATGGTAACATCACACAGAATAGTCTCACTGCCCTGGAAATCTGCTCTACCTTTTCATTTCTTCTGTCCCCCAACTCCTGACAACCACTGATCTTTTTACCGTTTGTACAGTTTTGCCTTTTCCAGAATGTCATATAGTTGGAATCACGCAGTATGTAGTGTTTTCAGATTGGCTTTTTTTTCACTTGCTGATAGGAATTTAAGGTTCCTCCATGACTTTCATGGCTTGATAGCTTAGCTCTCCGGTATTTTAAAATTAAAGCCTAAACTTAAACCTGATTTCCGAAGGCCTTCGGGTACTTTTAAGTTGGAGAGTTAGGCCCTTGACTTTGTCTTGAGCTGTCTGCTTTTACTTTGGGATCCTGTACCTCCCCAGGAAAACCCTGAATTTTCCTCCTGGAGGCTTAGACTCAGGCTGCCCTTTTCTGTGTCTTCCTTCTCCATTTCCATGATTCATCCTGCGAGCCCCTGCTCACCAGCCACTGTTTTGGCGATGCCCTCTCCCTCACCTCCAAGCCAGCTGTTCCATCTTCTGTGTGGCAGTACGCAGGGCCAGCAGAGCACTGACCTTGGAATCCCCTTACTGGGTTTGAGTCTTGGTTCTGCGATTTGCCAGCTTCGAGGCCTTTGGCGGGTCACATAACCTTTCTGAGCTTCTGTTTCCTGAAGTGAGAAGATATGATGATTAAGATTGTTGTGAAGAGGCCGGGCACAGTGGCTTACGCCTGTAATCCCAGCGCTTTGGGAGGCTGAGGTGGGTGGATCACCTGAGGTCAGGAGTTCGAGACCAGCCTGGCCAACATGATGAAACCGCGTCTCTACTAAAAATACAAAAATTAGCCGGGCATGGTGGCGCATGCCTGTATTCCCAGCTACTTGGGAGGCTGAGGCAGGAGAATCACTTGAACTGGGGAGGTGAAGGTTGCAGTGAGCCAGGATCACACTACTACACTCCAGCTTGGGTGACAGAGTGAGACTCTGTCTCAAAAAAAAGATTGTTGTGAAGAGTCAGTGAAAATCGAATGACAACATGGATTTAAAGCATGTAACACATGCCTGGCACAGAATAAGCACCAAATAATAGATATATCTCTTCATCTATAGATCATATTAAGTGTTAGGACATCACTCCTGGACGTTAAGCTCCACAAAGGCAAGAATTTTCGTTTATTTCATCCACCTTGTTTTTCACCATAATGAATAGATCAGTGCCTGGAATATAACAGACATTTAATCAGTCCTCATTGAATGATTAGGAAATCACTCCTGGACGTTAAGCTCCACAAAGGCAAGGATTTTCGTTCATTTCACCCACCTTTTGTTTTCACCACAGTGAATAGATCCGTGCCTGGAACATAACAGACATTTAATCAATCCTCATTGAGTGAATGAATATGCTAGACTATGAGCCTCTTCAGGGCAGACACTGCTTCTTGTTTTATATCTTCAGTCTGAGTGTTCCTGAGAAGGGATGGAATACAAGTCTGGTGGAATGAACTGGAATGTCCTCTCCCCGCCACCATCCCTGCCATTTTAATGTATTCATAGCCTACCTGAACTTTAAGCCCCCTCTTGAAAGCCTGCCCTCTCTGGAAAGCATTTTTTTTTTTTTGAGATGGCGTCTCACTCTGTCGCCCAGGTTGGAGTGCAGTGGTGCAATCTCGGCTCACTGCAACCTCCCGGGTTCAAGCGATTCTTCTGCCTCAGCCTCCCAAGTAGCTGAGACTACAGGCATGTGCTACCACACCTGGCTAATTTTTATATTTTTAGTAGAGATGGGGTTTCACCATATTGGCCAGGCTGGTCTTGAACTCCTGACCTCGTGATCCGCTCGCCTCGGCCTCCCAAAATGCTGGGATTGCAGGCATGAACCACCGCGTCCAGCCTCTAGAAAGCCTTTGAAGCTAACTTCTTCTGCTTCCACCACCCACGTGGCTTGTGCCACTTACTATCCCATGGTATCTGAGTGTGCTTTTATTCCTACAACTGGATTGAAAGCTCTGGGAGGACAAGAAATTATTTTTATCCTGGACTAGCAGTGTGGTTGCCTAGAAGAGCGTTTTATAGGTTTCAATGTCAGGTTCTCTGAAAGAACTTTGTATTTTAAACATTTGACTATGGAAAATGTCAACTCATACAGAAGTAGACAGTAGAGAGAACAGTATGGTGAATCCCCATCCCTCCATCACCCAGCGTCCACTGTTAAAGACTTGCAGTCACTCTTATTCCATCTCCATGTACAAGACGTCATTTCATCTGTGACTATTTCGTTGTGTATCTGTGAAGAGACTTCTGAGTGCTATTGCATGGATTTCTCCCAATAACTGTGAGACTGGCTTTCCCCATTTTGTAGGTGATGAAACTGAGGTGCAGGGAGGTTAGGTCAGTTGCTCAGGGTCTTGAAGCTAGTGAGCGGCTTACCTGGGATTTGAACCTTGACTGTGAGCAGCTCCCTCTCCTTCCAGGCTTGGGGCAGGGGGCCCTTGGAGATACAGGTACACCTTGCCATTTCCAGAAGAGAGGAAGCTGAGGTCCAGCTGCTTGGCTGGAGGAAGCCCAGGCCCCTGACTCCCTGGCAAGTTCATTTCCAGTGTCAGGTCTTGCGAGGTGCGGTGGGCCTTAGCTCTTGGGGAGGGCCAGGGTGGGTAGTCCTCTGAGAGACACCATTGCCCTGAGTGGCTGGGCTTTGGATGGCCGTGGGACCCTGGGGCAAGGTCTACCACCACCCCTGGACAGACTGCATTTTCTTCCTACTCTTGTCATTCCTAAATCCCAAAGGTCCTCCTTGCAGCTGACCACGAGTTCTCTCATGAGATGCTCAGGACTACCCAGTGAGGGAGAGGGAGCCAAGGGGTCAGCAGCTGGGTTCACAGAGCTCAGAGAGGAGGGGCCTGGCCTGAGGTCACCCAGCTGGCCTGGGCACAGGGTTGACAGGCTCTTGGTGGCATCTGGACCCTTGGGCTCCCACCCTGCTCTTTCCTCAGGATAGAGACCGAATTGCTACCCAGATCTGGAGTAGGAGACCAGAGACGAGACCTGAGAGACTTTCACAAATGGTGGGATAAAGCCATTGATTAACTGTCCCCAAAGGCCTGTGATGACTGTTTGGTGTTTTAGGTAAGAAAACAAACATTTGCCCTAATTGTTTGCTTCAGTGACTGAGAGGGCTGTGAATTCTAGGATGGGGTTCTGCTTGGGCAAAGCCCTGGGAGCTTGGCAGAGAATTTCTTTTGGCCTTCTTTTTCTATCTAGGAAATGGGGACGATAGTAGCATATGCTTTGAAGGCTTTTAGTGAAGAATAGTTGAGGCAATGTCTGTAAAGTGTTCAGAAATGCTCAATGAGTAGTAACCCTTGTTATTATGAAAAGGGGACACATGTAATGCAGACCCTGCCATTTGTCTTCCCTCTGAGCTCCAGGTCCTTGATCTAGTCGAGGCCCTGAGGTTCTTCTTGCAGAGTGTTTTTTCCTCTCTACTTGTGGGGCAGGTGACGAGGGATCCCATCCAGCCTTAGCAAGTGTTGCAATACTGACTTAGGAAACCACTTCTAGTGAGATGCCACTTGAAGAGAGAAGAAATACCCAATAGTGGTTAAGAGCTCTAGGCTTTGGAGTTTTAACTGCCTATGGTTTAAATCAGTGCTCTACCACTTACTAGCTATGTGACCTTGAGCAAGTATCTTAACTTCTCTGACCTCAGTTTCTTCATATATTATCCCCCAAATTGGGGATAATAATAGTATGCTCTTTGTAGGATAACTTAAGATAGCTGCAGATAATTAAGGCTTGCAGCTTCACCTGACATATAGTAAGCGCTCAATAAATGGTGGTCACTAGGATGATGACAACGACAATGATGTAAAAATATAAAACACACAAATGTCAATTTGAGCTTTCTGGGAGTTGGGAGTGCCTTAGAGACGATCTTGCTTAATGCCCTTACCTTGAAGGAAGGAAACAGACTAGAAACAGATCAGAGGATGCCTTCAGGTCACTCAGCAGAGGCAAGACAGGGCCCTCGGCTGCTGTCTGCTTGGCCGGGCTGGCTCTGAGTAGCTGGGACTCAACTGTCTGGGACCCACTGTCTGGGAACTCAGCCGGGTGAGCCCTGCTTGGCTGAGAGATGGATGCTCCCCGACAGCTCTGCAGCCGTATTTTTTCCCTGTGATTGCCTGGCAGAACATAGTCATTTAGCAGAGGGAATGCGAGGAGATGTTAGAAACCAACCAGGCCCTGAGCAGTTGCAGCAGCCGGCCCACGAGTCGCTCCCTGATGTTGCCATGGCAAACAGCCTTGGCAACGTGGCTGCTCGCGCCTTTATTTCTGGTCTCAGGCTCTTTGCAAGGAAGTGTGGTACCCAGAACACTGGGGAGGGCCCTGCCCTGGATCCTTGGCACTGAGGGCAACCCGGCCTTTATGCTGCTAGCAGTCCCAGGCCACAGCAGCCCCTGCTCAAAACACCTGCAGACCCACCCTGCCTTTGCAGAAGCAGACTACTGGGTATGGGATTTGAAGCCTCAAATGTCCATGTAGCTCACTATCCATCTATTTGTCAAATACTGTGTTTGGCAATGCCATACTGTTCCCACCACTGCAAGAGCACAGCCCCAAAATATTCTTTTTTTTTTTTTTTTCGTGAGACAGAGTCTTACCCTGTTGCCCAGGCTGGAGTGCAGTGGCGCGATCTCAGCTCACTGCAACCCCCTCCTCCCATGTTCAAGTGATTCTCCTGCCTCAGCCTCCCGAGTAGCTGGGATTACAGGCGTCTGCCACCATGCCTGGCTAATTTTTTTGTATTTTTAGTAGAGATGGGGTTTCACCATGTTGGCTAGGCTGGTCTTGAACTCCTGACCTCAGGTAATTCAAACCTCTCGGCCTCCCAAAGTGCTGGGATTACAAGCGTGAGCCACCACGCCTGGCATAGCCACATAATATTCTTAACATGAACCCTGGTGTTAAAGGTTCCCAGGCAGGTGTCATCTTCAACCATGTCCTTCAAGGATGGTGATGATGATGATGATGGTGGTGGTGGTGATAACAGTCAACAACTGCTATATCCCCTTCAAGAGATCAGGCCCTGTGCCACATCCTTCACATGTGTAATCACATTTAATCTCAGAGGAACCCCATGAGGCAGTCCCACTGCTATCCCCATTTTACAGTTGGGTAGACCTAGGCCAACCCAGAGTTTGTGGTGCTGGTGCTGTTCTGCAGCTCCTCCCCTATACCAGGCAACCATGGGGGCCCCGCCATGAAGTGTCTGTCCCCTCCCTGTGCCCCTCTCCCATCTGCACCTGCACACTGCAAGGCTCAGCTCAAGTGATGCCTCCTGTAGTTCCCCCTCTCAGAACTGGCCCTTTTTGCTCTGCGATCCCCACAGTCTGCTACAGACACTTTCTGTTCCCTGCCTTCCCTCAATACTCTGCCACTCTGGTGAGTTTATTTCTGCCCTCCAGCCATCCCAAAACAAAACAGAAGGGCAGACTGGCTAAGGAGGAGAGCTCTGACTGTGCTGAGGAGTTTGGACTTGGCAGGCAGTGGGGAGTTGGCAAAGAGTTTTATTATTATTATTCATAACAGTAATAATATAAAAGAGCCAACACTTAGAGACTTATTGGTATGTGCCAGGTACTAAGCTAGGGCCATTAGGTGCTTTACCTTGTTTAATCAACTACCGGTGAGGTTGGCAGTATGGCAAATGAGAAAACAGACTTGGAGAATTTCAGTGACTTCCCCAAATCACCTAGCTAGGAAGTAGGCTGGGATTTGAACCTAGGTTTGTCTGACTTCAGAGCACATGGTCCTAACAATTGCAGTGGTGGCTAATTTGGCTAAGCACATAGAAGGACTGGAATGGTGTAACAGGAGGCATCTTTGGTGTGGCTGGGGTGGGTGGTGGGGCCCATACCCTGCCTCAGCTGTGGGGCTCAGTGGAAATCACTAGATATAGGTAAGAGGGCAGGGGGCTCAGAGTGGTGCCCTCATAGCCAAGATGGGGGTGCAGAAGAGGATTTATATGGGGAGAACATCCATTTATTCAGGGCCCACTGTGTGCCAGGTCTGTTCCTTACTCTGGCCTTCCCTGGAGCCTGGTTAAATGTAAACTGTAGCCTCAGCCCTTTATAACCTTTGTTTATGTGTTTATTCTTTTTTTTTTTTTTTTTTGAGACAGATTCTCGCTCTGTCGCCCAGGCTGGAGTGCAGTGGTGTGATCTCGGCTCACTGCAACCTCTGCCTCCTGGGTTCAACTGATTCTCCTGCCTCAGCCTCCTGAGTAGCTGGGATTACAGACGCCCACCACCACGCCTGGCTAATTTTTGTATTTTTAGTGGAGATGGGATTTCTCCATATTGGCCAGGCTGGTCTCGAACTCGTGACCTCAGGTGATTGCCTGCTTTGGCCTCCCAAAGTGCTGAGATTCCAGGCGTGAGCCACCGTGCCCGGCCCTATTTATTCTTTACTATTCCCTCTTCTCTACCCAGTTGGGACTGGAGCTCATCAAGCTGGTTTTCCATCAAATCCCAGTGACTTAACAGTCCCTGGCACACTGTAGGCCCCCAATAAATAGTTGTTGGATGACTGAATGATGAACAAATGCTGTTCGATCTTTCACAACATTTGCCTGATGTTTGCCTGGCCCAGAGGTCCTTCTTTGTGCCTGGAGACGTGCTAGGATGTGTGGGTGAGGTGAGTGTGGCAGCATTGTACCAGTCCCCACAAGGAGTCACCTGCCCTTGTCACCAAGATAAGTCTTGCACACGAAGGATCAAAGGCAAACACTTTGTGGAGCCTCCAGAACCCACTATCAGAATACACCTCCAGTGCACAGATCTTTGTGGAATGATAAACCACTGCTAGGAATCCAGTCTGTTCCAGGGCATGGCTCTGCCTCAACTGGGGAGGGGCTCAGAGTTTTGAGAGTCTTGGTATCTGCAGGGAGGTGTCTGGTCAGATGTCCCCACATCTTCCCGGGGGATTGAAACCAGCACTTTACACTAGGCCTCATGCCTATGACCCACCCACTTACTCCAGAGAGACTAGGCAGGCTGCCTGCACTCATGAGGAAGGAAGAGAAATCCAGGGAGGTGAAGGGGCAAGAGAGGACTTGGGGACCAGTGACCACAGTGCCCAGCCCAAGAAAATGAACTTCAGGCTGCGTGGATCTTCCCTTGCTTAGAATCTCCTCATATGTTGCACCTGGCACCTTTCCTGCCTAGGGCCAATTCACTCTTAGTTTGCACATGGTTCTTACAAGCTTGGCAGTCATGTCAAGCAAGGCCTCATGATATGAGAAGCAGCACATTGGTTCTGTTAGTGTGTGCCTATGTAGGCATGGGGTGAGAGGTGAGGATCTACCAGAGGCAGACACGTGGACTGCAGCACCGAAGCCAGCTTGGGGCCAATTAGTGAGGGGGCTGAGGGGTCCTGCACACCTGTCTTGTTCCTGAATACATTACTATGTGAAAGCGCAAAGCTCATTGGTGAAGACAGTGTATCGTGTCTGAGGAAAGGTACATTCTGTTCAGTGTTCTCCGAGAAAGCAAGAAAGTGTGAAGTACATTTTGGTATTACCATCAAAAATAGGAAGTCTATCAAAAGCAGGCAAAAGTTTTGGCATTCCAAGTTATTTATAAAGTTTGCATATTGTTAGCATACATAATTCCTTGATGAAGCCAGATGAATGAGTTAGTCTAGCCATAAAGCTTTCTTTGAAAGTTAATGCAATCTCTGAAAATAAGGTGTTGTCTTTTATGTTTCCAAGGCTGCTTAAGGTAGCACAAAGAGTTTGTAGCTCGGCATTAGATAAGTGCTGATTGGCCTCAAGAAACAGTGGCACTTGCGCTTAGTGATTCATAAGAGCTTGGGCTTTAGAGTCTGGTTCAAATTTTAGCTTTGTGACTTTTTTTTTTTTTTTTTTGAGACAGGGTCTTGCTCTGTTGCCCAAGCTGGTGCGATCAAGGAGGCTCACTGCAGTCTCGACCTCTTGGGCTCAAGGGATCCTCCTACCTCAGCTTCCCCAGTAGCTAGGACTAAAGGCATGTGCCACTACACCTGGATAATTTTTTACTTTTTTTAGAGATAGGGTCTTGCTATATTGCCCGGGCTGGTCTCGAACTCCTAGGCTCAAGCGATCCTATTGCCTCGGCCTCCCAAAGTGCTAGGATTACAGGCAGGAGCCACTGTGCCTGGCCAGCTTTGTGACTTTTTAGTTGTGTGATCTAAGGAGTTAGATAGCTGCTCTGTGCTCTAGTTAGCCAGCTCCCAAATGGGAATGATAATAGGACTTACCTGCCAGGCTTGGTAGAACTAATCAGTGGTTCTCAGCCATGAGTGCACATCAGAATCAACTCTGTAGTTTAAAAAAGTCATAATTACACATCTGGGGCTGTCCCAGACCTATAGAGTGAGAATCTTTGAGAGTAGGCCCTTAAGCTTCTCTGTCTTTAAAAAGCTCCCTCTGATGACACCCCTGCTTTGGTACTAAAAATCAGGTACTATTCATAGAGTGTCTGTCATGAACTCTGCCAGTTCCCTCCCCTCTCTCTTTCCTGCCTCAGTGTGGGGTACAGGCTAGCATTTAGGATGAATGACCAGGGAACAGATCGAAAGCCTCTTTATAATAATGCCCGTGGAGAGCAGGGCAACTTCTTTATCAGGCATTTCCATTTGATCTTCACATCAATCTCATGTCATAGGGAAAAGAAGTATTCCCATTTTACAGATGGGAAAATAGAGGTCTAGAGAGTGACTTGGTAGGATCCTGCCGGTAATCAGTTTTCAAATATTCGTCTTGGTCCCTGTGTTTGTCCTCCTTGATCCTCAATCCCACACCCACTTATGGGTCAGCTCATAGGAGGTGGGGGGATTAGGATTACTTTATGAGTGAATGGGTTGGAAGAGAGGAGGAAGAAGGCAGCCTGAGAGAACACAAGTCACCTGCAGACTCCCAGAGGCCAGTGACAGTTTGATGTATCAGGCCCCTTAAAGATCAGAGGGGTGCTGGTCATGGTCCCAGACCATGCAGTAGCTTAGAGGTAGCAACAGGACTAGAATCCATTTCTGATGCCTGATTCACTGCCATCCCAGCTCTGTGTGCTGCTTCCACAGTGTGGTCAGGGTGTGGCTCCACTGATAATAGAATTAGTCTTCTAGCTAGTGTAGTGAGGCCTTTGCACTTGCTGTTCCCTCTGCCGGCAACGCTCTTCCCAGGCATTGCCATGGCTTGCTGCTTCCTCACCTCCTTCCTGTCCTGTCAGGTGTCATCTCCTCAAATGACCACCATTCTACTTTCTGTCTCTATGATTTTGGTTGTGACATGGTTTCTCATACAAGTGGGATCACAGTATTTGTCTTTTTGTGGCTGGCCTATTTTACTTAGCATAGTGTCATCAAGGCTCATCTCTATTGGGGCAAATGTCAGGATTTCCTTCCTTTTTCAGGTAGAATAATATTTCACTGAATATGCCACATTTTGCTTATCCATTCATTTGTTAGTGAATACCTGGGTTGCTTTCACATTTTAGCTATTGTGAATGATGGTGCTATGAACATGGGTGCACAAATATCTCTTGGAGACCCTGACTTCAACCCATTTGGGTATATGCCCAGAGGTGGAATTGCTGGATTATATGGTAGTTCTATTGTTAATGTTTTGAGGAACCACCATACTGTTTTCCATGGTGGCTGTACCATTTAACATTCCTACCAACAGTGCACAAGGGTCCCAATTTCTCCATATCCTCTCTAACACTTCCTGTTTTCTGTTTGTTTCTTTAAATAGTAGCCATCCTAATGGATGTGAGGTGGTTATCTTATTGTAGTTTTGATTTGCATTTCCCTAATGACTGAGCATTTTTTAATGTGTTTACTGGCCATTTGCATATCTTCTTTAGATAAATGTCTTTTCAAGTCATTTGCCTGTATTTTAAAATTGGGTTGTTTGTTTTTTGTTGTTGTTGACATTTAGTTCTCTTTACATTTGAGATACTAATCTCATCAGATATGATTTGCAAATATTTTCTCCCATTCTATGTGTTGCCTTTTTATTCTGTTGATAGTGTCTTCTAATTCACAAAATTAAATAATTTTCACGTAGTCTAATTTGTCTATTTTTTCTTTTGTTGCCTCTGCTTTTGGTGTCATATCTAAGAAATCATTTTCAAACCCAATGTCAGGAAGCCTTTGCCTGCTTTGTTTTTTTCTAAGAGTTTTAGAGTTTGAGCTCTTTCATTTTTATCTTTGATCCATTTGGAGTTAATGTTTATATATGGTGTAAGGTAAGAGTCCAACTTCATTCCTTCGCATAACTGAATGTGTCTTGAATGAGTGAGTAGTTGGCTAAGTCCTTAAGCTGTACAGGCTGCCGAGCTCACCTAACCCTCCTAACAGTGTCAGGAGAAAAATACTTTTAGCACCATTCTTCACGTGAGCCTGATGCTCAGAGGGTGAGTGTGGGGCTTGGGGACATAGCTCCTTTGCTGACCAAGCCACACAGAGGTCCCCAGGGCCCAGCAGGCAGGCATGACCAGGGCCCCGCCCCAAAATATCATGCCCCAGTGCCCTAGTGGCCTCATGCCACTTTCTCCTTGGGGTTGGGCAACAGCTCCTCCCTGCCCTGTGGGTGTGGACACCAGGTACCTGCCCAGCAGCGCCTGGGGCCTCCAGCCTACTCCAGCACTGCTCTTTGTCCCAGTGGCTGAAGGAGTGGCAGCCTGGCTTGTACTTTCTGGTCCAGCCCCAACAGGAATGTGGCAATCTCCTCCCACTGTGCCTGCATCCACACCTCCCTGGTGGGGTGGGGGTGGACCATGGGCAGGCACCATAGCAGGCAAAACTAGAGGACAGTGATGGTGTCTTGGGTGGAAGCTGCTTTGCCAGAGGCCCATCTCCTGAGAGGCTAGAGCAGGCCCAGGTTGGTGAATCAGGTTCCAGGGAGAGCAGGGTGGGGTTGAGGAGTGGGTGAGGAGCCAAGCAGGAGAGGGAGGTGGAGGTTTAGAATCCACCCTAAGAGGAGAAGAAAGCCCTCCTTTGCTCAGCTGGCCTGCCAGAAGATTTTCAATGATATGGTTGTGAAACAACCAGAGGAGGGGCAGTACCAGCCGGTTCCAGGTGATGAGCACAGCCCAGGGTCTGAGGGCAAGTGGGAGGCACACGAGAACAGTGAAGAACAGAGCTCTGAGTCAGCCTGAGTCCAGGGTCTGTCAGTTAGCTGCTGACTTAGGGCATGGTACTTATTCTGCCTGGGCCTTAGTTTCCTCACCTGTGAAATGGGGTGAAGAGATATAGATATAGATATAGATATAGATATAGATATATCTATATATATATATCTCAGTGGGTAGTTGAGTTGAGAAGATGAGAAGGTACAATGTCTGAAGAGCTTAGTGCAGTGTGTCTGGGTGTTATGATCAATAATAATGACAATTACCAGTGACCAGATGGTTTGGTGACAGTTTAGTGGAGGAAGCCGTGCAGCAGTCACTCCTTGTGCACGGGAAACCAGTTGCAGATTTGAGCAAGCCTTGCTCCCTGCCCTGGATGAACAGATCTGCTGATGGCCATGGAAGGTGCCCAGGGCAGAGTGTCAAGACAACTTTTGCAGCAGAAAGGGTATTGAAGGATGAGCAGGAGCTGGCCAACATGATGGGAGGGGCCTCCTAGCCAGGGACCAGGCTGTCGTGATGGCTAGCATATCATGTGGCTGATGACTGAGCAATGAGTGGCTAGGTGAGAGGCTTGAGGGGAGGCTCTGAGCTGACTGGAGGACTCCCCATGGGGGTGAGGAACAGACAGCATGAACGAAATGTCTGGAAGAATCCAAAGATGGAACACCAAGATTCTCGTCCGAGAAACTAGCTGGAGGCTGCTCTGCAGAAGGGGAAAGGCCTTGGGGAGGTTTCAGAAGGAGAGTGACTTTGAGGGTGACTAGTTCTTCCCTGGGCCTCACAGGCAGCATGGGATGAATGGTATCACCCTGTGGACTGCACCGCTCCTCCCCAGGCCCTAGGAGTGAGTGGGGGACATGCAGGGATTTGTGTTAAGGATTGACACAAAGGCTGGGGTACAGCTTCTCATATGTAGTCCTGACTCAAGTCCCTGGCTCAATACAGCAGGAATCGGTGGGGCCAGGCACCACAGAACCACTAGGTACAGCCCTCAATAAATTTAATGATGCAGATGATACTTAGTGCCATCATAATGATTATTACTCCTATTTACCGTTATACCTGTTAGTGTGTCACTGCGAAATTCACACAGCATTTTCACATCCACAGTTCACATCCTTGTGAGGATTTTCATTTCTGTTTTGCTGATGAAGAACCCAAGGCCCAGGGATGTGAAGTGACTTACCCGCTGAGGTCACTGTTGTAGGAACTGGACGGGAATGTGAGACTTGTGGCCCTTCAGATCTGCCTGGTTGAGAAGAGAGATGTTTTTTGAATGGAGCCCCTCCGCTACTGCTGTCTGAGTTCCCTGCCTTATCTTGAATTCTTTTTGGAGCAATGATCTCCAGTCTTTTCGGAATTGCCACATCTCGCCATTGTATGATTTTGCAACAGTTGCAACTGTGAAACGCCCCCAGAAAACTGTAATCTCCATTGATCTCTATGTAATTTAGAGTTAGGGAAGAGGAAAATCTTGTTTTTTGCATCTGTGCTGGAAAGAAGAGTGTCATGGTGAGAATATTGTACCTGGAGTCTGGAGGGAGCCCTGGGCTGTTCCTCTTTGCTGTGTGACCTTGGACAGGTCTCGCCCCCTCTCTGGCCCTGAGTTTCCTAATCTCTGCCATCCTGTGACTCATTATCTTTCTAAACGTGAGCTGTTTTAAAGTGTCACAAGTCTGGGATTGTGAATCATGGGGGCTGTTTTGCTTTGGTAAATTCTGCTTGGAGCTGAACCACCAGGTACTGGATAGAGAGGGAGACTAGTTCCTGGAGACAGATGGACAGATGGAGCTAGGAAACAGTCTCATCGCAGATGGTTAATGTACTTTCCCTGCACCCAGTGGGTAATGTCAGTGTAGGTTCTTAACTCCCCAGGTTATGGCCCCTTTCCTGGTGACAGGTGCAATGCTGACTTCTCTTTGAACTGTAAGTTGGAAGAAATTTGTCATGGGATCATGTGCCTTAAACGAGTGGGTTTGGAAGGAGGAGAAGGTGGAGGAGGAACTCCAGGCAAGAGAATCCCTGATTTCCAACCTCCCCAGTGAATCACGGAACATTGGATAAGTCATTCATGGGGGTGGAAAGATTGGGTGAGAATTGGGAACTTCAGGCCAGATTTTTTTTTTTTAAAGGAGCAAGTCATTCAAAATCCTCTACTGACAGATGATATCTACAATAATTTCTTCCCCTTTTCCACAGCATTATTTTATCCACCTTGAATCATTTTTTAAAATCTATAAAACAAACTTTCTTTTAGCTGTCTTCTCTGTTTTAGTTAAAATATATATATATATATATATATATATATATATATATGTTAATAGGGGAAGGAAGGTGTCAGTGAATACTCAGATACCCCAGGGGTCTGCAGACTTGGCTGTGGGTGCTCTTTGAGGTTCAGAATGGCCATTCTTGGGCCCCAGCCCCTGGTGTCTTTCACACAGAGCTGCTTACAGAGCCGCTGCTGGCTCAACCATGAGGTCTGTAATTATTTAAAGAAAGCTCACATCAAGTGGAAAAAGAGTGAACCACATTTAACGTACCATGTGGCCAATGGGCAATTCAATACCAAAGCCATCCGATTATCTCTGGCCCGCACCAGCTGCTGGATTTTGCAGCCGGGTGCATTAGGTGACCATGGGACTGACCGGCAGGTCCAAGTACGCACGATGGGTGCCCGTGCAGGCAGCCTGGCCAGGCTTCAGCCTGGAAGACAGGATCTGTGTACATCCATAGCTGTGCTCTGAGCTTTACAGAAAAAGTTAATGTAAAAGCAATTTTGAAGAGTAAAAAAGAAGCTAATAATTATGAAATTCAAAACTTAAATGTTTTACTATAACACAGACAGTTGTTTAATTGCACTGTAATTTATCGTTAATACCAAAGTATTTTGGAGAAATAATCTTAGATTCCTTTTACTTTTATATTTTGGTTGTTTTGTTTAGCAAATGTAATATGGATTTTTTGAAAATTAATATTTAAAAATTTTCAGTATTAGGGACTAATTTGTCAGAGAAAGTAAGGTTATCCCCACCCTGCCACTTAGCAGTTTAGCGGTTTTAAATGCCTTTCAACTGAATATGGGATTATCTCTTTTTATTTATTTATTTACTTTTTTACCTTTTCTATGGTGCTGATCTTCTATGATTATATAAATTGTATTTTTTCTTGTTGCAAAAATGATATGCATTAATTTATTGAAATGTGAGAGCATACAAATAGGTAAGAGAAAGTAAAGAAAACTAATCCCGGCCGGGCACGCTGGCTCATGCCTGTAATCCCAGCACTTTGGGAGGCCAAGGCGGGCGGATCACCTGAGGTCAGGAGTTCAAGACCAGCCTGGCCAACATGGTGAAACCCCGTCTCTACTAAAAATACAAAAATTAACCAGGTGTGGTGGCACACGCCTGTAATCCCAGCTACTTGGGAGGCTGAGGCAGGAGAATTGCCTGAACCTGGGAGGTGGAGGTTGCAGTGAGCCAGGATTGCACCACTGCACTCCAGCCTGGGCGACAGAGGAAGACTCTGTCCAAAAGAAAAAAAAAAAAAGAAAAGAAAACTAATCCCAGCACCCAGAAATAACCAGTCATAGGCAGTGCTTAAGAAAATAAAGGTAACATTGTAGGTTTCACTTCTCCCCAAGCTTCTCTCCTTGGGCACACTTTTCTCACCTCTCAGCCTCCTTTTATGGGCGGATTCCTACCTGTGACCTTGAGATGGGGAGAACATAGACGGTAGTCATAGTTTAACTATCTCCTCCTTTATAAAATGGGAACAGCAATCCCTGCATTGCTGTGAGAATGCATGTATAATGGATCTGAAAGCAAATTGCCAATTGTAGAGTCATAAACAGATGTAAGGCTATGTTGCTACTTCCCTGTGCATGTGCCTACCACAGCTGCTGATATTGCTGCCTGTTTTAACTCAGATAATACCAGGTTTAGACAATATCTGATCACCTCCAAGTACTTCCCAGGCTTTAATCACTCCCGAGGTTTGGCTTTTAGTCTACATACTATGTACCGCATCTCTCTACATGTCCGTTAATATGTACAGAACAAGATAAATACCCTTGCTGGTGGGGAAGGCATTTAAACTCAGCCTTCCTGATTTAGAATCTATTACTCAGTCGGGCTGTTTGAAGTGTTAACTGATCCACCTTGTGATTCAGACTGCAGTCGGAGCAGAACCAAGGGGAAGAGATTGGTGGGGCTCACGCAGAGCAAGCCCCAGGAAGACCCAGCTGCCTGGCAAGCTCATTTTCCTACTAGTTTCAGCATACACTGTGGTTCAATGTGAAAGAGACAATGAACTTGCTTTTGTATTTATTTTGCAAATGTAACACAGACCCTGGTTTAAAAGATTATGTTACAGGCCAGGCGTGGCGGCTCACGCCTGTAATCCCAGCACTTTGGGAGGCCGAGGTGGGTGGATCACCTGAAGTCAGGAGTTCAAGACCAGCCTGGCTAACATGGTGAAACCCTGTCTCCACTAAAAATACAAAAATTAGCCAGGCGTGGTGGCAGGTGCCTGTAATCCCAGCTACTTGGGTGGCTGAGGCAGGAGAATCGCTTGAACCCGGGAGACGGAGGTTGCAGTGAGCCAAGATCGTACCATTGCACTCCAGCCTGGGTGACAGAGTGAGACTCCATCTTGATCACTTGAAGTCAGGAGTCAAGATGAAAACATAAACAAACAAACAAAAACATTATGCATGTTACAAATGGCAGTCATCCCTTGCACTCACATTCTTGTGTTTCCATCCCCAGAGCAACCCTCTACTAATTTCTAATGTGTTCTTCCAGAGGTAAACCATACAAACATCGCATATATGTGGTCTAACTTGCTGCCTCCTGGGTTTTTATTTTTTGTTTTTTGCACAAATGGTAGCAAACTAAGGGCATTGTTGTGCAACTTTTTTTCTACTTAGTATTTCTTAAAGATCATTTCGTATCAATATGTAGAGATCTGCTTCACTGTTTGGATTGATCATAGTTTGTTTAACTAGTTGGGCATTTAAGTGATTGCTATTTATTTTATTTTATTTCGTTGAGACAGAGTCTCGCTCTGTTGCCCAGGCTGGAGTGCAGTGGCGTGATCTCGGCTCACAGCAACCTCTGCCTCCCGGGTTCAAGCGATTCTCCTGCCTCAGCCTCCTGAGTAGCTGTGATTACAGGCATGTGCCACCACACCCAGCTAATTTTTTATATTTTTGGTAGAGGCAGGGTTTCACCATGTTGGCCATGCTGGTCTCAAACTCCTGACCTCAAGTGATCCTCCCACCTCGGCCTCCCAAAATGCTGGGATTACTAAAGGCATGAGCCACTGTGCCTGGCCTATTTATTTATTTATTTTTAGTTAAAAAAATTTTTTTTAACCTACCTCTTACACAGAAATAGGTTATTTCTAATTGACTACTGCTGCTAGTTTGCAGTAAGTTTTGCACACATGTGACCGTATGCATAGGATAAATGCCTCAGAGGGGAATTGCTCAGTTAAAAGGTGTTGTGTATTTATTTATTTAGTTAGATTTTTTCTGAGACGGAGTCTTGCTTTGTCGCCCAGGTTGGAGTGCAGTGGTGTGATCTCGGCTCACTCCAACCTTTGCCTCCCCACAACAAGCAATTCTCCTGCCTCAGCCTCCTGAGTAGCTGGGATTACAGGTGCCTGCCACCACGCCCAGATAATTTTTGTATTTTTAGTAGAGACGGGATTTTGCCATGTTGGCCAGGCTGGTCTCGAACTCCTGACCTCAGGTGATCCGCCTACCTCGGCCTCCCAAAGTGCTGGGATTACAGGCGTG